>NC_000002.12:96131350-96458417 GCF_000001405.40 Homo sapiens | reverse complement strand
TGAAATTTTTGTTGTTGTTGTGTCTCTGCTAGGTTTTGGAATCAGGATGATGCTGGCCTCATAAAATGAGTTAGAGAGAAGTCCCTCTTTTTCTATTGTTTGGAATAGTTTCAGAAGGAAAGGTATCAGCTCCTCTTTGTACCTCTGGTGGAATTTGGCTGTGAATCTGTCTGGTCTTGGGCTTTCCTTAGTTGGTAGGTTATTAATTATTGCCTCATTTCCGAACTTCTTATTGGTCTGTTCAGAGATTCAACTTCCTCGTTTAGTCTTGAGAGGGTGTATGTGTCTAGGAATTTATCCATTTCTTCTATATTTTCTAGTTTATTTGCATAGAGGTGTTTAGAGTATTACCTGATGGTAGTTTGTATTTCTGTGGGATCAGTGGTGATATCCCCTTTATCATTTTTTATTGTGTCTATTAGATTCTTCTCTCTTTTCTTCTTCATTAGTCTGGCTAGTGGTCTATCTATTTTGTTAATCTTTTCAAAAAACCAGCTCCTGGATTCATTGATTTTATGAAGGGTATTTTTGTGTCTCTATCTCCTTCAGTTCTGTTCTGATCTTAGTTATTACTTGGCCTCTGCTAGCTCTTGAATTTGTTTGCTCTTTCTTCTCTAGTTCTTTTAATTGTTATGTTAGAGTGTCAATTTTAGATCTTTCCCACTTTCTGATGTGGGCATTTAGTGCTATAAATTTCCCTCTAAACACTTCTTTAGCTGTGTCCCTGAGATTCTGATATGTTTTCTTTTTGTTCTCCTTGGTTTCAAAGAACTTGGTTATTTCCGCCTTAATTTTGTTATTTACCCAGTAGTCATTCAGGAGCAAGTTGTTCAGTTTCCATGTAGTTGTGAGGTTTTGAGTGAGTTTCTTAATCCTGAGTTCTAATTTGACTGCACTGTGGTCTGAGAGGTTGTTTGTTTTGATTCCCATTCTTTTGCATTTGTTGAGGAGTGTTTTACTTCCAATTATGTGGTCAATTTTAGAATAAGTGTGATGTGGTGCTGAGAAGAATGTATATTGTGTTGATTTGGGGTGGAGAGTTCTGTAGATGTCTATTATGTCCGCTTGGTCCAGAGCTGAGCTCAAGTCCTGAATATCCTTGTTAATTTCTGTCTTGTTGATCTGTCTAATATTGAGAGTGGGGTGTTAAAGTCTCCCACTACTATTGGGTGTGAGTCTAAATCTCTTTGTAGGTCTCTAAGAACTTGTTTTATGAATCTGGGTGCTCCTGTATTGGGTGCATATATATTTAGGATAGTTAGCTCTTCTTGTTGCATTGATCCCTTTACCATTATGTAATGCCCTTCTTTGTCTTTTTTGATCTTTGTTGGTTTAAAGTCTGTTTTATCAGAGACTAGGATTGCAACCCTTGCTTTTTTTTTTTTCTTTCCATTTGCTTGGTAAATATTTCTCCATCCCTTTATTTTGAGCCTATATGTGTCTTTGCATGTGAGATGGGTCTCCTGAATACAGCACACCGATGGGTCTTGACTCTTTATCCAATTTGCCAGTCTGTGTCTTGTAATTGGGGCATTTATCCTATTTACATTTAAGGTTAATATTGTTATGTGTGAATTTGATCCTGTCATCATGATGCTGGCTGGTTATTTTGCACATTAGTTGATGCAGTTTCTTCAAGTATCGTTGGTCTTTACAATTTGGCATGTTTTTTCACTGGCTGGTACTGGTTTTTCCTTTCCGTATTTAGTGCTTCCTTCAGGAGTTCTTGTAAGGCAGGCCTGGTGGTGACAAAATCCCTCAGCATTTGCTTGTCTGTAAAGGATTTTATTTATCCTTCACTTATGAAACTTAGTTTGGCTGGATATGAAATTCTGGGTTGAAAATTCTTTTCTTTAAGAATGTTGAATATTGGCCCCCACTCTCTTCTGGCTTGTAGGTTTTCTGCAGAGAGATCTGCTATTAGTCTGATGGGCTTCCCTTTGTAGGTAACCTGACCTTTCTCTCTGGCTGCTCTTAACATTTTTTCCTTCACTTCAACATTGGAGAATCTGATGATTATGTGTCTTGAGTTTGCTCTTCTAAAGGAGTAACTTAGTGGTGTTCTCTGTATTTCCTGAATTTGAATGTTGGTCTGTCTTGCTAGGTTTGGGACATTCTCCTGGATAATATCCCGAAGAGTGTTTTCCAACTTGGTTCCATTCTCCCCATCACTTTCAGGGACCCCAATCAAGCATAGGTTTGGTCTTCTCACATAGTCCCATATTTTTTGGAGGCTTTGTTCATTCCTTTTCAATTTTTTTTGTCTAATCTCATCTTTACACCTTATTTCAGTAAGTTGATTTTCAATCTCTGATATCCTTTCTTTCGCTTGATCGATGTCACTATTGATAGTTGTGTATACTTCACAAACATCTTGTGCTGCGTTTTTCAGCTCCATTAGGTCATTTATGTTCATCTCTAAACTGGTTATTCTAGTTAGTAGTTCCTGCAACATTTTGTCAAGGTTCTTAGCTTCCTTGCATTGAGTTAGAACATGCTTCTTTATCTCAGAGGAGTTTGTTATTACCCACGGTCTACTTCTCTCAATTCATCAAACCATTCTCTGTCCAGTTCTGTGTTCTTGCTGGAGAGGAGTTGTGATCATTTGCAGGAGAAGAGGCATTCTGGTTTTTGGAATTTTCAGCATTTTTGTGCTGGTTTTTCCTCATCTTCATGGATTTATCTACCTTTGATCTTTGAGGCTGATAACCTGTGGATAGGGTTTCTAGGTGAGGTTCCTTTTTGTTGATGTTGTTATTGCTTTCTGTTTGTTAGTTTTTCTTCTAACAGTAAGGCCTCTCTTCTGCAGGTCTGCTGCAGTTTGCTGGAGATCCACTCCAGACCCTATTTGCCTGGTATCACCGGTGGAGGCTGCAGAACAGCAAAGATTGCTGCCTGCTTTTTCCTCTGGAAGCTTCATCCCAGAGGGACACTGGCCTGATGCCATCTGGAGCTCTGCAGTATGAGGTGTCTGTCAACCCCTGTTGGGAGGTCTCTCCCAGTCAGGAGGCATGGGTATCAGGGGCCCACTTGAGAAGGCAGTCTGTCCCTTAGCAGAACTTGAGCACTGTGCTGGGAGAGCCCACCTTGTCAGGATCTGCTACTCTCTTCAGAGCAAGAAGGCAGGAATGTTGAAGTCTGCCAAAGCTGCACCCACTGCCACCCCTTCCCCCAGGTGTTCTGTCCCAGTGAGATGGGAGTTTTATCTATAAGCCCCTGACTGGCACTGCTGCCTTTCTTTCAGAGACGCTCTGCCCAGTGAAGAGGAATCTAGAGAGGCAGCCTGGCCACAGCTGCTTTGCTGCACTGGGTTGAGTTCCGCCCAATCTGAACTCCAGGCCTCCTTAGTGCTGACAGGGGAAAACCGCCTACTCAAGCCTCTGTAATGGCAGATGCCCCTGCCCCCACCAAGCTCAACAGTCCCAGGTTGAGTTCAGACTGCTGGGCTGGCAGTGAGAATTTCAAGCCAGTGGTTCTTAGCTTGCTGGGTTCCATGGGAGGGGGACCTGCTGAGTGAGACCACTTGGCTCCCTGGCTTCAGCCCCCTTTCCAGGGGATTGAACAGTTCTGTCTTGTTGGGGTTACAGGTGCCACTGGGTTTGAAAGAAAAAACTCCTGCAACTAGCTCGGTGTCTGCTGAACAGCTGCCCAGTTTTTGTGCTTGAAACCAAGGGCCCTGGTGGTGCAGGCACAAGGGGGAATCTCCTGGTCTGTGGATTGCAAAAGTGTAGTATCTAGGCTGGATAGCACAGTCCCTCACGGCTTCCCTTGGCTGGGAAAGGGAAACCCCTGGCTCTTTGCACTTCCTGGGTGAGGCGAAGCCCCACCCTGCTTCAGCTCACCCTCCATGGGCTGCACCCACTGCCTATCCAATCCCAGTGAGATGAACACAGTACCTCAGTTGGAAATGCAGAAATCACCCACCTTCTGCGATGGTCTCACTGGGAGCTGCAGACCAGAGCTGTTCTTATTTGGCCATCTTGCCAGGTCCCCCAAAATACATGTCTTAAGTAAACTTCATTCAGGCATGATTTATAGTATTGTTGGCTATTGTGTTCAATGTTAGTACATCAACAATACATAGTAAATAAGGTGTGTTTCAACAGAAATGCACATAAAACAAGATTTTGTGTTGATAAGTTGACAAAAATGTGACCAGAGGCTTGCAGGAACCTACCTCTGAATTTTTCCTAGGAGCGATGGCTCTGTATTTGTTAATTCAGCGGTTGAGGTGATTTTATAAAACTGAACTATGGCTACTAATGAGGCATGACTGTAATTTATTGGTAAAAAACACCTTCTGCTAGTATCTCCTTCAGAGGCTGTAAAGCATTGTATTAGCCTCAAGCCTGGGCAGGACTGTCCTGTCCCAGGGGAACTGGTGCCTCCCATTTTCATTACCTCCTAGCTCCCCAGGTGGCAGAGGCTGTCAGTGGCAGAGGTGGGAGTGCTGCTGAGCAGTGTGCTGGGACCACTGGATCACCAAGACTGCCATTTTGCAGAGAGGCAAGCCCCTGAATCATCACGTCATGAGGGATAGAGACGGGAAATAAATATTCCTACCAAATCTACTATTCTGTATTGTCCTCACTGTCCTAGAGGGTTTCCAGTCTACCTCCTTGTGGTGGCCACCTCTCATCTCTCCCACATGCAGGACTTTTCTGGGAACATGGGCTCGCAGTGAGGTAGACTCAGAAGCCAGAGTCCCATATCCACCAGTGGAGTCCCTAGAAGTTTGGTGTTGGTCTGATCTCAGCATCCACTGTGATAACAATAATAAACATTCATCAGTCACCTACTGTGTGACAGGAGCTGTGCTAAGCACTTCATAAAGATAAACTCAATCCTTTCAACAAGCCCCACTCACAGAAGAGGCTGCTGAGGTGCAGGAAGAAGCAGTAACTTGCCTGCCCAGGTTACTATTTACCTAGCTGGCAGTCACACAGTTATTCAGCCCCTTTCCTAATGTTTGTGGGGCCCAGGCCCACACACCCTAGGTCTAGACATTGAAGTGTTCTATCTAGCTAACAAGTTATTGAAATATGTTCCTCTCCTACCACCTTGACAAATATGCCATCATCTGGCCTAGAAGGCCAAGTCAAATCTTGGAGTTCTTGGACTCCTTGGATTTCCTTGCAGGAACCTAGTGGGGTGGGACAAGCTGGCTCCAGCCCTCAGCCATGGCCTACACCAGTCTGCACCATGTCCTATACCACAAAGGGCCTCACAAGCAAATGTCTGACCACCCCAGCCCATGCATCAACACAGCAGACACCCTGCAAAAAGTGGCCCCAGGCGCAGGGACATGTCCACCCACAGCACAGTCACTGTCGCAGGACGGATGCTGAGTAGAGGTCTACAAGTGCCTAGAAGTGGTGGCAGGGGTGTCTGAGCATGAGCTTTCAGCGTTGGGGGGAGTATTAGTTTGTTTTCATACTATTATAAGCATCTGCCAGAGACTGGGTAATTTACAAAGGAAAGAGGTTTAATTGACTTACAGATCTGCATGGCTGGGGAGGCCTCAGGAAACTTACAATTGCAGCGGAAGGCACCTCTTTACAGGACGGCAGAAGAGAGAATGAGAACCAAGCAAAAGGGGGAAGACCCTTATAAAACCATCAGATCTCAGAAGCCCCTTATAAAACTCACTCACTATCACGGGAACAGTATGGGGGAAACTGCCCCCATAATTCTGCTATCTCCACCCGGTCCCTCCCACAACATGTGGGGATTATGGGAACTACATACAATTCAAGATGAGATTTGGATGAGGACACAGCCAAACCACATCAGGAAGGCCAGCCCACAACCCCCACCCTCAGACATGTCTCCTTGTCCCCTCAAAGTGGCTAACAGACGGGGCCTCTGAAGCTTGGGTGAGTGGTCTGAGGTGGTGATGCTGCTCCTGCATGGACTGAGTGCCCTTCCAGGCCACTGGGCTCCAAGCACATGTGCTCCCAACCCATTAATAGTTTGGGCTAATGAGTAATTGTTAATGGGTAATTGACATTAACAATCTCGGATCTGTTAACGGGTAATGGACAGGTCATGCCACAGCTGCTGGTGAAGTCAAGACAGATCCTAGAGGAGTTTGAAGAGCGAGAAGTGTAGGCCACTGGGTAAGTGGGAACTATGCCATGGCATTTTTCTTTCTTTCCACTGGGTCCCCTCCCTGCCCTGCCCTTACTCCAGGGTCAAGCTCCTTGCATATCTGGCACCGCTCAGCAACCTCCTCCTAGAACACGACAGCCCACGGCCAGAGTCCTAGCAATTAATGGCTCCTACCAGAGGCTTAAGGAAGCCTATGCTCTCTATGATCCAATTTCATTCCAATCCCTTCAGCATATGCTTCTTTAGTGCCTACAGTGTGCACAGCATGGTGTCCAGAGAAGCACACGGTGCCCACTCTCAGGCTATGCTGTCACAGCGTGGTGTCCAGAGAAGCACACGGTGCCCACTCTCAGGCTATGCTGTCACAGCATGGTGTCCAGAGAAGCACATGGTGCCCACTCTCAGGCTATGCTGTCACAGCGTGGTGTCCAGAGAAGCACACGGTGCCCACTCTCAGGCTATGCTGTCACAGCGTGGTGTCCAGAGAAGCACACAGTGCCCACTCTCAGGCTATGCTGTCACAGCATGGTGTCCAGAGAAGCACATGGTGCCCACTCTCAGGCTATGCTGTCAAGTGCTCTGGCTGCAGAGGTCGGGGCCCTCAGGGAGGTGGGGTCTCAGGGAAATGGGTGTCTCAGAGTGCATGAGGGTTGAACTGTCCTCAGTGGCGGGAGGGCTTGACTTCTCAGTACACATGTTCCCAATTACTCATTCAATGAAGCTGTTATTAAGGCTACCGTGGCATGCTGGGAGCTGGACGGCAAGGATGCCTGAGACTGGAACTCTGCCGGAGGGAGGTTAAGCAGGGAACAGATACAAAGAGGTGGAAGCCCTGGGAGGCAGCTGTTCCAGAAGGTGAGGCCAAGGTTGTCAGGCCCAGGAGCAGTGGACTGAGGTGATGGGGAGTAGCACACTCTGGGCTCTGGGCTGAGGCTGGGAGGGTGAGCTCTTAGGAGCATGAGGGTGAGGAGGGAGTGAAAGGGTGCAAACCGAAGGTGGTCTTTAGAGCCCAGTGGAAGGTTCCCAGAGGAAAATGACCTTCCCAGGCTGCAAGTCTCATTAGGACTCCTTGGCACAGATAGTCCAAAAGTCCCCTGCTCTAACAGTCTACCTAATGGACTTGATCTTGCAGCCACATGCAGTAATGATATAACTAGCATTTACTGAGCACCAACTATGAGTTAAGCACTGAATTAACCTTGTCCTCACAACCCTATGACATGCACACCTTGTTGCAGTGAAGGGCACATAGCTAGGAAGTGGCAGATCTGGGGTTGCTAGCCATGTAACCTCCATCATGTTACTTAGCCCCTCTGAGGCTCAGTGTTCTCAGTTGAAAATAAATACATAACAGTATCTGCATCTTGAGGATATTGTGAGAGTTCATGAGTGATATAGTTTGGATATTTGTCCCTGCAGCTCTCATGTTGAAATGTGATCTCCAATGCTGGACGTGGGGCCTGGTGGGAGATGTTGGGTCATGGGGGCGGATCCCTCAAGAATGGCTTGGTGCCATCCTCTTGGTGATGAGTGGGTTCTCTATTAGTTCACGTGAGGGCTGGTGGTTTAAAGGAGCTTAGCACCTCCTTTCTCTTTTTTGCTCTCTCTCTTGCCATGTGACACTCCTGCTCCCCTTCACTTTCCACTATGAGTAAAAGCTTCCTGAAGCCACACCAGAAGCCAAGCAGATGCTGATGCCATGCTTGTACAGCCTGCAGAACCATCTGCCAAATAAACCTCTTTTCTTTACAAATCACCAAGTCTCAGGTATTCCTTTATAGCAACATAAAACAGACTAAAACAATGAGCTAATACATGTGAACACTCTAAGACCAGGCATAGAATCAAGCCAAACTAGTGGTAGCTATGGCTGGCTACTCAGTAGATTCATTTCTGAGTTTGGAACACTGACATCACTGAGACCTTGAAATTGAACTTCAAGGGGGCAGTGGCTGGAGACTAAGCAGAAGGAAGCCCTCTTGGAGGCAGTGTTTTCCAGCACAGGGGGCCTCCATGACCGATAGGACTACTCATTTGTACTTGGAATCATTTTCTAGCAAATTTAGTTGGCTTGGTTAACATCAACCAGTGGAGACTTATGCTTCCAAAATGGAATAACAGGGACTAGATTACCCTCCCTCCAGAAACAATGTAAACAAACAAACAAACAAACAAACAAAAAAGAGACAAAATATTCAAAATATTGCAGAACTGAACGGGCTCCATTTGCTCATTTGCAATGGAAAGCCCAGCACCAAAGCATCAGATTTTTTAGAGAGAAAGGTTTATCGGAAGGCAGCTGAGCAAGGAGATAGTAGATGGGCTCAAGTTGGTCTCCCCAGTTTGTGGTTTGGGGCAGCTTTCGTGGACTACAGAGGACAGGTTGGTATGCAGAAGCACTGGCAGGGCAGGTTTTGATTGGAAAGACTTCAAACAAGACTATTTATGGGAAGGCACGAGGAGAGGTCTTATCACCAGACATTCCTGGGCTCTGATGGACCGCTCGCTTTTCAAAGCTTTCCATGTTGGGGTTCCAACTATGTCCTGATCTATGGTTTCTAGGGAGTGTGGCCAGGCTTTAGTTCTGGGTGTTGAGGTTGAAGTCTCCTTTTCTGCCCGCACTCTGGCTGCATGATGTGCACTTTCTTGACTCTGTGCTTGTAAAGTAACTTGACAACCTGTTATCAACACAATAGGGCTAGCTAGAAATGTCCCTGCAGTTGGGAGACCACATAGGGCATTAGAACTGGTCCTGTGGTTACAAAAATACAGATAACAAAGGCTTGGAAGATGTTGGACATCAGACAACAAAGACAGTCATCCCTGAAAGATAAAAAATAAAAGATATGAGCCCTGTGATTGACCTGCTGACTGCCCGGAGTTTCCAGGCCTCATGCAGGAAGGAGGAAGCCAGATAGGATCCAAGGCTCCTAGAATTGAGAGGACTGAGCTGGGAATCTGAGCAGATTGGAATTCACAGGACAGAGTAGGAAGGGAGAAAGACATAGAGCTCTGGAGGTCTGAGCACTGGTCAGTGCGTGCATGTAAGAAATTTACATGTGTAATTGTAATTTCATGTATAGCTTTCTTCTCTCCAAAAGTGTTAGAAAGAACCACCAGAAAGGATTACAGGAAACAGTCCTGGGATAATATAGTCAGAAAGAGTTTCAGTTCCCACCAGCAAGAATATAAAACTTCATAATTCATGAGGGATTGGGTAAATTATTCAGAAGGTCTTTAACTGAGTGGGGCAAAATTAGACCTAGACTAAAAGCTGCTGGCCACACTTAATCAAGCATAAAAGGAAAAAAACAACTGTTTCCATGTTACTTGTGTGCATCCCAAAACACAATGGGAGAATATTTAAAGGAATGTGTTATAATATAGGGCTAGAGATTTTATTTTATTTTATTTTATTTTATTTATTTATTTATTTATTTTTTGAGACGGAGTCTGGCTGCATGCCCAGGCTGGAGTGCAGTGGTGCAGTCTCAGCTCACTGCAACCTCAGTCTCCCTGGTTCAAGCGATTCTTCTGCCTCAGCCTCCCAAGGAGCTGAGACCACAGGCATGCACCACCACGCCCAGCTAACTTTTGTATTTTTAGTAGAGACAGGGTTTCACCATTTTGGCCAGCATGGTTTCAATCTCTTGACCTCGTGATCTGCCTACCTTGGCCTCCCAAAGTGCTGGGATTACAGGCGTGAGCCACCACGCTCAACCAGGGCTAGAGATTTTAAAACATAACAATTTAAAAATAAAATAAAGGAATATGAACAAATCCAGCCACTAGCAACGTGAGATTCAAAATGTCTATCATCCAATCACAATTTATCAGGCACAAAAAGAAACAATAAAAATATGACTTCTGTCGATCTTAAATAATGAGATTTACAGAATCTAATTAAGTGCAGAGTTTATTCAAGAGCAAAGCTTGAGGATATCCACCCAGGAAAGCACCAACTCCACACAAAAGGAGTCAGTGTTTCCAAAGTGGAAGAGTTACAGTTTTGCTTAAGTGGACAGAGACAGAAAAGCTCCAGCAGGATTGCAGTTTCCATACGAGACCAGGTACAGATGCCACAGTGATTTGATTGGTGCAGATTGCTACATTCCAAGGAAGATTCTTCATTACTCCATGACGGGGAGGAGTGATTTGACGGGGTCTGATTTCTGGTGCCGTTTGGTCTTAATTACTTACAGAGGGAAAAAAAGGCAGGAGTTGCAGCTGCATACTGCCTCACTGAGGCTGTGTAGCCAAAGGCCTGCAAGGCTCAGGATAATTTAAAGTTCCAATAGCTTTAAGTTTGAATTATTTTAAGCTTGAGTTACTTAATGTTATACTCCTAATCAACAGAAAAATTGCTCAATCAAAACTAATCAAGAAATGACACAGATGATGCAACTAGTAGAAAGCAACTTTAAAAACTATAATTATCACTGTATTCCACAGGTACAAAAAGGAAGAAGGAAGACTGATCCTGTTAAGTGGAAATATGGAAGGCACAGAAAGAATGTAAACTGTACATCTATAGATGAAAATTACAAGGTCTGATATAAAAAAAATACACTATGTATGATTTTTTTCTTTTTGAGAGGGAGTCTCGCTCTGTCACCCAGGCTGGAGTGCAGTGGTGCGATCTTGGCTCACTGCAACCTCCACCTCCTGGGTTCAAGTGATTCTCCTGTCTCAGCCTCCTGAGTAGCTGGGATTACAGGCATGCACCACCACACATGGCGAAGTTTTGTATTTTTAGTAGAGATGGGGTTTCACTATGTTGGTCAGGCTGGTCTCGAACTCCTGACTTCATGATCCGCTCGCCTTGGCCTCCCAAAGTGCTGCAATTACAGGCATGACAGGCATGAGCCACCAAGCCCAGCTGAGCTTTTTTTGTTGTTTTTTTTTTTTTGCTTTTTTAGACAGAGTCTTATTCTGTCACTCAGGTTAGAGTGCAGTGGTGCAATCTTGGCTCACTGCAACCTGTGACTCCCAGGTTCAAGTTATTATCCTGCCTCAGCCTCCTGAGTAGCTGGAGTTACAGATACCTGCCACCACATTCAGTTAATTTTTGTAGTTTTAGTACAGAAGGGATTTCGCCATGTTAGCCAAGCTGTTCTCAAACTCTTGACTCCTGCAATTGGAGTCTTCAAAGTGGAGGACAGAAAAAATATTTTTAAAAAATTATAATGAAAAAATTCCAAATTTGATGAAAACTCTAAGCCTACAGGTCCAATAAACAAAATTAATATCAAGTCAAAAACATAAAGAAAACTACTCCAAGGCACATCATAAACCAATTTTTTTTTATTAGTATACTTTAAGTTCTAGGGTACATGTGCACATTGTGCAGGTTTCTTACATATGTATACATGTGCCATGTTGGTGTGGTGCACCCATTAACTCGTCATTTACATTAGGTATGTCTCCTAATGCTATCCCTTCTCCCTTCCCCCACCCCAAAACAGGCCCCGGTGTGTGATGTTCCCCTTCCTCTGTCCAAGTGTTCTCATTGTTCAATTCCCACCTATGAGTGAGAACATGCGGTGTTTGGTTTTCTGTCAGTGCAATAGTTTGCTCAGAATGATGGTTTCCAGCTTCATCCATGTCCCTACAAAGGACATGAACTCATCCTTTTCTATGGCTGCATAGTATTCCACAGTGTATATGTGACACATTTTCTTTTTCTTTTTTTTATTTTTTATTATTTTTTATTATTATACGTTAAGTTTTAGGGTACATGTGCACAATGTGCAGGTTAGTTACATATGTATACATGTGCCATGCTGGTGCGCTGCACCCACTAACTCGTCATCTAGCATTAGGTATATCTCCCAATGCTATCCCTCCCCCCTCCCCCGACCCCACAACAGGCCCCAGAGTGTGATGTTCCCCTTCCTGTGTCCATGTGTTCTCATTGTTCAATTCCCACCTATGAGTGAGAATATGCAGTGTTTGATTTTTTGTCCTTGCAATAGTTTACTGAGAATGATGATTTCCAATTTCATCCATGTCCCTACAAAGGACATGAACTCATCATTTTTTATGGCTGTATAGTATTCCATGGTGTATATGTGCCACATTTTCTTAATCCAGTCTATCATTGTTGGACATTTGGGTTGGTTCCAAGTCTTTGCTATTGTGAATAATGCCGCAATAAACATATGTGTACATGTGTCTTTATAGCAGCATGATTTATAGTCCTTTGGGTATATACCCATTAATGGGATGGCTGGGTCAAATGGTATTTCTAGTTCTAGATCCCTGAGGAATTGCCACACTGACTTCCACAATGGTTGAACTAGTTTACAGTCCCACCAACAGTGTAAAAGTGTTGCTATTTCTCCACATCCTCTCCAGCACCTGTTGTTTCCTGACTTTTTAATGATTGCCATTCTAACTGGTGTGAGATGGTATCTCATTGTGGTTTTGATTTGCATTTCTCTGATGGCCAGTGATGATGAGCATTTTTTCATGTGTTTTTTGGCTGCATAAATGTCTTCTTTTGAGAAGTGTCTGTTCATGTCCTTCGCCCACTTTTTGATGGGGTTGTTTTTTTCTTGTAAATTTGTTTGAGTTCATTGTAGATTCTGGATATTAGCCCTTTGTCAGATGAGTAGGTTGCAAAAATTTTCTCCCATTTTGTAGGTTGCCTGTTCACTCTGATGGTAGTTTCTTTTGCTGTGCAGAACTCTTTAGTTTAATTAGATCCCATTTGTCAATTTTGTCTTTTGTTGCCATTGCTTTTGGTGTTTTAGACATGAAGTCCTTGTCCATGCCTATGTCCTGAATGGCAAAGCCTAGGTTTTCTTCTAGGGTTTTTATGGTTTTAGGTCTAACATTTAAGTCTTTAATCCATCTTGAATTAATTTTTGTATAAGGTGTAATGAAGGGATCCAGTTTCAGCTTTCTACCTATGGCTAGCCAGGTTTCCCAGCACCATTTATTAAATAGGGAATCCTTTCCCCATTGCTTGTTTTTCTCAGGTTTGTCAAAGATCAGATAGTTGTAGATATGCGGCGTTATTTCTGAGGGCTCTGTTCTGTTCTATTGATGTATATCTTTGTTTTGGTACCAGTACCATGCTGTTTTGGTTACTGTAGCCTTGTAGTATAGTTTGAAGTCAGGTAGTGTGATGCCGCCAGCTTTGTTCTTTTGGCTTAGGATTGACTTGGCGATGCGGGCTCTTTTTTGGTTCCATATGAACTTTAAAGTAGTTTTTTCCAATTCTGTGAAGAAAGTCATTGGTAGCTTGATGGGGATGGCATCGAACGTGTAAATTACCTTGGGCAGTATGGCCATTTTCACAATATTGATTCTTCCTATCCATGAGCATGGAATGTTCTTCCATTTGTTTGTATCCTTTTTTATTTCCTTGAGCACTGGTTTGTAGTTCTCCTTGACAAGGTCCTTCACATCCCTTGTAAGTTGGATTCCTAGGTATTTTATTCTCTTTGAAGCAATTGTGAATGGGAGTTCACTCACGATTTGGCTCTCTGTTTGTCTGTTGTTGGTGTATAAGAATGCTTGTGATTTTTGTACATTGATTTTGTATCCTGAGACTTTGCTGAAGTTGCTTATCAGCTTAAGGAGATTTTGGGCTGAGACAATGGGGTTTTCTAGATATACAATCATGTCATCTGCAAACAGGGACAATTTGACTTCCTCTTTTCCTAATTGAATACCCTTTATTTCCTTCTCCTGCCTAATTGCCCTGGCCAGAACTTCCAACACTATGTTGAATAGGAGTGGTGAGAGAGGGCATCCCTGTCTTGTGCCAGTTTTCAAAGGGAATGCTTCCAGTTTTTGCCCATTCAGTATGATATTGGCTGTGGGTTTGTCATAGATAGCTCTTATTATTTTGAGATACGTCCCATCAATACCTAATTTATTGAGAGTTTTTAGCATGAAGGGTTGTTGAATTTTGTCAAAGGCCTTTTCTGCATCTATTGAGATAATCATGTGGTTTTTGTCTTTGGTTCTGTTTATATGCTGGATTACATTTATTGATTTGCGTATATTGAACCAGCCTTGCATCCCAGGGATGAAGCCCACTTGATCATGGTGGATAAGCTTTTTGATGTGCTGCTGGATTTGGTTTGCCAGTATTTTATTGAGGATTTTTGCATCAATGTTCATCAAGGATATTGGTCTAAAAGTCTCTTTTTTGGTTGTGTCTCTGCCCGGCTTTGGTATCAGGATGATGCTGGCCTCATAAAATGAGTTAGGGAGGATTCCCTCTTTTTCTATTAATTGGAATAGTTTCAGAAGGAAGCATACCAGTTCCTCCTTGTACCTCTGGTAGAATTCGGCTGTGAATCCATCTGGTCCTGGACTCTTTTTGGTTGGTAAGCTATTGATTATTGCCACAATTTCAGAGCCTGTTATTGGTCTATTCAGAGATTCAACTTCTTCCTGGTTTAGTCTTGGGAGGGTGTATGTGTCCAGGAATTTATCCATTTCTTCTAGATTTTCTAGTTTATTTGCGTAGAGGTGTTTGTAGTATTCTCTGATGGTAGTTTGTATTTCTGTGGGATCGGTGGTGATATCCCCTTTATCATTTTTTATTGTGTCTATTTGATTCTTCTCTATTTTCTTCTTTATTAGTCTTGCTAGTGGTCTATCAATTTTGTTGATCGTTTCAAAAAACCAGCTCCTGGATTCATTAATTTTTTGAAGGGTTTTTTGTGTCTCTATTTCCTTCAGTTCTGCTCTGATTTTAGTTATTTCTTGCCTTCTGCTAGCTTTTGAATGAGTTTGCTCTTGCTTTTCTAGTTCTTTCAACTGTGATGTTAGGGTGTCAATTTTGGATCTTTCCTGCTTTCTCTTGTGGGCATTTAGTGCTATAAGTTTCCCTCTACACACTGCTTTGAATGCATCCCAGAGATTCTGGTATGTTGTGTCTTTGTTCTTATTGGTTTCAAAGAACATCTTTATTTCTGCCTTCATTTCGTTATGCACCCAGTAGTCATTCAGGAGCAGGTTGGTTCAGTTTCCATGTAATTGAGTGGTTTTGAGTGAGTTTCTTAATCCTGAGTTCTAGTTTGATTGCACTGTGGTCTGAGAGACAGTTTGTTATAATTTCTGTTCTCTTATATTTGCTGAGGAGAGCTTCACTTCCAAGTATGTGGTCAATTTTGGAATAGGTGTGGTGTGGTGCTGAAAAAAATGTATATTCTGTTGATTTGGGGTGGAGAGTTCTGTAGATGTCTATTAGGTCCACTTGGTGCAGAGCTGAGTTCAATTCCTGGGTATCCTTGTTGACTTTCTGTCTCGTTGATCTGTCTAATGTTGACAGTGGGGTGTTAAAGTCTCCCATTATTAATGTGTGGGAGTCTAAGTCTCTTTGTAGGTCACTCAGGACTTGCTTTATGAATCTGGATGCTCCTGTATTGGGTGCATATATATTTCGGATAGTTAGCTCTTCTTGTTGAATTGATCTCTTTACCATTATGTAATGGCCTTCTTTGTCTCTTTTGATCTTTGTTGGTTTAAAGTCTGTTTTATCAGAGACTAGGATTGCAACCCCTGCCTTTTTTTGTTTTCCATTTGCTTGGTGGATCTTCCTCCATCCTTTTATTTTGAGCCTATGTGTGTCACTGCACCTGAGATGGGTTTCCTGAATACAGCACACTGATGGGTCTTGACTCTTTATCCAATTTGCCAGTCTGTATCTTTTAATTGGAGCATTTAGTCCATTTACATTTAAAGTTAATATTGTTATGTGTGAATTTGATCCTGGCATTATGATGTTAGCTGGTTATTTTGCTCGTTAGTTGATACAGTTTCTTCCTAGTCTCAATGGTCTGTACATTTTGGCATGATTTTGCAGTGGCTGGTACCGGTTGTTCCTTTCCATGTTTAGCGCTTCCTTCAGGAGCTCTTTTAGGGCAGGCCTGGTGGTGACAAAATCTCTCAGCATTTGCTTGTCTGTAAAGTATTTTATTTCTCCTTCACTTATGAAGCTTAGTTTGGCAGGATATGAAATTCTGGGCTGAAAATTCTTTTCTTTAAGAATGTTGAATATTGGCCCCCACTCTTTCTGGCTTGTAGAGTTTCTGCTGAGAGATCCGCTGTTAGCCTAATGGGCTTCCCTTTGAGGGTAACCTGACCTTTCTCTCTGGCTGCTCTTAACATTTTTTCCTTCATTTCAACTTTGGTGAATCTGACAATTATGTGTCTTGGAGTTGCTCTTCTTGAGGAGTATCTTTGTGGTGTTCTCTGTATTTCCTGAATCTGAATGTTGGCCTGCCTTGCTAGATTGGGGAAGTTCTCCTGGATAATATCCTGCACAGTGTTTTCCAACTTGGTTCCATTCTCCCCATCACTTTCAGGTACACCAATCAGATGTAGATTTGGTCTTTTCACATAGTCCCATATTTCTTGGAGGCTTTGCTCATTTCTTTTTATTCTTTTTTCTCTAAACTTCCCTTCTTGCTTCCTTTCATTCATTTCATCTTCCATCCCTGATACCCTTTCTTCCAGTTGATCTCATCGGCTCCTGAGGCTTCTGCATTCTTCACGTAGTTCTCGAGCCTTGGTTTTCAGCTCCATCAGCTCCTTTAAGCACTTCTCTGTATGGGTTATTCTAGTTATACATTCTTCTAAATTTTTTTCAAAGTTTTCAACTTCTTTGCCTTTGGTTTGAATGTCCTCCCGTAGCTCGGAGTAATTTGATCATCTGAAGCCTTCTTCTCTCAACTCGTCAAAGTCATTCTCCGTCCAGCTTTGTTCCGTTGCTGGTGAGGAACTGCATTCCTTTGGAGGAGGAGAGGCACTCTGCTTTTTAGAGTTTCCAGTTTTTCTGCTCTGTTTTTTCCCCATCTTTGTGTTTTTATCTACTTTTGGTCTTTGATGATGGTGATGTACAGATGGCTTTTTGGTGTGGATGTCCTTTCTGTTTGTTAGTTTTCCTTCTAACAGACAGGACCCTCAGCTGCAGGTCTGTTGGAGTACCCGGCCGTGTGAGGTGTCAGTCTGCCCCTGCTGGGAGGTGCCTCCCAGTTAGGCTGCTCAGGGGTCAGGGGTCAGGGACCCACTTAAGGAGGCAGTCTGCCCGTTCTCAGATCTCCAGCTGCGTGCTGGGAGAACCACTGCTCTCTTCAAAGCTCAGATGGAAATGCAGAAATCGGCTGTCTTTTCTGCGTCGCTCACGCTGGGAGCTGTAGACCGGAGCTGTTCCTATTTGGCCATCTTGGCTCCTCCCCACCGTGTCACATTTTCTTAATCCAGTCTATCATTGATGGACATTTGGGTTGGTTCCAAGTCTTTGCTATTGTGAATAGTGCCGCAATAAACATACGTGTGCATGTGTCTTTATAGCAGCATGATTTATAATCCTTTGTGTATATACTCAGTAATGGGATGGCTGGGTCAAATGGTATTTCTAGTTCTAGATTCAAGGATCAGAGTTTTTGAGTATAATTTGGTGGGAAGAGGGGGGTGGGGCAGTGAGTTGGGAGTGCTGATTGGTTGGGTCAGAAATGAAATCATAGGAAATTGAAGCTGTCTTCTTGCACTGAGTCAGTTCGTGGTTGGGGGCCACAAGATCAGATGAGCCAGTTTATTGATGTGGGTGTTTCCAGCTGATCCAGCAAATGCAGGGTCTGCAAATTATCTCAAGCACTGATCTTAGGTTTTACAATAATGATGTTATCACCATGAGCAATTTGGGGAGGGTCAGAATCTTGTAGCCTCCAGCTGCATGACACCTAAACCATAATTTCTAATGTTGTGGCTAATTTGTTAGTCCTACAAAGGCAGTCTAGTCCCTAGGCAAGAAGGAGGTTTGTTTTAAGAAAAAGCTATTATCTACTTTGTTTTAAACTATGAACTATAAACTAAGTTCTTCCCAAAGTTAGTTCAGCCTATGCCCAGGAATGAACATGGGCAACTTGGAGGTTAGGAGGAAGATGGAATTGGTTGGGTCTCTTTCACTGTCTCAGTTATAATTTTGCAATGGTGGTTTCAAAAACATGTATGTATAAAAACAAGCAATTCAAAATCAAAGATATTGGAACTTTAAATTATTCTGAGCTTTAAAGGAATGTGATTTGGGGACCTGGGCCACATAACAGACAGCTGTAACTTGGGCTGTTGTAACCTAGGCAGCTGTAATCTTTGTTCCTCTGATTATAAACTTTTCTCTACCTACATTATTCTGTAAAATGTTGTTAAAGACTAAAGGATACCAGAGAAGCCTGCCTTCCCTCTTCACTGTCTGTATTGGTCTGTTTTCACACTGCTATAAAGAAATATCCAAGACTGGGTAATTTATAATGGAAAGTGGCTTAATTGACTCACTGTTCTGCATAGCCAGGGAGGCCTCAGGAAACTTATAATCATGGCAGAAGGGGAAGCAGGCACCTTCTTCACAGGGTGGCAGAAGAGAGTGTGAGTGTGTGAAGGAGGAACAGTCAAACACTTATAAAACCATCAGATCTAGTGAGAGCTCACTCACTATCATGAGAACAGCATGGGGGAAACCGTCCCCATGATCCAGTCATCTCCCTCCCTTGACACATGGGGATTACAGGTCCCTCCTTTCACACATGGGGATTACAATTCTAGATGAGTTGGGAGGGTGGGGATACAGAGCCCAAATTATATCATTCTACACCTGGCCCCTCCCAAATATCATGTCTTTTCACAGTTCAAAACCAATCGTGCTTTTCCAACACTCCCCCACCGTATTAACTCATTCCAGAATTAACCCAAAAGTCTACATCCAAAGTCTCATCTGTGACAAGGCAAGTCCCTTCTGCCCAGGAGCCTTTAAAATCAAAAGACAGTTAGTTACTTCCAAGATACAATGGTGGTACAGGCATTGGATAAATGCCTCCATTCCAAATGGGAGAAATTGGCCAAAACAAAGGGGCTACAGGCCCCATGCAAGTCCAAAATCTAGCAGGGCAGTCATTAAATCTTTAAGCTCCAAAATAATTTCCTTTGATTCCCTGTCTTACATCCAGGTCATGTTGATGCAAGAGATGGGCTCCCATGGTCTTGGGCAGCTCCACCCCTGTGGCTTTGCAGGGTACAGCCTCCCTCCCAGCTGCTTTCACAGGCTGGTATTGAGTGTCTGTGGCTTTTCCATGGGCATGGTTCAAGCTTTCAGTGGATCTACCATTCTTGGTTCTGGAGGAAGGTGGCCCTCTTCTCACAGCTCCACTAGTCAGTACTCCACTGGGGACTCTGTGAGGGGGCTGCAACCCCACATTTCCCTTCTACACTGCCCTAGCAGAGGCTCTCCATGAGGGCTCCACCTGTGCAGCATAATTCTATCTGGACACCCAGGCATTTTCATACATCCTCCGAAATCTAGGCAGAGGTTCCCAAACCTCAATTCTTGACTTCTGTGCACCTGTAAGCCCCAAAACACTTGGAAGCTACTGAGGTTTGGGGCTTGTGCCATCTGAAGCAACACCCTGAGCTGTACCTTGGCCCCTATTTGCCACAACTGAAGCTGCAGTGGCTGGGATGCAAGGCATCATGTCCCAAGGTGGCACAGAGCAGTGGGAGCCCTGGGCCTAGCCCATGAAACCATTTTTCCTCCTAGGCCTCCAGACCTGTGATGGGAGGGGCTGCCGTAAAGACCCCTGACATGCCCTGGAGATATTTTCTCCATTGTTTTGGTGATTAACATTTGGCTGCTTGTTACTCATGGAAGTGGTGTGGATTCTTAGTGTGTTCTGATAGCCATGTGTCACTCTGCACTTGTTCTTTGTGTCTTCTCATCATATCCTATTGCATTTTAAAGCATTTTCATAGTATGTGGTTTTGCCTAATAAAGCATTCTCATAGTTTAAAAAAGTTTCAATTTCTGCAGCTGACTTGAATTTCTCCCCAGAAAATGAATTTTTCTTTTCTATTGCATCGTGAGGCTGCAAATTTTCCAAACTTTTATGCTCTGTTTCCCTTTTAAGCCTAATTTCCAATTTCAAACCATCTCTTTGAGAATGCATAAAACTGAATGCTTTCAGAATAATCCAGGTGACATCTTGAATGCTTTGCTGCTTAGAAATTTCTTCCACCAGATACCCTAAATCATCTCTCTCAAGTTCAAATTCCCACAGATCTCTAGGGCAGGGGCAAAATGCCACCAGTCTCTTTGCTAAAGCATGGCAAGAGTGACCTTTGCTCTAGTTCCCAAGAAGTTCCTCATTTCCATCTGAGACCACCTCAGCCTGGACTTCATTGTCCACATCATTATCAGCATTTTGGTCAAAACCATTCAATGAGTCTCTAGAAAGTTCCAAACTTTCCCACATCTTCCTGTCTCCTTGTGAGCCCTCCAAACTGTTCCAACCTCTGCCTCTTACCCAATTCCAAAGTCACTTCCACATTTTCAAATATCTTTACAGCAGTACCCTACTCTCTGTGTTACCAATTTATTGTATTAGCCTGTTTTCTCACTGCTTTAAAGAAATACCTGAGACTGGGTAATTTATAAAGGAATGAGATTTAACTGACTCACAGTTCTGCATGGCCAGGGAGGCCTCAGGAAGCTTACCATTATGGCAGAAGGGGAAGTAGACACCTTCTTTACAAGACAGCAGGAGTGAGCATGTGAAGGAGGAACTGTCAAACACTTATGAAACCATCAGATCTCGTGAGAACTCACTCACTATAATGAGAACAGAATGGGGGAAACCACCCCCATGACTCAATCACCTTCCTCCCTTGATGTGTGGGGATTATAATTCAAGATATTTGGGTTGGGACAGAGAGCCAAACCATATCACTGTCCGTCTTCATAATAGACTAACTTTCCTCTTACTTCTCTTACACAAAGACCTCATGACTGTCACATCATCTAAGATGGAATGTCAAATATAACCTTTTAAGTTGGAAAAGGAAAAGAAAACAGCTGTAATTAGTCAAATTGCGGTAACTCATAAACCAACCTTTTATGGAACATGTTATAATCTGTAAAATTTATTTTTTGCCTATATAAGCAAGACCTTAACTTTTCAGCTTCTGAACACTGACCCCATTTCTTTGGAGTCTGTATTACCAGGATGGCTATTCTCAGCTTTGCACTTGAATAAACTCTTTTAAACTGGATTGTGATCCTTTCAATTGCTTAAGGTTGACATATGTAATGGGTTCTTTAAGGGCCCAACAGATTCATTTTGCCTGCTGCTTATATAGAGCCGATTTATCATGACAATGGAATTGCAATAGAAAGTTTAATTCATGCAGAGCCAGCTGAGTGGGAGACCAGAGTGCTACTACTCAAATCAGTCTCACCACAAATTTCAGAGACCAGGCTTTTTCAAGGATAGTTTGGTGGGTAGGGGGCCCGAGAGTGGGGAATGTTGATTGATTGGGTAAAAGATGAAATCATAGGGAGTCAAAGCTAGGTCAGTTCCTGAGTGGGGACCACAAGACTGGTTGGTGGGTCCAGGTGGAGCCATTGGCCATCAGAAATGCAGAAACCTGAAAAGATATTTCAAAAGGCCAATCTTAGGTTCTCCAAGAGTGATGTTATCTGCAGGAGTAATTGAGGCAGTTGCAAATCTAGTGACTTTCAGAATAATGGCTGGTAATCACTTAAGTCTATACCTTAGCAGAATTCAGGTTCCTTTCACCCTCTTAACATGGTGGATGCTCATTAGCTTTACAAACGTGATTTACTTTGGGGGACAGGCCATTATCATTTAAACTATAAACTAAGTGTCTTGCAAAGTTAGCTTGGTCCAGGCCCAGGAATGAATACGGGCTTAAACTATAAACTAAATGTCTCACAAAGTTAGCTTGGCCCAGGCCCAGGAATGAATAAGGGCAGTTTGGAGGTTAAAGGCAAGGTTGGGGGGCTGGGTGTGGTGGCTTTTGCCTGTAATCTCAGCACTTTGGGAGGCTGAGGATGTCAAGTGGATCACCTGACATCAGGAGTTCGAGACCAGCCTGGCCAACATGGTGAAACCCCATCTCTACTAAAAGTACAAAATTAGCTGGGCATGGTGGCACATGCCTGTAATCCCAGCTACTCGTGAGGCTGAGGCAGGATAATTGCTTAGACCCAGGAGGCAGAGGCTACAGTGAACTGAGATCGTGCCATTGCACTCTAGCTGGGCAACAAGAGTGAAACTCCATCTCTAACTAAATAAATAAATGCAAGGTGGGGGTTGATTAGATCAGCTCTCTTTCAATGTCATAATTTTCTCACTGTTACAATTTTTGCAAAGGTGGTTTCAATCAAATCTGTTTGGCTATTGCAGGGGAGGAAAAATAATTTTCTCTCCACCCTTACCGGAACTCCCTGTAACAAAAGACAGATTAACAAGAGAAAAACAAATAGAAGTTTCTTAACATGTAGACATCCTATACACATGGGAGAAAACCAGATAAATCAGTAAATATCCAGAGTAAAGAGCTGGAGCCTTGGACTTAAATACCATTATTTGTCAAAACAAATAAAAAAGGGTGTGGAGAAAGGCCCATTTAAGATGAGGTGCCAGGATAAGCACCTTAAATAAAGGTGAGGTTTGTCCTGAAGATTCATGTGGTGCCTTCTTCACTGATAAGCCTCTGATGATTTATCCTCTTTCTCTTCCTGGTACAGAGAGGGAGACATCCTTCCAAATGAAGATTTCCTCTGCAGGTGTAAATTTCCCTTTCAAAATGGGCCAGGCGCAGTGGCTCACGCCTGTAATCCCAGCACTTTGGGAGGCCGAGGCGGGCGGATCACGAGGTCAAGAGATCGAGACCATCCTGGCTAACATGGTTAAACCCCGTCTCTACTAAAAATACAAAAAATTAGCCGGGTGTGCTGGCACGTGCCTGTAGTCCCAGCTACTCAGGAGGTTGAGGCAGGAGAATTGCTTGAACCCAGGAGGCAGAGGTTGCAGTGAGCCGAGATCGTGCCACTGCACTCCAGCCTGGGTGACAGAGCGAGACTCAGTCTCAAAAAAAAAAAAAAAAAAACAGAAGAAGAAAAAGAAAAACTCATTTCGACCCCCTGTGTATCTCTGACACAACCAATCAGCACTCCCAACTCACTGACCCTCTACTCACCAAATTTTTCTTAAAAACTTTGATCTCCGAATCCTCAGGATGATGAATTTGTGTAATAATAAAACTCTGTTCTTCTGCACAGCTGGCTCTGTGTGAATTACTCTTTCTCTATTGCAATTCCCCTGTCTTGAGAAATTGGCTCTGTCTAGGCAGTGGGCAAGGTGAACCTGCTGGACGGTTACATTGTCATGAGCCCCAGCACCATCTAAGGGGGTAGAGTTACTTTCTGTCTTTGTAATCTCTTAGTAGATTGCCTTGGATATGCATCACATTCTGGTTTAATGCTTACTAAATAAGAAAACTGTTTTCTTTCTCTACTATCATTGTGGAGAAGTTTTCTGGGTCAGGAGAAAAAATTATATGTAATTACTGTTAAAGAAAAAGTTATTTATGACACTCATTAAGAGGTAAGGCAGGCTTTACTCAGGACTATTGTGATAGGTGAGGGGACTACTGCAATAGTGTTTTGCAGTTGGGGAGAGAGACTGGGTTCAACTCCAAAGGCAACAAGGAAAAGTGGGAATTTATAGTCAAGGAGCAGGGTCAGTGCTCAGTGAATGGGAAATTACTAAGAGGGAACATCAAGGGTAAGGGGGCTTTTGGCTAAACCAACCTAACAGGATTATTGCTAAAGACAGGCCAGGATGACCAGACATCAACCAGATGGATTAGATGGTGGAGTATGAGGGACCCAATCATATATTGAAGATATCCAGATAATGTAAGAAATACATGGTTGGGTGTGGTGGTGCATGCCTGTAATCCCAGCACTTTGGGGGGACAAGGCAGTGGGTCACTTGAAGCCAGAAGTTCAAGACCAGCTTTGCCAACATGGCAAAACCCCATCTCTACAAAAAATATAAAAATTAGCTGGCAGGGTGGTGTACACCTGTAATCCCAGCTACTTGGGTGGCTGAGGCATGAGAAGCTTGAACCTGGGAGGCAGAGGTTGCAGTGAGCCAAGATTGCACCACGGCACTCCAGCCTGAGTGACAGAGCAAGACTCTGTCAAAAAAAAAAAAAAAAAAAAAAGACAAAAAGAACAGGAAAGAAAAGAAAAATGAAAAAGAACAGAAGAAAAATACAAAGATGAATAGTTGAAAACTGTTTCTGAGTCCAGACAGATTTCTAGACTTAAGATCAAAGCACCTTTAGATGGTGAGGTGGAAAGGGCAGTCATAATCTGAT
Source organism: Homo sapiens (assembly GCF_000001405.40). Lineage (NCBI taxonomy): Eukaryota > Metazoa > Chordata > Mammalia > Primates > Hominidae > Homo > Homo sapiens. Next base: position 96,434,102 of record NC_000002.12, on the reverse strand, counting down.
GAATTTTCTTGTTTGCAGTTTAGATCTCTTTGGCAACAGCATTGGGTGTTTCAGTGAACTTTCTGAGTGGCCCACATGGCAGCAGGCACAAAGGTGATTGTTTTTTTTTTTGACGTCTGTATCAAGTCATCCAGCTTCAGTCTGTGGGGCTTGGGAAAAAGGGAAGTTTGATTTCTCAGGAATTCCAAGTTAGGATGGTGGAAGAAAAATGGAAAACATTGGTTTGGAGAGTTGTAGGCAGACATTGGAGGAAACAGAAGGATTGGGAATTTACTAAGCACTGGCAAAATTTGCAAGAAGGAACCTACTAGGGTACTCTAGAGTTTTCCATTAAAACATAAAAATTCCCTCCACTATCACCTACATTCTGATTCTGGTTTACAAAATGTCTGGTCTCATTAAATTCAGCCTGATTATTTATATAAGTGTAGCCAAAGTGGTAATTGACCACATGGGCCTTTTGAGTTTGCTTTGCTGGAACTTTTCACAAGAAATCTCAGATGAGACTTTGACAGCCTCTCAAGGATAAGAAGCCAAGCCAAGAACTCACCACCAGATTTCTCCTGCAATACCTACAGATTTGGGTAAATTTCTCTCTTCCTGGATTTCCCAAAATATCCTAAGTTTCCTGAGCCTGCCAGGAAGTGCCCTTCCTTACATCTGCAGTACTGGGAGCCCTGTAAGCCAGGTACCAGGCAGATTTTTCCAAGGGGTTTTGTAAGCATTGGCTCGATAAGATCAATTGTAGTTTCTTAAAACTGTCTGGTCATTTCTGATGCTATCATCATTCTCAACTATGACACTCCAGTCAAAGCCTTGGTAATATAACCAATGCTTTCAATTTTGTCCTTTTATGAGAACAGATTCTTACTGAAATTGTGCAAATAATTATATTATCTGTGAAAATAAGAATACTCAATAAAGCCAGGTGCAGTGGTCATGCCTGTAATCCCAGCATTTTGGGAAGCCGAGGTGAATGGATTACTTGAGGTCAGGTGTTTGAGACCAGCCTGGTCAATATAGTGAAACCCCATCTCTGCTAAAAATACAAAAAATAGTCAGGTGTGTTGGCACACATCTGTAATCCAAGCTACTTGGGAGGCTGAGACATGAGAAATGCCTGCACCCTGGAGGCAGAGATTGCAGTGAGCTGAGATTGCACCACTGCACTTCAGCCTTGGAAACAGCAAGACCCTTTCTCAAAAAACATAAATAAATAAAATAAAATAAAGAATACTCAATTCGAGTTTCCAAGCTCAAGAGGGATAAGAAAGGGAGAAAAAAATTTTGATTTCTTGTTTATAAAGGTACAACCTATTTTTTTTTGAGACAGGTTCTCACTCTGTCTCCCAGGCTGGAATGCAGTGGTGTGATCGTAGCTCACTGCAGCGTGGACTTCCCCAAGCCAGGTGATCCCCCACCTCAGCCTCCTGAGTAGCTGGAACTACAGGTATGCACCACCATACCCAGCTAATTTTTTTTTTTTTTTTTTTTTTTGGTAGAGATAGGGTTTTACCATGTTGCCTAGGCTGGTCTCAAACTCCTAGACTCAAGGGATTCACCTGCCTCAGCCTCCCAAAGTGCTGGGATTACAGGTGTGAGCTACCATGCCCAGCCAGTATAATCTCTTATATAGTTGTAAGTTACAGATAACTTAGAAGAAAATGGATAAAGCGTTCTTCATATCTGGAAAAAAGGAACATTAAAAACCTAGTGATGTTCCAAACAAAGATATGTTCATCCTCTCTATCAGTTCATTTAGTAATTCTCAAGTAATTAATTGTTCTGCTTGATCTTGAGTTAGCAGTTTTATGAACCTGTGAGCTTTTAAAGATATGACGGGAGTTTATTTGACAAGTTAACGAAAAAGCAAAGAAAAACCTCTTGCAGTGTGACTGTTTTTCCTTATTGGAAGCCCATTTGGATAACCTGGAAGTTAAACTCTATGAAAAAGTGTTTGAATGTAAATAGACATAGGAAGAGTGTGTTCAGGGTTATGAATATAGCAGGGCAATACACGAATTTTAGAAACAGCATAAAAAGTTTTTATTAAATTGCAAATTTTGACATATTAAGAAAAGCCAAGAGTACAAGATTAAGTTATATTAGAGGAGAATATTGCTTAATTTTGACCTTTAAGATGAAACTTCTTAGCATTAGGCCATTATAACAGTGAGAACTGAAAGAAAAAGTTACAGGACCTGACAAATACTGAAGGAGTTATTATCTTAAGACTTCTTCAGAGGAGAAAAAGCTGAAAGCAGCAAGATATAGCAAAAGTTGAACTTCTGAAATATAATTTTGAGAAGTTTTAAAAAGACATTTATAAAATTTATACTTTTAATTTATAAAATTAAAACTAAAATTTCTTGCAATTTTATTAAGAGTAGATTAATGTTATGGGATCTTTGGGGTGTTGCTTTTTCTGGCCAGAAACCTCTGTGGCTGGTGGCACCTTTGCCTGAGTTTTGTTTGGGCCTGTTGGGCTTGTTCCAGTCACTCGGCCTGGCAGGCTGCACTCGGCTCATGTTACTGGCCTGGGTCCCACGCCTGCCAAGGGCAAGTCAGGCATGGAACAGCAAGGGGTGTGTGAGTGAGAATGGGGTCCAGCCACTGCGCACAGTCAGACATGCCAGCTACTGCAACAGGATGGACAGTTCCAGGTGCCAGCATGGGGGCCAGCTCTCCGCGAGGCTACAGCTGGACCAGGTGTACTGCAGGCAACTTCCATGGTGGGCATCAGGGTACATGGTGGCACCCAGAAGCTTGGAGACACCAAGAACCATAGGGGCCCAAAGAGGGAGTCACAGCCCTGGCTCAGGGAGCTCCCAAGTCTGGGCTCCTCAAAGGGCCACAGCTCTTCTCTCCTTCTCTTTCCCCGTGATGTGGTGAGCAAGGGACATGTCTCAGGCCTGTTTGTGTTAATGCTCTTTTAGCCCCACCATTCAACAGGTCCCAAGTTCTTATCCTGTGACAAGGAAGAATGAGGTACACAGACAGGTGGAGGGTGAGCAAAACAAAGAGGAGCTTTATTGAGTGATAGAACAACTCAGTCTCCCACATGAGCAGGGGGCAGCTCCTTTCTGCAACCAGGCTGTCCCCACTAGTGTTCAGCTCCTGGCAGAGAGGGGACCCTGGAATAGGAAGTTCCTCTCTGCAGGCAGGTCATCCCATTGTCTCTGCAGCTCTCAGCAGAGAGGAGGCCCTGGAGTGGGTTGCTCCTCTCTGCAGGCAGATCATCCCGTCATCTCCCCAGCTCTCAGCAGAGAGGAGGCCCTGGAGTGGGTAGCTCCTCTCTGCAGCTGGTCATACTGATATCTGCCCAAGTTTGGCTGAGCCTGGGGATTTTATGGGCCTGCAGGGGAGGAAGTGCACAGCAGTTGGTCCATGGGTGGCCATGGGCAGGCCTGGAAAAGGCACTGTAAGTTCCCACTCCAGTCCGTGGGACTGGCAGCCTGGCCTCCAGCCTTCAGGCCCTCCCTGGACTGAAGGTGGGGCTTCATTGGGACTTGCCCCCTTCTGCCCAGGAGGCTGTCTGCCTCCTGCTGTGGTTCATGGTGCCCAGGCTGTTCATACCAAAGGCTGCCTGCAGGCCAGCGCTGCTGAGCTGGCCTCAGTCCTGCCTTGGCTTCCCTTCCATGCTCATCCGCACCCAAAATCTGGAGGGTTCTGAGGTAACAGGGGCCTGGTGTGTCAGCACTGCCCCAAGTGTGTGCACACCCAGCCAGGCTGCAACAATGCCCAGGCTCAGCCCCAACTTTGCTCCAAGATTGGAGCAGGCACTGACAGCAGGGAGAAGCCAGGCAGTGGGAGCAGGCACTTCCAAGCCTGCAAGGGCAGTGGGGGCCTTCTTGGGCCCCCAAGAGTGCAGGGATGCCTAGGTCCACAGGTGTAGTTTGGGCAGCTGCAGCTGTATCCCAGGGTCAGGGCTCTTGCTTGCTCCATGGAGTGGGAGCACAGGGATGTCTGGAACTGGAACTGTGTCTTGGGTGGCTGCAGCTGCATCCAAGGAGCTCCTGCTTCAACTCAGAAGGGGTAGGGCTCCTGCTTGTCCCCCACTTTACTGGCTTCATTGAGCATGAAGCCCCAGCCATGCCTCCCTGCTGCAGCTTGTGTGATGGCAGTGTCAACTCCAGATGGCCCACTGCTGCCATCATTAATACCTTAAGAAAATTTTGTTTCAATGTAGGGAACCAATGTTAGAACAACTATAACTTTTAAATAGCTTTTGGATTAGACAACAATTATTTTCCTTTAGTTAAGAAGTTAAGGTTTGTACTGCACATTGCTGTGTGAGTTCTGTGAAGGGGGAGCAAATGAGGAGGTGATCTACACACTGTAGAAGTTAGTCCCCCTTAGAGATTGCTTGGTTAGATTTCTTGCTAGGGTTTGTCTGAATAAGTGTGGGCTATTTTTAACCCTGGAGGTAAGACTATCTAGGTGAAGGTTATTGGTTAAAGATTTAGCTGGCATTCCTGGGAGAAATAGGGCTATTAGAGGGAAAGATGAATTCAGAAGTTGGGTAAATATTAAGCAGGCACCCATTTTGGAAAGTATATTTTTGTCCCAAAGGAGTTTGGGTTATTTAGATACTATAGGGACTGTTGGGAGAAAGGTCGTTGGTTCCTTAAGTAATATAAAGGGGTGTGAATTTTTTGGGGGAGGGAGCAGGTGCTGCTTGCCCTCATTACCTGACAGAATTTGGAGGAGAGTTGTTCAGGGAAGATTAGTACAGAGTAAGTAGCTTTTGAACTTAAAAGGGAAATTTATAATTTCACTTGCCACCTTCAGAGTTGCCCTTGGTTTTGTTGTGTTGATGGTGGTGTCTGATTTGGAAGCAGCTGGAGCAGAGAGCCCCTTCAGTTCAAGGCCACCAAGGGTTGGAATTCCATCCTGGAGGCACTTCAGCCCTCAAGGAAGCTTCATTTCCAGTGGCTGAGCTTGTGGCAGAGCCATGTAGAGCTTTTTCCCATTTATCCCATTGGGGTAGTTTGCCTTCCAGTGGCCTGGCAACTACCTGGAGAAGTTTCCTTAGAGCTATGGGGAGGGGCTGGGGCTTGTACAGCAGCCAACAGTTGAGCTTGCCTTTTGTCCCTGTATTTTTCTTTCTCCTTAGCCCTGTCCTCCTTATTCTGCTCTTGGTTACAAAAGACTGAGGAGACTAATTTGAGGATTTTCTGCAGAGGGGCCATGCTTTATTTCACAAGAAAATTAGACCTTCCTTTTTGAGGGTTTGGGGGTTGAATTTGTCCCAGTGCTTTGGAATGCAGCCTAGAAGTGAGTTTGAAGGAATAGATGGGTCCGACGGAAGGACTGGAAAATGAGCCACTCAGGGCTAACATCTCCTGGGGACATGAACCACACATTCTCTTGGGGCATCCCACTGAGGAAAAGGGTTTCACTCATGTCTGCTTAGGGACTTGGGTGCATTTTCTTTTTTTCTTTCTTTTTTTTTTTTGAGATGGAGTCTCGCCTTGTCACCCAGGCTGGAGTGCAATGGGGGGATCTCAGCTCACTGCAACCTCTACCTCCTGGGTTCAAGTGATTCTCCTGCCTCAGCCTCCCCAGTAGCTAGAGTTACAGGCATACGCCACCGCGCTCAGCTAATTTTTTGTATCTTTAGTAGAGATGGGGTTTCACCATGTTGGTCAGACTGGACTTGAACTCCTGACATCGTGATCTGCTTGCCTCGGCCTCCCAAAATGCTGAGATTACAGGTGTGAGCCACCTCGCCTGGCCTCAGGTGCACTTTCTAAAGGGGTGTCCCACCCATTAGAAAAGACCTCTTCATGCTGGTGCCTTATGCCAGATGGCCAGTCCAGGTATGCTGTTATGCTGGGTGATTAACCCAGGTATGAGGAAAAAGGGTAAAGGAACAACTTGGCTTGGTGCCAGTCCAGGAGAGGGGGTGGGTAAAGAAAGATGTACCATTCTGAGGCTGTCTGGGATCACCTGATTTAGCAACATCCAGAGCAAGATGACTGGGTGACTCCACAGGAGAATTTAGAGTGAGAAAGAGAGGATATGAGTCACCCAAAATGTGTGTGAAGTCACTCTGAATGAGCTACCGCTGCCAGTCATGTCATACATAGGGATTAGGGACCTTTGGCCAGAAAAGAGAGAAGAGGGAATTTTCCTCCATCACAGGCAAGGCAGCCAACCCTGTTCACCCTTTGGCCTTTAGGCAACACTGAGTAGCAGCCCCAGCTGGTTGCTGTTAGTTGCTAGAGGGATACTAGCAGCCGGCTGCTGGAAGACTGAAAAGAGAAAATAAACTTAGGTCCCTCACCTGATGGGTGGTGGCAGTTAGACACTTTCATATGGACACCTTTCAGTCCCACCAGAGTGTAACTTCGGCCAGAGACCTTCAGTTGTCTCCATGCTTAGACGCTGTCCACCGAGGGCCCTGGGTTGGGAAAGAGAGAGGGGAGAGGGTTTCCTGTAAGAAGAGAGAGTCTTCATATGGGCCACCCAAATGTCATGGATAGCAACTAGCTGGGGCTGGTGGTGTGGGTGGTAAAAGAATTTACCAAGACAATTGTCGGTACAGAAAGGCAAATTTTTTAGCGAAAATAGGAAAATACATTGCAAGAAAGCAACAGGCAGATCAGCAAGAGAGGAGCTGACTGCTGGGGATTTAATAGGATGGTGCTTGTGATGGAGAGGGCTGCGTGCAATACTGATAATACCAAGGTTGCAGTGAGCTAGCTTGCATTTTTCTGTCAGGCAAGGGTCTGGTGATAGCTGGGCACAGGCAGATTGTGAGTTATTTGTACAGGAGGACTGTGTGTCCTGGACCATGAAGAAGGACAGACGCATGGCTTATCTGCCTTTTCTTTTTGCTTTCTCCTGCTCCCACCAGCCTGATTCTTTTTCCCTTATTAGGACCCCACAGCTTATTCATGTCCCTAAATATAACACAGGAAAGGATAAGCATCCCTTCTTATGTGACAACATCTTTTCATGCATTAAACATATCAAATACACCAATTTATTTTTATATTTTCTCTTTTTACAAGATTAAAGAACCAATCCTTGAAGATTTTCAAGAAGCCCTCTGGGAAATCTCAAAGTCAGTTTGAGAACAAGATTTCATTTAGGATTTGATTTTTGGGAAGGCAAAATTGTCACACACACACACAAAAAAAACTTCAGCTCTTTTAAAAGTGACAAGTGTTGGTACTCTTAAATAATCAAGGACATGACAAAGATTAACATAAAGCACAGGAGATTCTTCTGAGAATATGTAAAATCTTGCTTTCCTAGACAGATTATTTAAAAGGTGAAGAAAAACCTTTTACAACCTCTTTCTAAGAAAACTTTGTTGTTTTAACAGAGAGAAAAACCAAATTTTAGTTTTGCACCAACGTACTTCTGATATTAGGGCTTAAAAAAACATAAATAAATCCATTCAAATCTTAGCCAGCTTGACCATACATAAAATTCCTTTTCCAAGATTCCTTTTCCACAACGCTTCTACATCCATTCAGGTCCCCTCACCTCCTGCCCCACATTTTCCTTTCTCATTCTGGAACAACTAGATGTTCTATTAATACATTAAAATAAAATTACCCTCTTTCTCTTAACAAAAAAACATACCTTCATCTTACTTTCTTTGCATACATACACATCCGATTTTCCTTGCATACTTTTCATATGCAGTTGTTTTCCTCCAGCTTTATTATTTTTAATAGTTTTAATTACATATATTAATTATAATTTTAACTATTAGTAACCTTTCTTTTACAGAGAAAACTAGGAAGCATACAATTGTGAACTGTCATCACATACCAGTATTCTATAGCAGATTAGCAAAATACTATACAAATACTAACAAGTGTTTTATGAATATACTATCTGACAATTTCTAGAGACATATACTGTTTCTTTATAGTAAAATTTTTCAATATGACAAAAAGAATGTTTACTAACAGATCCAAATGTATTTTATCTACCTATACCATGTAAAAAGAAAAACTCCAAAGTATATAAATTTAAACTTAATCTTAATGATATGATTTGGCTCTGTGTCCCCACCCAAATCTCATCTCAAATAGTAATCCCCACGTGTCGAGGGAGGGAGGTGATAGGATCATGGGGGTGATTTCCCCCATGCTGTTCTCATGATACTGAGTGAGTTATCATGAGATCTGATGGTTTTATAAGTGTTTGGAAGTTCCTCTTTCCCTCTTCTCCCTCCTGCCGCCTTGTGAAGAAGGTGCCTGCTTCCTTTTCCACCGTGATTTTAAGTTTCTTGAAGCTTCCCCAGCCATGTGGAACTCTGAGTCAATTAAACTTCTTTCCTTTATAAATTACCTAGTCTCAGGGAAGTTCTTTATAGCAGTGTGAAAATGGACTAATACACTTAGCCATGAATGTTTTGGTAGTTTATTGTACTTAGAAACAATGTAGACATTTAATGGATTTCTGTTACTTAATTTAACTTAGCATAACTCCAAGGTTGCAAGTTACCAAAAAGATTTTGAAAATTGTTTTCAGGTATTAAACAAAGCTAGCACCAAGTGTAGTGGCTCATGCCTATAATCCCAGCACTTTAGGAGGCTGAGGCAGCAGGATTGCCTGAGGCCAGGAGTTTGAGCCTGCAGTAGCCTGTGATCATGCTATTGCACTCCAGCCTGGGCAACAGAGCAAGATCCTACCAAAAAAAAAAAAAAGAAAGAAAGAAAAGAAAAGAAAGAAAGCTAGCCATCATCTCAAATTCTTCCTCTGTTAACTATTTTTACAGCACATGCATGTTAAACAAATATCATAAAAATAAAAACCTAAATTATTAAATACATAGAGCTTTTGCTTTACTATTGTGTTTGCTTTACTGTTGTGTTTGCTTTATTATTGTGTTTGCTTTACTATTGTGTTTGCTTTACTATTGTGTTTGATATAAGTGAAATAATGGACTTCAAGCAATTCACTTTTACTGCATCTTTACTCGTACATTTGTTCTCATATTATATTAACAATTTTCATATTCTTAAACATCCAGTAGATAAAATATTAGCTTATTTAACTAGTAAACCCAAGTTGAATAGAAATGTATGCTCATATTACATTTAATGCTGGAACTCAGAAGACACAACTGTTTTTATTAAGCCAATAATATTAAACTAATCTTACATATCAAAGATTTACCTAAGTCATATAAACTTGAAGAGCAATATAGTTCCTTTATTTCTGAGAGTTTTAGGAATATTTAAATTATATAAGTACTTATTTTTATTTTTATTTTTTTGACACAGTCTTGCTCTGTCACCCAGGCTGGAGTGCAATGGCACGATCTCGGCTCACTGCAACCTCCGCCTCGTAGGTTCAAGTGATTCTCCTGCCTCAGGCTCCTGAGTAGCTGGGAATACAGGTGCCCGCCACCACACCCGGCTAATTTTTTTGTATTTTTGGTAGAGACTGGACAGAGCTCTTTTATTAATTAATTTTGGCAACACCATGTGGAGATAGAAAACTATCACATGTACATCACATACATACATGGACAAATGCAAATAGAGATCTTACAGCTTTCCGTTCCTTTTTTTTTTTTTTTTTTTGAGATAATCTCGCTCTGTTGCCCAGGCTGGAGTGCAGGCCTGATCTTGGCTCAAGTGATTCTCATGCCTCAGCCTCCTGAATTGCTGGGATTACAGCCATGCACCACCACACTTTGCTACTTTTTGTATTTTTAGTAGAAACTGGGTCTCAGTTTGTTGGTCAGGCTGGTCTCAAACTCCTGGCCTCAAGTGATCTGCTCACCTCGGCTTCCCAAAGTGCTGGGATTACAGGCATGAGCCACTGCACAAGGCCCATTCTAAAATTTTAATACACTCTTATCTTTGATATTTGTATCTGAATTGTGTGTTGCTTTTGTGTATGTGTATGTGTTTGTGGGGGAGATTTTTAAGATTTCCTTCTGCCCTGTTATGTAATCCCTTGGAGCCTGTGGATCACATTTCAAGCATGTTACTAAGGAGATGCTGGGGGCTGCCTGAATGTCCTCACAGCCCACGTGAGTGGATAAAAATTTAATCTAATTCCAATCAGCTTTTTTCTTTTCAGCTTCAGGAAGTTGCTTTTGGGATAACATGAGTCCCCTGAGAGCCCCTGATTGGGGCAGGGGGACTGAAATGGCTGAGGGAGCCAAGGGCTGGGAAAGAGAAATGTCTGGTGGGGGTGGACAGAGGCAGGAGGGGGAGGAGTTTAAAGGGGACACATCAAAGGATTCAAGGGAGCTGAAGGGAAGATCAAAGGTGGTCGGAGGAGGAAGGAGGAGGAAATAATGGGAAGACGGAGGTCTTAGAGGGGCCGTTTTGGGGAGGTCTTAAGTTTCCCAGAAAGACCAATCAAGTTCTAAATTATCCTCAGCCAGCTCATGCACTAAGAAGATGGACAGAGCTGGTGGAGCATATAGTTAGCCAGGGTTCAAGAAGGAAGTTTCAGTGGACTGAAAGATTCCCGTGGGAGGAGCAGGGCCAAATAGAGAACAGAGAGCCTTCATGAAGAGCCAGGGAAGAATCTTCCAGCCCAGGATTTGGGGAGGGGATCCCCACTTGAAACAAAGTGAGGAAGAATTTACCAGCCCAGAGCCAGGCCTAGGAGTCAGAGAATGAATGAATCATCTCCACTGCAAACAAAGAGCGGGACTTCCAGTACAGCAGGCAGCTTCCAATCAAAGATGCTTGGGCCTAGCACTGTGGCTCATGTCTGTAATCCTAGCACTTCCAGAGGCTGAGGCAGGAGGATTGCTTAAGCCCAGGAGTTTGAGACCAGCCTGGGCCAATCCTATCTCTAAAAAATAAAATAAAGTTAGGTGTGTGTGGTGGCATGCACCTTGATATGGCTTGTCCCCACCCAAATCTCACCTTGAACTGTAATAATCCCCAAGTGTCAAGAACAGGGCCAGGTGGAGATAACTGACTCATAGGGCTGGTTCCCCCATACTGTCCTCATGGTAGTGAATAAGTCTCGCAAGATCTGATGGTTTTATAAATGGGAGTTCCCTTGCACAAGCTTTCTTGCCTGCTGCCATGTAAGACGTCTCTTTGCTCTTCCTTCATCTTCCACCACGATTGTGAGGCTTCCCCAGCCATGTGGAACTGTGAGTCCATTAAAAATCTTTCCTTTATAAATTACTTAGTCTCGGGTATGTCTTTATTAGCCACATGAGAACAGACTAATACACAGCTGTAGTTCCAGCTACTCAGGAGGCAGAAGTGGGAGGATCACTTGAGGCCAGGAAGTCAGGGCCACAGTGAGCTATGATTGCTCACTCCAGCCTAGGTGATAGAGCAAGAACCTGGTCTCTAAAAACAAAACAAAACAAAACAAACTTGACTGTAACCCAGCTTCTTACAGAGAGAGAATCTTGAGACTCTAATTCAGCTTTTAGCTTATACTCAGTCTTAAGAATAGAAATCTGTGCTCACACTAGACCGCCTCTCTAGATTCTTCTTCACTGGGCAGGGCCTCTCTGAAAGAAAGGCAGCAGCCCCAGTCAGGGGCTTATAGATAAAACTCCCATCTCATTGGGACAGAGCCACTGGGGGAAGGCATGGCTGTGGGCACAGCTTCAGCAGAATAAAACGTTCCTGCCTGCCGACTCTGAAGACAGCAGTGGATCCTGACAATAAGGGTTCTACCAGCACAGCACTTGAGCTCTGCTAAGGGACAGACTGCCTCCTTAAGTGGGTCCCTGACCCCCGTGCCTCCTGACTGAGAGAGACCTCCCAACAGGGGTTGACGAACACCTCATACAGGAGAGTTCCAGATGGCATCAGGCCAGTGCCCCTCTGGGACAGAGCTTCCAGAGGAAGGAGCAGGCAGCAATCTTTGCTGTTCTGCAGCCTCTGCTGGTGATACCCAGGCAAATAGGGTTTGGAGTGGACCTCTAGCAAACTGCAGCAGACCTGCAGAAGAGGGACCTGACTGTTAGAAGAAAAACTAACAAAAAGAAAGCAATAACATCAACATCAACAAAAAGAAGCCCCACACAGAAACCCCATCCAAAGGTCATTAGCCACAAATATCAAAGGTAGATGAATCCACAAATATGAGGAAAACCAGTGCAAAAATGCTGAAAATTCCAGAAACCAGAATGCCCCTTCTCCTTCAAATGATTGCAAGTCCTCTCCAGCAAGAACACAAAACTGGACAGAGAATGAGTTTGACAAATTGACAGAGGTAGACTGTGGGTAATAACAAACTCCTCTGAGCTAAAGGAGCATGTTGTAACTCAATGCAATGAAGCTAAGAACCTTGACAAAAGGTTACAGAAACTGCTAATTAGAATAACCAGTTTAGAAAAGAATATAAGTGACCTGATGGAGCTGAAAAACATAGCAAGAGAACTTCATGAAGCATACATAACTATCAATAGCCAAATAGATCAAGTGGAAGAAAGGATATCAGAGGTTGAATATCAACTTACTGAAATAAGGCATGAAGATGAGATTAGAGAAAAAAGATTGAAAAAGAATGAACAAAGCCTCCAAAAATATGGAACTATTGTGAAAAGACCAAACCTACAGTTGATTGGGGTCCCTGAAAGTGACGGGGACAATGGAACCAAGGTGGAAAACACACTTCAGGATATTATGCAGGAGAAGGTCCCAAACCTAGCAAGATAGACCAACATTCAAATTCAGAAAATACAGAGAAGACTACTAAGATGCTCCTCGAGAAGAGCAACCTCAAGACAACCAAGGTTGAAGCAAAGGAAAAAATGTTAAGAGCAGCCAGAGAGAAAGGTCGTGTTACCTACAAAGGGAAGTCCACCAGACTAACAGCAGATCTCTTTGCAGAAACTCTATAAGCTAGAAGAGAGTGGGGACCAATACTCAACATTCTGAAAGAAAAGAATTTTCAACCCAGAATTTCATATCCAGCCAAACTGTTTCATAAACGAAGGAAAAATAAAACCCTTTACAGACAAGCAAATGCTGAGGGATTTTGTTACCACCAGGCCTGCCTTACAAGAGCTTCTGAAGGAAGCACTAAATATGGAAAGGAACAACCGGTACCAGCCACTGCAAAAACACACCAACATGTAAAGACCAATGACACTTGGAGAAACTGCATCAACTAGTGTACAAAATAACCAGCCAGCATTATAATGACAGGGTCAAATTCACACATAACAATATGAACCTTAAATGTATATGGGCTAAATGCCCCAATTAAAAGACACAGACTGGCAAATTGGATAAAGAGTCAAGACCTATCTGTGTGCTGTATTCAGGAGACCCATCTCACATGCAAAGACACACATAGGCTCAAAATAAAGGGATGGAGAAATATTTACCAAGCAAATGGAAAGCAAAAAAAAAAAAAAAGTAGGAGTTGCAATTCTAGTCTCTGATAAATCAGACTTTAACCAGCATAGATCAAAAGACAAAGAAGCACATTACATAATGGTAAAGGAATCAATGCAACAAGAAGAGCTAACTTATCGCAAGAACAAAAAACCAAACACCGCATATTCTCACTCATAGGTGGGAATTGAACAATGAGAACACATGGACACAGGAAGGGGAACATCACACTCTGGGGCCTGTTGTGGGGTTGGGGGAGGCGGGAGGGATAGCATTGGGAGATATACCTAATGCTAGATGATGAGTTAGTGGGTGCAGCGCACCAGCATGGCACATGTATACATATGTAACTAACCTGCACAATGTGCACATGTACCCTAAAACTTAAAGTATAATAAAAAAAAAAGAAGAAGAAGAGCTAACTATCCTAAATATATATGCACCCAATACAGGAGCACCCAGATTCATAAAACAAGTTCTTAGAGACTACAAAGAGACTTAGACTCTCACCCAAGAATAGTGAGAGACTTTGACACCCCACTCTCAATGTTAGACAGATCAACAATACAGAAAATTAACAAGGATATTCAGGACTTGAACTCAGCTCTGGACCAAGTGGACCTAATAGCTATCTACAGAACTCTTCACCCCAGATCAACAGAATATACATTCTTCTCAGCACCATATAGTACTTATTCCAAAAGTAACCACATAAATGGAAGTAAAACACTCCTCAACAAATGCAAAAGAATGGAAATCATAACAAACAGCCTCTCAGACCACAGTGCAATCAAATTGGAACTCAGGATTTAGGAACTGCCTCAAAATTGCAAAACTACACGGAAGCTGAACAACCTGCTCATGAATGACTGCTGGGTAAATAACGAAATTAAGGCAGAAATAACAAAATTCTTTGAAACCAAGGAGAACAAAAAGACAATGTACAAGAATCTGGGACACAGCTAAAGAAGTGTTTAGAGGGAAATTTATAGCACTAAATGCCCACATAAGAAAGTGGAAAGATCTAAAATTGACCCTGTAACATCACAATTAAAAGAACTAGAGAAGCAAGAGCAAACAAATTCAAAAGCTAGCAGAAGACAAGAAATAACTAAGATCAGAGCAGAACTGAGAGAGATAGAGACATGAAAAACCCTTCAAAAAAATCGATGAATCCAGGAGCTGATTTTTTGAAAAGATTAACAAAATAGATAGACGGCTTGCCAGACTAATAAAGAAGAAAAGAGAAGAATCAAATAGACACAAGAAAAAATGATAAGGGGGAGCTCACTACTGATCCCACAGAAATGCAAACTACTATCAGAGAATACTATAAACACCTCTACAAAAATAAACTAGAAAATCTAGAAGAAATGGATAAATCCCTGGACATATATACCCTCTAAGACTAAACCAGGAAGAAGTTGAATCCCTGAACAGACCAATAAGAAGTTCTGAAATTGAGACAGTAATTAATGCTTACCAACCAAAAAAAAGCCTGGGACCAGACGGATTCACAGCCAAATTCTACCAGAGGTACAAAGGGAAGCTGGTACCATTCCCTCTGAAATTACTCCAAACAACAGAAAAAAAGGGACTCCTCCCTAAGTCATTTTTGGAGGTCAGCATCATCCTGATTCCAAAACCTGGCAGAGAAACAACAAAAAAAAGAAAATTTCAGGCCAATATTCCTGATGAACATCTATGCGAAAATTTTCAACAAAATACTGGCAAACTGAATCCAGCAGCACATCAAAAAGCACATCCACCATGATCAAGTTTGCTTCATCCCTGGGATGCAAGGCTGGTTCAACACATGAAAATCAATTAGCATAATCCATCAAATAAACAGAACCAATGACAAAAACCACATGATTATCTCAATAGATGCAGAAAAGGCCTTTGATGAAATTCAACATGCTAAACATTCTCAATAAACTAGGTGTTATTGGAACATATCTCAAAAAAAAGAACTATTTATGACAAATCCATAGCCAATATCATACTAAATGGGCAAAAGCTGGAAGCATTCCCTCTGAAAACTGGCACAAGACAAGGATGCCTCTCCCACCACTTGTATTCAACATAGTATTGGAAGTTCTGGCCAGAGCAATCAGGCAAGAGAAAGAAGTAAAGGGTATTTAAATAGGAAGACAGGAAGTCAAATTGTCTCTGTTTGCAGATGACATAATTGTATATTTAGAAAACCCCATTGTCTTAGCTCAAAAGCTCCTTAAGCTGATAAACAACTTCAGCAAAGTCTCAGAATACAAAATCAGTGTGTAAAAATCACAAGCATTTCTATACATCAGTAATAGACAAGCAGAGAGCCAAGTCATGAGTGAACTCCCATTCACAACTGCTACAAAGGAAATAAAATACCTAGGAATACAATTTACAAGGGACGTGAAGGACCTCTTCAAGGAGAACTATAAATCACTGCTCAAGGAAATAGGAGAATACACAAACAAATGGAAAAACATTCCATGCTCATGAATAGGAAGAATTAATATTGTCAAAGGTGGCTATACTTCCCAAAGTAATTGATAGATTCAATGCTATTCCCATCAAGCTACCATTGACTTTCTTCACAGAACTAGAAAAAACTACTTTAAATTGCATATGGAACCAAAAAAGAGCCTGTATAGCCAAGACAATACTAAGCAAAAAGGAAGAACAAAGCTGGAGGCATCATGCTACCTGACCTCAAACTATATTACAAGGCTACAGTAACCAAAACAGCATGGCACTGGTACCAAAACAGATATATAGACAAATGGAGCAGAACAGAGGCCTCAGAAATAACACCACACATCTACAACCACCTGATCTTCCACAAACCTGACAAAAACAAGCAATCAGGGAAGGATTCTCTATTTAATAAATGGTGCTGGGAAAACTGACTAGCCATATGCAGAAAACAGAAACTAGACTCCTTCCTTACACCTTGTACAAAAAATTAACTCAAGATGGATTAAAAACTTAAACGTAAAACCTAAAACCATAAAAACCCTAGAAGAAAACCTAGGCCATAACATGCAGGACATAGTCATGGGCAAAGACTTCGTGAATAAAACACCAAAACCAATTGCAACAAAAGCCAAAATTGACAAATGGGACCTAATTAAACAAAAGAGCTTCTGCTCAGCAAAAGAAACTATCATCAGAGTGAACAGGCAACCTACAGAATGGGAGAAAATTTTTGCAATCTATCCATCTGACAAAGGTCTAATATCCAGAATCTATAAGGAACTTAAACAAATTTACAAGAAAAAAACAAACAATCCCATCAAAAAGTGGACAAAGTGTATGAACAGACACTTCTCAAAAGAAGACATTCATGTGGCCAACAAACATATGAAAAAAGCTCATCATCACTGGTCATTAGAGAAATGCAAATCAAAACCACAATGAGATACCCTCTCACACCAGTTAGAGTGGCAATTATTAAGTCTGGAAACAACAGATGCTGGTGAGGATGCAGAGAAGTAGGAATGCTTTTACACTGTTGATAGGAGTGTAAATTAATTCAACCATTGTGGAAGACAGTGTGGTGATTCCTCAAGGATCTAGAACCAGAAATACCATTTGACCCAGCAATCCCTTTACTGGGTATATACCCAAAGGGTAATAAATCATTCTACTATAAAGACACATGCACATGTATGTTTATTGTAGCGCTGTTTACAATAGCAAAGACTTGGAACCAACCCAAATGGCCATCAATGATAGATAGACTGGATAAAGAAAATGTGGCACATACGCACCATGGAATACTCTGCAGCCATAAAAAAGAATGAGTTCATGTCCTTTGCAGGGACATGGAAGAAGCTGGAAACCATCATCCTCAGCATACTAACACAGCAACAGAAAACCAAACACTGCATGTTCTCACTCATAAGTGGGAGTTGAACAATGAGAGCACATGGACACAGGGAGGGGAACATCACTCACCGGGGCCTGTTGTGGGGTGGGGGGCAAGGGGAGGGAGAGCATTAGGACAAATACCTAATTCATGCGGGGCTTAAAATCTAGATGATGGGTTGATAGGTGCAGCAAACCACCATGGCACATGTATACCTATGTAACAAACCTGCATGTTCAGTACGTATATCCCAGAACTTAAAGAAGAAAAAAAAAGATTAAACAAACAAACAAACAAAAACAGAAAAAAAAAAAAGGAATCTGTACTCACTAACTTCGACAGTCATTTGACTGGAGCAATGGTTCAGGAGTCTGACTCACCAATGGATCCCAAATCAATCAGGAGTGAAGACTAAAGGCTTCAGTGATGCACACTTAGGATGCTGGATGAGAAGCCTGGGAGTCCAATGATGAATCTGATTGATACGGTTTGGCTGTGTCCCCACCCAAATCTCATCTTCAATTGTAGTTCCTGTAATCCCCTGGTGTGATGGGAGGGACCCGTTGGGAGGTAATTGAATCATGGGGGTGGTTACTCCCATGCTGCTGTTCTGATGATAGTAAGTGAGTTCTCATGAAATCTGATGGTTTTAAAAGGGGCTTTCCCCCAGTTTTGCTCTGCACTTCTCCTTGCTGCTGTCATGTGAAGAAGGACATGTGTTTTCTTACCCTTCCACCATGATTGTAAATTTCCTGAGACCTCCCCAGCCCTGTGGAACCGTGAATCAATTAAACCTTTTTCCTTTATAAATTATCCAGTCTTAGGCAGTTCTTTATAGCAGTGTGAGAACAGACTAATACACTGATCCTATCTGAATCACAGCACCTTAATTGTTAAAAATTAATAAATGGTGCTTGTTCAAGGCAGGAAGGTAGACTTTATTCAAGACCTGTTTCTTTTATTCAGGGTATAGGTGTAGGCACTACTGCAATGGGCCTCTGCAGCAGGGATGAGAGAGTGGGCCCAATTCCAAACATAACAAGGAAAAGGGAAATGTACAGCCTCCCAGGGTGGATGGGGTTCAGTGGCTGGAAAACTACTAAGAGGAAGCCTCGGGGGTCAGAGGGCTTCTGGCTAAACCCACCTCACAGGCCAGCGTGATGGGACATCGCCTTGGGGTTGGTGAGGATGAGGAACCTGATCTGACATCAAGGGTGATCAGATAATGAGGGAGGGGGTTCTGGCTAAACCAACTTAGCAGGGTTCTTGCTAAAATTGGACA
Organism: Homo sapiens; assembly: GCF_000001405.40. Lineage (NCBI taxonomy): Eukaryota > Metazoa > Chordata > Mammalia > Primates > Hominidae > Homo > Homo sapiens. Next base: position 96,415,642 of record NC_000002.12, on the reverse strand, counting down.
ATGCAGAGATGAACACAGAGACCTAAAAGTCAAGGCCTAGTTGGGAAGATGGTTCTGGAGAAAATAAATTTCTGTTTTTGTTTGTTTGTTTGTTTGTTTGAGACAGTCTCGCTCTGTCGCCCAGACTGGGGTGCAGTGGCGCCATCTCAGCTTACTGCAACCTCCACCTCCTGGGTTCAAGCAATTCTCCTGTCTCAGCCTCCCAAGTAGCTGGGACTACAGCCACCTGCCACCATACCTGGCTAATTTTTGTATTTTTAGTAGAGACGGGGTTTCACCATATTGGTCAGGCTGGTCTCAAACTCCTGACCTCAGGTGATCCACCCTCCTCAGCCTCCCAAAGTGCTGGGATTACAGGCGTGAGCCACTGCACCCACCCAAATTTCTGTTGTTTAAGCCACCCAATCTGTGATATTTATTATGGCAGCCTGAGAAGATTAACACATTTTCCTAGATTCAGGCACTAGCTTGATTCTAATTTCTCTTTACAAAGAGTTCCTTTGTGAAAAGAATTCTTTCCTTTTGTGTTATTTCCCTGAGTATATTTGTGGTGATGATATTTTCTCAGACTCTAGAATAGTAACTACTGGAGAGAAGACAATTTTCCTTCTACTCTCTGAAGATTTGATATTTGAGTCTCTGAGAAAAATAAAAACACCTGACAATAGACAGGTTAATGGGAGGAAAAGCATACCAATTTATTACATGCATACACACGGGAATCTCACAAAATATAGGACTCAAAGAAAGGCCAGAAGATTGAAGTTTGTTTGTTTGTTTGAGACGGAGTTTCTCTCTTGTTGCCCAGCTGGAGTGCAACGGTGCGATCTCGGCTCACTGCAACCTCCACCTCCCGGGTTCAAGCAATTCTCCTGTCTCAGCTTCCCAAGTAGCTGGGATTACAGGCACCCGCCGCCACGCCCAGCTAATTTTTGTATTTTTAGTAAAGATAGTGTTTCACCATGTTGGCCAGGCTGGCCTCGAACTGCTGACCTCAGGTGATCCACCTGCCTCAGCCTCCCAAAGTGTTGGGATTATAGGCATGAGCCACCACACCTGCCCTGAAGTTTTTATAGCATTGGAATAGGGTTTTGAACTTCTGGCTGCAGTGAGTTATGACACCAGATGGTGGCAGATGGTGAAGATGGTGACAAGCTATGAGAGGGTTGGGGAAGCAATGCACAGTGAATAAAATGTCTTATGGGTGCAGTGGCTCAGGCCTGTAGTCCCAACATTTTGGGAGGCCAAGGCAGGAGTATCGCTTGGGCCCAGGAGTTCAAGACCAGGCTGGGCAACACAGTGAGACCCCCATCTCTAAAATTCTTTTGTAATTAGCCAGGCATGATGGTGCATGCCGCTAGTTCCAGCTACTCAAGTGGCTGAGGTAGGAGGATCAATTGCCTGAACCCAGGAGTTCAGGAGTTCAAGGCTGCAGTGAGCTATGATCATGCCACTGCACTCCAGCCTGGGTGACAGAGCAAGCTCCTGTCTCAAAAAAAAAAAAAAAAAAAAAAGTCTTATTATGCAGCTAAATTCTCAGGTAATCTCGAACTGCCTGCAGAATAGTGATAGCCTGTGACAGTCTCTGTCTGGGCAGGTGCCTAGTCTCTTTCTGTGATATGATCCTTCCTAGCTCTGACTCTAGACAGGTAAGGGGCCCTTAGAGAAAGCTTCTGCTTTCGTCCGCTGTTGATTAATGTAGATTTCCTTTATAGATGCAAATTTCTTTTACGAAAGGACAGCTTTTCAGAGCTATCCCTGCGCCTGCAGGCTCTCTGAATAGCCATCTTGAAATATGTCAAAGAAGTATATTTTGGGATGGCATATCTTAGTCTCCCATCTAATACACATGTTATGACCACTATACAAATTGTTATGGGGCCACAGGAAGATAATGCTAAGATTGGGCTTCTCTGGCCAATCCTAGGGGAACAATCAACAGGACTACAGTTGCAGCAGTGGAATGCCCTGCCTGGCCCCCAGCCCTGGACATTGCCCCATTCACCTGTCCCTCGCTTCTCTAAACCTCCCTGTAACTCTGTCTTCTGGACCCATGTGTCTGCTGGGTGTACAGCACCCAGCACTTGGAGCCAGTGAGTATCATATGTTAAGGAAAAATTGTTGGGCTTGGACCAATCACCCACCCCATTCCAGCCAGAGCCTGTCTCTTGTTTGTTCACCGACTACACACCCTATCCAAACCAAGCCTCTGGCTCTTGTCCTCTAAGTGGCACTGTTAAAGCGGAAACACGAGAAGGAATAAAGGAGCTTATTCTTTTTTCCTTCTTATTTATTTATTTAGAGACAGGGTCTTGCTTCATCACCCAGGCTTGAGTGCAGTTGTTACAGGAAAGGGGTCCTGATCCAGACCCCAAGAGAGGGTTCTTGGATCTCGTGCAAGAAAGAATTCAGGGCGAGTCTTCAGTGCAAAGTGAAAGCAAGTTTACTACGAAAGTAAAGGAATAAAAGAATGGCTACTCCATAGACAGGGCAGCCCCAAGGGCTCCTGGTTGCCCATTTTTATGGTTATTTCTTGATGATATGCTAGACAAGGGGTGGATTATTCATGCCTCTCCTTTTTAGATCATATCGGGTAACTTCCTGATGTTGCCATGGCATCTGTAAACTGTCATGGCACTGGCGGGAGTGTAGCAGTGAGGACGACCAGAGGTCACTCTTGTGGCTATCTTGGTTTTGGTAGGATTTAGCCAGCTTCTTTTCTGCAAACTGTTTTATCGGCAAGGTCTTCATGACCTGTATCTTGTGCTGACCGCCTATCTCATCCTGTGACTTAGAATGCCTTAACTGCCTGGGAATGCAGCCCAGTAGGGTTCTGCCTCATTTTACCCAGCTCTTAGTCAAGATGGAGTTGCTCTGGTTAACACGCCTCTGACACAGTGGTGCGATCTCAGCTCACTGCAGCCTCTGCCTCCCAGGTTCAAGCGATATTCGTGCCTCAGACTCTTGACTAGCTGGGGTTACAGGTGCATGCCACCACACCCAGCTAATTTTTGTACTTTTTAGTAGAGATGAAGTTTCAGCATGGTGCCCAGGCTTGTCTTAAACTCCTGAACTCAAGCGATCCTCCTCCCTTGGCCTCCCAAAGTGTTGGAATAAAGACGTGAACCACCGTGCCCAGCCGTGGTGTCTCTTCTTACAAGGTCACTAATCCTGCAGAACAGGGTCCCACCCTCGACCTCACCTCGTTTAACCCTTATTGCTTCCTTATAGGCCCTATCTCCCAATGTAGTCACATTGGTGGTGAGGGCATCAACATAGGAATTTGGAGGTGAAGGGGAGAAAAAAATGTATAATTTCTTTTCTCAACCCTCATAAGTTCCTAGCTGGGACACCTCTGTAACAAAAGACAGATCAATAGGAAAAAACGGTTGGGCTCAGTGGCTCACGCCTGTAATCCCAGCACTTTGGGAGGCCGAGGAGGGAGGATCACTTGAGGTCAGGAGTTCAAGACCAGTCTGGCCAACATGGTGAAACCCCATCTTTACTATAAATACAAAAATTAGCTGGGCGTGTAATCTTAGCTACTAGGGAGGCTGAGGCAGGAGAATCACTTGAACCGGGGAGGCAGAGGTTGCAGTGAGCCGAGCCGAGATTGCGCCACTGCACTCCAGCCTGGGTGACAGAGCAAGACTCCGTCTGAAAAAAAAAAAAAAAAAAAAAAAAAAAACAAAACAGGAAAAAAAGGAATATAATTTTTTTGGTGTGAATGTACAAATTTATTGACATGCATATGAACAGAAGAGACACATACAAAATATAAGACTCAAAGAAGGGGCCAGGCCACTGAAGTTTTTACATCATCCTGAGGTTATAGAGGGACACAGGTTATGGGAAAGTGTGTCTAACAAAGGCTGTCTTGTGGTGCAGATGAAAATATCCCTCAGCCGGACATTGTGGCTAATGCCTGTAATCCCAGCACTTTGGGAGACTGAGGCAGGAGAATCGCTTGAGCCCAGGAGTTTGAGACCAGCCCTAGCAACATAGCGAGATACCATCTCTGAAAATAATTTTTAAAAATTAGCTGGGCATGGTGGTGTGCACCTGTAGTCCCAGCTACTCAGGAGGCTAAGGTGGGAGGATCTATAGAGCCTGGGAGTTTGAGGCTGCAGTGAGCTCTCATTGCACTACTGCCCTCCAGCCTGAGCAACACAGCAAGACCCTGTCCCGAAAAAGAGAAAAAAAAAAAAAAAAAAAAATCCCAGGTAAACTCAGAGCTGCCCTCAGAAAGAATAGATGGTGGCCTTTGGTAAAAGATTCTCTCTGAGACCTTTAAAAGTGTCAGACTTCAGTGTTTATTTTCCTGAGTTAATCTTTCCTAGATTCAGATAAGGGAGGCATTACCCCCAAAACCGGGTTTGTTTGCCTGGTGAGTAACAAATGACTCTCCATGAGGATGCAGGTTTTGATCAATAAAAGTTTTATTACCTGGCCCAAGTAGGTAGAACCCTGGGAGTATTCTCCAAGGCAGTGTCCCCTGAGGGAAAGTGACAGGAGGGTTTCATGGGGCGATGGAGGGGGAGAGGATGTGTCTTCGCATGTGGAGGAGGGGTCCCAGAGGTGCAGACGCAGTGATCCTCATGCCAGCACATAGGTCGCATGTGATGGTGATGGAGCTGAGCTGCAGCCCTTCCTGGGGTGGAGACTTTAGCATGGTAACAAGAAAGGTCACTTGGGTTCATCTGTAAGTTGCTAGGGTCTGTTGGGAGCTGGTTTGAATCAAGTGGGTGACTGCATTCTAAACAGGGCTTGGAAGAAACAGGCTGCAGGGCAGGAGGCTGTAAAACAGGCTGATAGGCTGGGCGTGGGGGTTCAAGCCTGTAATCTAACACTTTGAGAGGCCAAGGTGGGTGGATCACCTGAGGTCAGGAGTTCAAGACCAGCCTGGTCAACATGGTGAAACCCTGTCTCTACTAAAAATACAAAAATTAGCTGGGCGTGGTAGCACGAGCCTGTAGTCCCAGCTACTCGGGAGGCTGAGGCAGGAGAAATCCTTGAACCAGGGAGGTGGAGTTCGCAGTGAACCGAGATCACACTCCAGCCTGGCACTCCAGCCTGAGTGAAAGAGCGAGACTCTGTCTCAAAAAAAACAAAAAACAAAACAAAACAAAAAAACCCAAAACAGGCTGATTGCTTAAGTTGATTAAATTCCTATAATCCTTTGAGATCCCCCAACCCCCTCACCCCTGCACCCCACTTGCTTACAGGGTCCTCAGGGAAAGCCTGGGCATTGATTTCACTAACATAGATTTTCTCTCCAGGTGCAACTCTCCCTCACGAAAGGCAGCTTTTCAAAGTCCTTCTTCTGTTTGCAGCCTCTCTGAATAGCCATCTCAAAATAAGCCAAAGAGGTATATTTTGGGGTGAAATATTCTCGTTTCCTTTGGGGGAACACAAACATTCAACCCATAACAGAGACAGTCCCTGTCAATGTCATGTGTTAACAGTCAGGAGGCAGCCCAGGGTGGAGCGGCAGGCTGGAGACCCGGGATTGCTGGGCTGAGATCCGGCTGGGGCATCCCTGAGAGCAGGAGGTGGCTGGACCGCGGGAGGTCAGTGCCTGCCTGGCGGGGAGCCCCAAGGGCACCTGTCTGGGCTAGCCAAGAGGAGAGCATCCGCCCCGGGAGGAGTGCAGGCAGGACTCCCGCTGACAGGGCCTGCTTGGTAGATGCTGGGCAAGTAATTAGAGAAGGGACGATTACCCACCACAGGCTGTTGGCTCTGGATGTAAAAGAAATTGACATGAGGCCAAAAGAGTTTTCCCAGACGAGGCTTCATTAGAGCTTATGCCTGGACATAAGGGAGGCAGCACTAGAGAGGAGAGAGAGAGAGAGAGAGAGAGAGAGAGTGATAGAGAGACAGAGAGAGAGAGTGACGGAGAGACAGAGAGTGAGAGACAGAGAGAGACAGAGACAGAGAAAAAGACAGAAAGACAGAGAAAGAGACAGAAGGACAGAGACAGAGAGAGACAGAAAGACAGTGAGAGAAAGGCAGAGAGAGCGACAGAAAGAGAGAGAGACAGAGAGAGAGAGAGGGAGAGAGAGAGAGAGAATTTCCTGACTGACTCTCCAAAAAGAGCTGGTGGAGATTTTTTTATTAGACAAAGCATAGGAACTAATATCAGGGGTAGGGCGAGCAGGCTGAGCCGGGCAGACCTCATAAGGGGTAGGGTGTGCAGGTCAGCATATTTGATTGCCATGGTTTTCATGGTCAGGATAACCATGACCCATTAATAATAATGGGCCACCTGGTGGTCTGGCTGGTAGCAACAAAGCTTTAAATCAATTGTTCAGAATTCCTTCCTGGGATGCGACACTGTGCAACCTTGGTTATCTCCTCAGGCCAGTTCCTGGAATTTTTTTTTTTCTTTTTTTTGAGACAGGGTCTTGCTGTGTTGCCAGGCTGGAGTACAATGGCACCATCATGACTCACTGCAGACTTGACCTCCCTGGGCTCAAGTGATCCTCCCACCTCAGACTCCTGAGTAGCTGGGACTACACGTGTTTGTCACTATGCTCAGCTAATTTTTGTATTTTTTTGGAGAGACGGGGTTTTGTCATGTTGCCCAAGCAGGTCTAAAACTTACAGACTCAAGCGATCCGCCTGCCTCGCCTCTCAAAATGCTAGGATTACACATGTGAGCCACTGCGCCTGGCCAGAGTTCTTTAAGTAAGCGGCATGGTTAAACATTATGGCATCGTGGGGTAGTGGTGTGGGTTTTGTGATCCGTGGGAATGCTGTAGTGGGGCTGAGCTGAAGCCAAGTCTTATCTCTACTGTCTCAGTACTCTCACTCCAGCTATTACCGAGCAAATGGGCTTGCTGCCTGACTGCACAGAAGCCAACACTGCTGCTCCAGCTTTGAGAAAAGAAAAGCTTCATTGTGAGGCAGACCAGCAAGGAGACAGGAGGCACAGCTCAAACTTCTCTCTCCAATTTGGGGTGTGGGGCACGTTTTAAGGGGTCAGAGGGCAAGGGAAAGTATTTAGGAATGTTGGCTTGGCAGGGTCTGATTGGAGGGCTTCAAATTTAACCATTTGTGGTAAGGTATGTTGAGGCAGATTTTAGCCCCAGATCTTCCAGGCCCATAGACTCCTTCCTTTTGAAAGGGTTCCAGTGTTCAGGTTCTGGTCATGTCCCAGTCCTGTTGGCTCTGCAGGAAGAAATCATTGGTTCCGGTGTTGTTAGAGGTCAAAGCTTTTTCTATTGTGCCTGGACTACATGACTCGCAGTTTTGGCTTGGTTATACCTACAAGGTAACTTGACATTCTCTTATCAACAGAGTAGGCTCAGTTTGGTCTGGTTCTGTGATTACGCCACTCCTTGTATCCTTTCAAATAACCATTTCGGGCCAGGCACAGTGGCTCACATCTGTAATCCCAGCACTTTGGGAGGCCGAGGCAGGAGGATCACTTGAGGTCAGGAGTTTGAGACCAGCCTGGCTAACATACAAAAACTAGCCAGTCAAGGTTGCAGGAGCCTGTAATCCCAGCTACTCAGGAGGCTCAGGCAAGATAATCGTTTGAACCCGAAAGGCGGAGGTTGCAGTGAGCCGAGGTCGCGCCATTGCACTCCAGCCTGGACAATGGAGCAAGACTCTGTCTCAAACAAACAAAAATAAAACAAAACAAAAAAAACCCCACCCATTTCGTTACAGTTTGAGAGAGTCTGAGAGGCTGAAAGGACTGGATCCTTTCTGTGTGGGTGTTGATGTCACAGATTTGACATCATTGTCCCCGGGCCCCTCTGGGGGAGCTGGCCCCTGCAGTCCCTGAGGCTGAGTCTGGGCGTGAAAGGCTTGCTTTTGGCTGGCACACTGGGACCGTTGTTTTCAGCCAACAGATGAAACCCAGCTAGTTGGAAGAGGCCCATTCAACCCCCATGTTTACACATGAGGAGCTGGGGGCCAGGGCGACAGGAAGTGGCTTGCCCATGTCAGTGGAGCTGGTGGCAGAGCATCCGCTTGGCAGAGGATGGCAGCCCACAGCCCCAGGCGATGGAGGCACCCCATTTCCAGTGTGGCTGCTTCGTGCTTGCTGTTGACTTGCAGTTTGGAACCTTGTACTGCGTGCTTCATTCGCAGGACAGAAGCTAAATCTGCGCCCTCTGCCGTCCTCTCAGAGGAAGTGCCTGTATTTGGTGAGAACGGGGGTGAGAGAGGCTCCAAGATGCCCCTTGGCAGAAATTTCCAGTAATTGGCTGGGAGGAGGCTCACCCCACCTGAGCAGGAGCAAGCGGCGGTAGGGAACACAGCGCGCACGAAATAGCAAATTTCACTGATTATTGAGAAGAAAGGAGAGGGGGTGTATTTGGTGAGCTGGAGGTGGTCTCCTCACATATCTGTTAGGATGTTTGCAGCCATGAGCAACAGGAAACCTAATTCCAATGACCTAAACAAGGAGGCTTTGTCATCCCACATCACAGGCAGCCCCAAGGCAAGGCAACTCCGGGTCAGCTACTTTAGTAGCTCAATTTGGTACCATCAAGAATCATAAATCATGGATGGGCACAGAGGCTCGTGCCTGTAATCCCAGCACTCTGGGAGGCTGAAGCGGGAGGATCACTTGAAGCCAGAAGTTGGAGGCCAGCCTGGGCAATATAGTAAGACCCTATCTCTACAAAAAAATGTGTAGAGATGTGGTGGCACATGCCTATACTCCCCCCTACTTGAGAGGCGAGGCAAGAGGATCGCTTAAGGCCAGGAGTTTGAGGCTGCAGTGAGCTATGATTATGGCACTGAAATCCAGCCTGGGTAACCGAGCAAGACCCCCACTCTCTAAAAAAAGAATCATAAATCATAACATCGCTTTGTACTCCAACAATTTATACAATTATAAAATATTGATGTACAACTTTAAAAAAACAGGAGCGAAAAAAGAGTCCTTCCCCCTCAGCCATCCTCAGCATACAGCCTGGCCCCACCTCCCATGCCTGCCAGATGGCAGCTGCAGGCCCACGCAGACTCCCAGCTCTGCGGGGAAGATTCGCTGTGAGTTTTTTTAAGAAACTATCCCCCATCGGCCAGGCGCGGTGGCTCATGCCTGTAATCCCAGCACTTTGGGAGGCCTAGGCGGGCAGATCACAAGGTCAGGAGATCGAGACCATCCTGGCTAACATGGTGAAACCTCGTCTCTACTAAAAACATAAAAAATTAGCCGGGCGTGGTGGCGGGCACCTGTAGTCCCAGCTACTCGGGAGGCTGAGGCAGGAGAATGGCGTGAACCCAGGAGGCAGAGCTTGCAGTGAGCCGAGATCGCGCCACTGCACTCCAGCCTAGGGGACAGAGCGAGACTCCATCTAAAAAAACAAAAAAGAAAAGAAAAGAAAAAAAGAAAAAGAAACTAAGAAACTATCCCCCAGCAAATGTTCCTGTACATCTCATTGGCCAGAGCTGCATCACATGCCCATTTGTAAACCAACAATGGACAAGGGGAATGGGGCCACTGTGACTGGTTCAGTCAATCAGATTGGGCTGAGCTGGAGATGGGACTCTGGTCACCTTCCCTGAGCCTGTGGGCCAGATGGGCAAAGAAGGAAGACAAGGCTGACTGTGGAGAGCCAGCAGTGTTACAACGCCTCCCCACCTGTTTTAGAACCTGCCAAAGTCAGGGTTGGACAAAAGGGTTTCACACCCTGTTTTATTCCCTGTCAAAGCCCACACAGTATCCAGATGCTCCCCTTGTTGAAATGGGGTCTTTGGCAGTCCAGCCTCCTGGGTCTCGGTGGGCAGGGTGTCGGGAAGACACGGCCTCTACTGGGGTGTCTGGTGACTGTTCCAGCAGGAGGGGATGGAGGGGCACCCTAACTCTATTTCAGAGCCCTTCTAGGCCTGAGATTGTGGCCCGGATGGCCTCTTACAAAAGGAAACCTGCCTTCAACTCCTTCCAGCAAAATCTCCAGGAATTTAAACAGAGGGAGGGTCTTAAGCTACAGGTGGAATTCCTCCCTGGATGGAGAAGGAGGCACATCCTCCAAAGCAGGATTCCCATCAGAGGCACTGAAGGCACAGAATTCACATTGCTAACCACAACAGTGGCCAGAGCAACACTGACACCTTTTATTCTGGCAAAAAATAAAAATGAAAAGAGGGTGAGAAATTGCTATGTGGACTCAGTTTTCCTGCTGTGGTTGTGAGGGATGAGATGGGGATTAAATTAGATGAAGAATCTTTTGTTTTAAAAATGTATCTTAACATTTTCTTTTTAATTATACAAATAAGAGATTCTTATTAAGCTCTTCTCCCATCTTATTAAACCCATCCAGGTCCCCCTCAAAGGGATCCAGTCTTCCAGACTTTTGCTATATATTTCCTTCTTTTTTTTAAGACCAGGTCTCACTTTGTTACCCAGGCTGGAGTATAGTCGTGCGATCTCAGCTCACTGCAACCTCCTGGGCTCACACAATCCTCCCATTGGATCGGCTGCTGCCAAGATGCCAGCTACAGAGGGGAGGTGTGGCCAGGGCTACACACTCCATGGAGCCAGCTGGAACCAGGGACAAGCGGGAGCCCCACCCCTTCCGAGTTAGCAGAGTGGAAGCTCCCTGGGCACAACGGCAGCTGCCTAAGTCTCAGCTGTGGACCCGGGCCTCCCTGTGCTCCAGGGGGCTGGGAGCAGTCAGGAGTCCCACACTCCTGGGTGCAGGTGCAGCTGCCCAAGCTGTGGTTGTCGACCTGGGCATCTCTGCACTCTTGGGGGCCCAGGAAACCCTCACTGTTCCTGCAGGCTCACAGGTGTCTGCTCCCACTGCCTGGCCTCTCCCTGCTCCCAGTGCCTGCTCTGATCTCAGAACAAGGTTGGGGTCAAGCTTGGGTGCTATCGCAGCCTGGCCAGGTGTGCGCATGCTTGGGGCAGTGCTGAAACACCTCCCCCCTGCTGCCTCAGCCCCCTCTGGACTTTGAGTGCTGATGAGCAGGGGAGGGAGGCTGAGGGGGCACTGAGGGCAGCTTGGTGCTGGCCTGTAGGTGCCCCTTGGCACAAACAGCATGGGCGCCATAGAAAGCAATAGGAAACAGACAGACTCTGGGGCGGAAAGGGGTGGGTCCCCAGTGAAGCCTCACCTTTAGGCTGGGGAAGGCCTGAAGCCTGAGGGCCAGGCTGCCAGCCCCAAGGAGAGGAGGGGGAACTGGTGGCACCTTTTCCTGGGCCTGCCCATGCCGCCCATGGACCAATCAGCATGCACTTCCCCCCCTCTGAGGCTCACAAAAAGCCCTGGACTCAGCCATATTTTGGGAGATGACAGGACAACCTGCCTGCAGAGAAGAGTTACCCACTCCAAATCCTCCTCTCTATTGAGAGCTACAGAGAAGATGAAACAACCTCCCTGCAGAGGGGAGCTACCCAACCTAGGGTCTCCTCTCTGCTGAGAGCTGAACACTTGACAGGACAATCTGCCTGTGGAGAGGAGCTACCCACTTCCCTGCTACTCATTCTGTTGCTCAGTAAAGCTCCTCTTTGCCTTGTTCACCCTCCACTTGTCTGTTTTCCTCATTCTTCCTCGGCACAGGACAAAAACTTGGGACCTGCTGAATGGTGGGGCTGAAAGAGCTGTAACACAAATGGGACTGAAACACACCCCTCGCTTACCACATTGCGAGAGAAGAGAAGGAGAGAAGAGTTGCGGCCCTTCGGGGAGCCCAGACCTGGGAGCTCCCTGAGCCAAGTCTGCGACTCCCTCTTTGGATCCCTGCAGTTTCTGGAGTCTGCAAGCTTCTGAGCATCACCACCTTGCCTGGTGCTAACCACGGAATCTCCTTGCGGTGCACCTGGTCCAGCCATGGCCTTGCAGTGAGCTGGTCCCCATGCTGGCACCTAGAGCTGCCCATCCCACTGCAGCAGCCAGTGTGCCTGACAGTGCGCAGTGGCTGGATCCCATGCTCACTCACTCACACACCCATTGCCAGTCCATGTCTGGCTTGCCCTTGGAGGCATGGGATCCAAGTCAGTAACGTGAGCTGAGTGCAGCCTGCCAGGCCAAGTGGGTGGAACAAGCTCAGCAAGCCTGAGCAAAACTCAGGCACAGGCCACAGAGGTTTCTGGCCAGAAAAGCAACACCGCAAGTATCCTGTGACACCATCTCAGCCCCCCAAGTAGCTGGGACTACAGGCACGTGCCACCATGCCTGTCTATCATTTTTTGATTTTGTATTTTTTGTAGAGGTGGAGTTCAACCTTGTTGCCCAGGCTGGTCTCAAACTCCTGAGCCAAAGATTTGTTGGCCGAGCACGGTGGCTCACGCCTGTAATCCCAGCACTTTGGGAGGCCGAAGTGGCCGGATCACAAGGTCAGGAGATTGAGACCATCCTGGCTAACACAGTGAAACCCCATCTCTACTAAAAATACAAAAAAATTAGCCGGACGTGGTGGCGGGCACCTGTAGTCCCTGCTACTTGGGAGGCTGAGGCAGGAGAATGGCGTGAACCCTGGATGCGGAGCTTGCAGTGAGCCGAGATGGTGCCACTGCACTTCAGCCTGGGTGACAGAGCAAGACTCTGTCCCCCCCACCAAAAAAAAAAAAAAGATTTGTTATCAGAGACACTGCAGGCAAGGCACTATTATGGCAGCCCAAACAAACGGACACACTCTGTATAGAAATATATAGGGCCGGGAGCGGTGGCTCATGCCTGGAGTAGGCCGCCTATGTATTTCTATACAAATTGTGTTCATTTGCTTGGGCTGCTGTAACAAGGACCACAGCCTGTGGACTTAAACAACAGAAATGCATTCTCTCACCGTTCATCATCTCACAGTTTGGGAGGCTGAAGTCCCAGGTCAAGGGGGCAGCAGGGTTGGTTCCTTCTGAGGCCTCTGAGCAAAGGATCTGTTCCAGCCAGGCATGGTGGCTCAAACCTGTAATCTCAACACTTTGGGAGGCTGAGGCGGGTGGATCATGGCTCACACCTGTAATCCCAACACTTCGGGATGCTGAGGCGGGGGGATTATTTGAGGTCAGGAGTTTGAGAGCAGGCTGGCTAACATGGTGAAACCTCATCTCTACTAAAAATACAAAAACTACCCGGTGTGGTGGCGGACGCCTGTAGTCCCAGGTACTCGGGAGGCTGAGACAGGGGAATTGCTTGAACCCGGGAGGCAGAGTTTGCAGTGAGCTGAGATTGTGCCATTACACTCCAGCATGTGTGACACAGCGAGACGCCATCTCAAAAAAAAAAAAAAAAAAAAAAGGATCTGTTCCAGGCCTCCCTCCAGCCTCTGTAAGCCTCTGGCCTTTCTTGAGTGTGGATGGTGTTCTCCCTGTGTCTTCACATCATCTTCCATCTGTGTGTGTCTCTGTGTCCAAATTTCCGTTTTAAAATGTATTATGTTTAATTGTGATATTTACCATCTTAACTATTTTTAAGTATACAGTTTAGTGGCATTTAGTACATTCACACTGTGTGCAACCCTCACCACCAGCCATCTGCAGAACTCTTTTCATCTTGCAAAGTGGAAATTTTATACCCATGAGACACTAATTCCCCAGTCTCCCCTTTCCTCCAGCCTCTGGCAACCACATTCTTCTGTCTCTGTGAATTTAACTATTTTAGATATCTCATATACGTGGAATCATACAGAATTTGTCTTTTGTGACTGGCTCATCTCACTCAGCATGTCTTGAAGAGTCATCCATGTTTTAGCGTATGTCAATATTTCCTCGCTTTTTGAGGCTGAGTGATATCTTATTATATGTCTAGACCGCATTTTGTTCATTCATCCATCGATGGTGCTTAGGTTGCTTCCACATTTGGCTATTGTGAATAATGTTACAGTGAACACAGGTGTGCAAATATTTCTTCAAGACCTTGTTTTCCATTCTTTCCGTACATACTCAGAGGTGGAATTGCTGGGTCATATGGTAGTTTTATTTTTAATTTTTTGAAGAACTTCCATCCTGTTTTCCTTAGCGGTTGTACCATTTTATGCTCTCCGCAACATTGCACAGGGGTTTCCGTTTCTCTACATTCTCACCAACCTTGCTGTTTTCTGATTTTTTGACAGTAGCCATCCTAATTGGTGGACACCAATCATATTGGATTAAAGCTCACCCTAATAACCTTATGAGTATATGTGTTATGGGCTGAATCATGTTCCCAAAACCATGTTAATGTCCTAACCCCAGTACCTGTGAATGTGACCTTATTTGGAAATAGGTGCAGATGATCAAGTTAAAATAAGGTTATACAAAAGTATATAGTATGCATATTCTGTTTTTCTTACATAAGTGGTATGCTTTTCTATAGCTTTTTTTTTTTTTTTTTTTTCACTTAAAAGGTGAAAAATAGGCTGGGCATGGTAGCTCATGCCTGTAATCCCTTTGGGGATTACACGCCTGTAAGCACTTTGGGAGGCCGAGGCAGGCGGATCACCTGAGGTCAGAAGTTTGAGACCAGCCTGCCCAGCATAGTGAAACCCTATCTCTACTACAAATACAAAAAAATTAGCTGGGTGTGGTGGTAGGCACCTGTAATCCCAGCTACTCAGGAGGCTGAGACAGGAGAATCGCTTGAACCCAGGAGGCGGAGGTTGCAGTGAGCCGAGATCGCACCACTGCATGCCAGCCTGGGCAACAAGAGCGAAACTCTGTCCAAAAAAAAAAAGTGAAAAATAGTGTGTTTTGGGGCTCCTTCCACCTCAGGAGCTTGTTTTTGCTGTATATTAGTACATGGTGTGGCTGTTCAACAATTCCTTAACAGTAAGCATTCAGCTACTTTGAGTATTTCAAACAAGGCTGCCAAGAACATTCTAAGAGCTGTTCTAACCCCAAAGAAATATAGAATGTTCTTCACAGCATTGTCTGAAATACTCAAAATCAAGTGTTCCTCCCACCTAGGCCTCCTAAAGTGCTGAGATTACAGGCATGAGCCACGCACCCTGCCAAGAACATTCTTTACAAGCCTCTCTGTGCATCTGGATGAGTGTGTCTCTAAAATAAAGACCTAGAAACGTAATTGTTGGGTTGGAGGGCGTGTGCATTTATATTGTAAATATTGCCAACATTGTCCACCAGCATTGGTGGGGGGCAAGTACCAGTCTCCCCACCTCCTTGCCAATCCCTGATGTTATCTGTCTCCCCGACAGCGTTCTCCCTTTGCTGCATGGCCTCCTACCTGGGCAGCAGCCCTTTCTCCTTCCCCCGGGGATTAACCACCTGTTTGCATCTGTGTCAGGAAGGATTAAACCAGCTGCATGTAACAGAAAGGATGAAGTTACATTTGTTTGATTGCATATGTGTTTGTCTTGTTTTGTTTATATGAAAGAATCCTGTCATAGGCAATGGAAGGCTGGCCCTGTGGCTCATGGGCATTAGGGACCCAGACTCTCTGTCCTTCTGTATCTTCTGTGTCTGTAGCACATGGCTTCCTTTCTCAAGGTCGCCTTGCAGTCATGAGGGCTGGCTGCTGGAGATCCACCTGGAACCCGCATCCTGGACCGTGGGGAGGACGCAGTCCTTGCGGGGAAGGATGGGCTCTTTCAAAGCACTTTTCTCAGTCCCGCTGACATGTCACTGGGACAAGTCAGAATGGAGTCACCTGGCCACACCTAATTGCAAGGTTGCCTGGGTGGTGCAGTCTTCAGCTGCACACATTGCCAGGGTTCTGTTGCTGAGGAGGGAAGAGGGGTGGTAATGAGTGAGTGGTAGCAGCCTCTGCCTCAGCATCCTTCCCTGTGCTTCAGAGTATGGCATTTCAGGAATGTCAGGAGCAGGGCCTTGTGGGCAGTGGTAGGTGACAGGGAAGGGGGAGGCATCCTTGTGACCTGTCTTAGGGGCAGAGTTCCCTCCATCAGCAGCAGATGTTAGTAGGGGGCTGGCTCCTCAGCCTTGAGCAGGGCCTGCCCAGTGGAGGATGGAGGCAGCAGGAGAGCAGGCCTCTGGGAAAGCTCGGCACCCTGAGGCAAGAGCTGCACCTGCTGAGAGTGGCTAAGTAGTCTCAGAACCCACCCAGACACCAGGGTGGAGGCAGGCTTAGGCTAGAGTGGAGGCAGAAGGAGGATGCAGGAGGGATGGTGTGTGTGTGTGTGTGTGTCTGTGTGTGTGAGTGAGGGTGTGAGAGTGTGCATGAGTGTGTGTGAGGGTGGGTGAGTGTGCGTGTGTGTGAGGGTGTGTGAGGTTGTGAGTGTGTGTGTGTGTTAGTGTGAGTGTGTGTGTGTTAGTGTGAGTGTGTGTTACCAGAGAAGTGGGGTGTTGCCATAACAAATACCTAAAAATGTGGACACAGCTTTAGAACCACGTAGTGAGTAGAGGCTGGAATCATTTTGAAGTGAATGCTGGGAGAAGCCTGTACTGCCGTGAATAGAGTGTTGATGGCAATTCTGGTGAGGGCTCAGAAGTGGAGAAGAGCTGTAGGGAAAGTCTGAAACTTTTTAGAGATTGTTTAAGTGTTTGTGATCAGAATGTTGGGAGAAATATGGATGGTAAAGGCAATTCCGATGAGGCATCGGACGAAATGAAAACAAGGTATTGGAGATTGGAGTAAAGGCCATTCTTGTTATAAGGTGACAAAGAACTTGGCTGGATTGTGTCCATGCCTGAGGCCATTATGGAAGGCAGAATTTAAGAATGATGAACTCGGCTGGGCACGAGGGCTCATGCTTGTAATCCCAGCACTTTGGGAGGCCAAGGCAGGACTACTTGAGCCCAGGAGTTCGAGACCAGCCTGGGCAACACAGTGAGACCCCATTTCTACAAAAAAATTTTTTTTTTTAAATTAGCCGGGTGTGGTGGCATGTGCCTGCAGTCCCAATACTCAAGAGTCTGAGCCCAGGAGGTAGAGACTGCACTAAGCTGTGATCACGCCACTCACTGCACTCCAGCCTGGGCAACAGAGTAAGACTCTGTCTCAAAAAAAAAAAAAAAAATGGCAAGTCATGGTGGCTCACACCTGTAATCCCAGCACTTTGGGAGGCTGAGGCAGGCAAATCACTTGAGGTCAGGAGTTTGAGACTAGCCTGACCAACATAGTGAAACCCCACATCTACCAAAAAATACAAAATTTAGCCGGGCATGGTGGCGCACGCCTGTAGTCCCAGCTACTCGGGAGGCTGAAGAGGGAGAATTGCTTGAACCCGGGAGGCAGAGGTTGCAGTGAACCAAGATCGTGCCACTGCACTCCAGCCTGGGCGACAGAATGAGACTCCATCTCAAAAAAGAAAAAAGAAAAAAGAGAAGGGAAGGGAAGGGGAAGGGAACTAGGGTATCTGGCAGAAGAAATATCTAAGCAGCAAAGCATTCAAGTGCAGTGTGGCTTCTTTTAACTGCATGAAGTAAAATGCAAGAAAAGAGAAGTGATTTAAAGGCAGAATTTAGAGTTAAAAGGGAAGCAGAACAGAAAGATGTGCAAAATTCACAACGTGGTCATTTAAAGATTAAAGAAGTACATTCAAGGGAGAATAGCAGGGATATGGCCAAGTGACAAGGAGATTAGTATGTGCTATAGCCAATGCTGCTCATCGACACTGGGAGAATGACCCCAAAGGCACTTCAGAGATCTTCAAGGCTGCCCCTCCATCACAGACTCAGAATGTGAGGGTCTTGAGGGCAGAAAGGGCTTGCTGCCCCGGGCTGCCTCCCCAGGGCTGCCTCAAGTCTCTGCTCTATGCACTCCAACACAGCACCCCTTGGCCACCCCAGCTGTGTGGTTCAAGCAGGCCCAGGTGTGGCTCATGCTGCTGCTCCAGATGGCACAAGCCTGTAAGTCTGGGCAGCATGCGCGTGGTGCAGGAGCGCAGAGGGCACAGGCTGTGGGGCCACAGCATCTCCCACCTAGATTGCAAAGGATGCCTCCGGGAGCCTCAGAGTCCACGCAGAGAACTGCTGCTGGGGTGGAGCCACCACAGAGAGCCCCCACTAAGCCTAGAAGAGACATGGGGTGGGGCTACCCCCAAGACCCCGGAACTGTAGAGCTGGGAGACCAGCGTGCCACACCAGCATGGGAGAGCTGCAGGCCTGAGACTTCAACCCGTGAGAGCTACTGCATGGGCTGAGCCCAGGAAAGCCATGGAGGTAGGGCTGACTGAGACCTTGGAGGTCCAACCCCTAACCTCATCGTGTGTAGGAGATGGGACAGATAGTCAAGAAACACTACTGAACCTTAAGATTTGATGTTGTTGACTCTGTTGGGTTTTGGATGTTCTCCGGGCCAGTTAGCCGTTTTTCCTTGCCTGTTTATCCCTTTTGGGATGGAAATGCCTGTCCCATGTCTGTCTCGTGTAATTTGGAAGTGGGTAAGTTGTTTAACTTTGCAGGCTCACAGCTGGAAGGAAATTTGCCTAGGGATGAATCACACATTGAGTCTCAACCATACCTGATTTAGACGATATTCTGCCTTTTGAATTGTTGTTAGAATGAGTTAAGACTTTGGGGATATCGTAATGGAATATGTATTTTGCATGTGAGAAGGACATGAATTTTGGGGGCCAGGAGCAATGCTATGGTTTGAATGTGTCTCCCCAAAAGCATGTGTTGGAAATGTAATTGCCATTGTAACGGTTTGTTTGTTTGTTTGTTTGTTTTTAGACGGGTCTTGCTCTGTCGCCCAGGCTGGAGTGCAGTGGTGCAATCTCAGCTCACTGCAACCTCCCCCTCCCGGGCTCAGGTGATTCTCTTGCCTCAGCACCCCCGAGTAGCTGGGACTACAAGTGTGCCCCACCTTGCCAGGTAATTTTTGTATTTTTAGCAGAGATGGGGTTTCATCATGTTGGCCAGCCTGGCATTGTAACAGTCTTAAGAGGTGGAATGGTGAAGAGGTGATTAGGCCATGAGGCCTCCACTCTCATGAATGGAGTAATGCTGTCATCCTGGGTCATTCAAAGAGGGCAAGTGTGCCACACCCCTTTGACTCTTCTGCGTGTGAAGATAAGTGTTCCTCCCCTCTGGAGGATGCAGCATTCAAGACATCATCGTGGAAGCACAGACCAGACCCTCACCAGATACCAAACCTGCTTGGACTTACCTGCCTCCAGAACTGTGAGAAATACATTTCCATTTATTATAAATGACTCAGCCTCAGGTATGCCGTTTTAGCAGCACAAATGAACTAAGACAGTAGGTAAATAAATATAAGTAAATGCTGTTTCAAAAACGGTAAAAAGCAGGAAAAGTCCTAGAAGCCCAGAGCGGGGGGACAGCCTTAGAGATGGGACCTCCCTGGTGCCAGCTATTAAGTCACTGTCTCTCAGCTCCAAACCCACCTACTCTTCTCCACTGGGAGATGCTGGGTCTGGCTCTGCAAACTATACTTCTGCTTTGCCGGACACTCCCTGTTAGGCTATCCCAAGAGGCATTTGAGGGAGACTGTGGGGCAGGAGGAAAAGGGACTTGACCCTTTCTGTCTGCTTCCCACCCCGAGAGCGTGCCCTTGCAACACTTCCTCACCCTGGCATTGCCAGTTCCTTCCTGCCGCAGCCATTTGCAGATTTCCCAACACTCGCAGAACCCCCCTCATTGTGCTCCTTGAAAACACTAGCACCAGCTGAGCAGAAGGGTCAGAGTTTTAGCTCTACGGAGTTTTAGCTCTTCAAGGTCTCTAAATCTTTCTCTTTCTTTGAGTTTCCCAGCCCTAGAGGTGGTGGTTTCTTCCAGTCACTGCTACTTCCCTGATTCCTTAGACTTCTTGCTTTGTCCTTTTGGTGGTGAAAAACTCTATGCCTGTAAACAACTCTTTATAGTTAATTCTCTGTTCAAATCACAGGTTCCGGTCTCCTGGCTAGACTCACATCATACAGCACCCATCCCTGTTTTTGATAGGAGATGACTGAGACCAGAGGGAATCTTTTAAGGCAATGCCATTAATTCAGTACTTTCATTTATCTGTAAGAACAGGGAGATAGATGATTCCCCTAACTGGGCTTCCATTTTGACAGAAAGTAGCAGTTCTCACGTGTTTTGCCAGTGACACCCACTGGGTAGCTGAGTGTCTCAGTCTCAGCAGATTCGATTCCTCTTCCACAGTGGCTGCATTTCCTCTGGGTGCCATGAGATTCTTACCCTCTTTCCTCCTGATTCCTCCTTCAGCTAGAAGAGGGAGGTCAGCTCTGTTCTTCACCTTTCTCTTCTAGGATAGTCTGTTTTCTGGTTCTGCTTTTTTTTTTTTTTTTTTTTTTTTGGAGACAGAGTCTCGCTCTGTCACCCAGGCTGGAGTGCAGTGGTACGATCTCATCTCACTGCAACCTCCACCTCCCAGGTTCAAGTGATTCTCCTGCCTCAGCCTCCCAGGTAGCTGGAATTATAGGCACCTGCCACCATGCCCGGCTAATTTTTGTATTTTTAATAGAGATAGGGTTTCACCATGTTGGTCAGGCTGGCCTTGAACTCCTGATCTCAGATGATCCGCCGGCCACCTTGGCCTCCCAAAGTGCTGGGATTACAGGCGTGAGCTACTGCTCCTGGCTCTGCAATATTTTTATTTCTGAGGAAGTATCATTAGATTTCACTTGAGGAGCCCAGTTGTAAATGAATCCTGCTCATCCTTATCCAGGGAAAACCATCTCTGACGGTAGCAAAAAGATTTTGGCTGGGCACAGTGGCTCACAACTGTAACCCCAGCACTTCAGGAGGCCGAGATGGGTGGATCGCTTGAGCCCAGGAGTTTGAGACCAGCCTGGGCAACATGGCAAAACAAAACCCCATCTCTACAAAAAATTAAAATATTAGCCGGCTGTGATGGCACATACCTGTAGTCCTAGCTACTTGGGAGGCTGAGGTGGGAGGACTGCTTGAGCCCAGGAGGTTGAGGCTGTAGTGAGCAATGATTATGCCACTGCACTCCAGCCTGGGTGACAGCGCAAGACCCTGCCTCAAAAAAATAAATGAATAAATAAATTCTGTTTGGAAAAGCTACTTTGAACTTGGGGTCAGAACACCTGGAGCAGCTTGCCCCCAAGCCTTCTGAAAAGCAGGGAAATTTGGGCGACTGTTCTATTTCCTTCCTGCGGAAATAAAATAAGCTTGTTTAGCAGAGCCTCTGAAGGAAACTTCCCAGCCACCATCCGTACGGAACAAAGGACGTTTATGTTCATTGGAAATGCGACCATCACTGCCCACTGCCACTCCGCACAAAGTCTGAATTGTCACAGCAGAGATGTGGCGGGGACGTCATAAATGAGAAGAGACGTTGAGTCTAGAATGAACAGAGTGTTGAGATATCAACCCACTGACAGAGTCACTGCCTGGCAGTCCCACTAGAGAGACACAAATACGATATCGTTCCATTTAATCTGACAAAGGTTTTTCCCCACTGATTTGAGGATTTACTCGTGTGAGAAATCTTACAAAGATATACAAATGAAATCACAACCTTTTATTTCCTAAGTCATTTTTATGGAAAATATAAAATTCGATGAACTCAGGACTGTTGGGAGAATCCACGGAGAAGAGTCTGGGGACAATCCATCCCAGAAGGGAGCACTTTGTGTCCAGTCAGACGTCCACAGTGCATCCAGCACACATGACATGCAGCCGAGCAGACAGTCTCTGCTTTGCTTAATCACCAGAACCATTGCTGAGACACAGGACTCTGATGCTGAATCAGAGGGTCTTGGATCCTGGGGTCTTGGTCTTACAGAAAAACAAATGTGTAGCAAACTCTAGTAGGAAGCAATGAACTTCCAATTTGCTTCAGCAGGGGATTAAGAAAAAGCATAATACATCTACAGAATTATGGGAGCAGCTCTTCTAGAAGACATTCTTTGATACCTGTACAGTTTCAACTTTCTCCAAAGCACTCCGGTCCACATTAGGCCTGTGAAGCAAGCAAGGCAGGGATGGTTATGCCTGTCTGGTGATGAGGAATCTGAGGCGTACAGAGGCTAGGGGTCTGGTCCAGCACTGCACTGTTAGGCAATTTTAAGAGTACCTAGCCCGCACCTCCAACCCTATGTCCTATGGTTGCTCACTGATTAATTGTCAGTTTGTCTTTTGTTTTAAAAGGGATCTGGCCAGGTGCGGTGGCTCACGTCTGTAATCCTAGCACTTTGGGAGGCTGAGGTGGGTGGATTGTCTGAGCTCAGGAGTTCAAGACCAGCCTGGGTAACACGGTGAAACCCCGTCTCTACTAAAATACAAAAAAAAATTAGCTGGGTATGGCAGCATGCACCTGTATTCCCAGCTACTTGGGAGGCTGAGGCAGGAGAATCGCTTGAACCCTGGAGGTGGAGGTTGTAGTGAGCTGAGATCACGCCATTGTTCTCCAGCCTGGGTGACAGAGCGAGACTCCGTCAAAAAAAAAAAAAAAAAGGATCACTTACTCATTCAGTACATGTTTATTGAGTACCTACTATATATTGCTTTAGAGGCTGGAGATCCGGTTGGTACGGAAGGCAAGGTCCCTCCCCTAGGGAGCTACCGTTCTGGAGTTAACAACTGAGATCATTTTCAATAGCAATAAGGCCATGGAGACAATAAAAGAGGCTGAGGTGAGAGGGACGTGGGGGATATGTTGGGAGGTCAGGAAAGGACACACCAGGAAGTAACATGGAAGCTGAATCTTTAAGATCCCTCTTTCTTGGAGTGGCCTTTTCTCGCAGAGTCAACACTTGGAAACCTGGGAACACAGCATTCCATGCAGAGGGAACAGCAAGCGGAAATGGGCATGGTTTGCTCCAGGGACAGATATAAAAGGTCAGTGTGCAGGGGAAGGATGAAGAGCTGGGAGGCTCAGTGGACAGGAGGGGAGAGGGCTGGCGGAGGCCACCTGATGGTGTGGGGTCAACAATACATGCTTGGGTGCTGAGTGCAGTGGGAAACACACACATACAATCACACACTGATACAGTTTCAATACATGATGCCACGTAATCTCATGTTGAATTGTAATCCCCAATATTGAAGATGGGGCCTGATGAAAGGTGATTGGAACATGGTGTAGAATTCTCATGAATGGTTTAGCACCATCTTCTTGGTGCTGTCATTGCAATAGTGACTGAGTTCACGTGAGATCTGGTCATTTAAAAGTGTGTGGCATCTCCCCCACTGCACTCTCTTTCTCTTTTTTTTTTTTTTAAAAGACAGGATCTTGCTCTGTCACCCAGGCTGTGGTGCAGTGGCACAACCTTGACTCACTGCAACCCCCACCTTCCGGGTTCAAGTGATTCTCGTGCCTCAGCCTCCTGAATAGCTGGGATCACAGGTGCGCACCACCACGCCCAGCTAATTTTTGTATTTTTTGTAGTGACGTGGTTTAACCATGTTGGCCAGGCTGGTCTCAAACTCCTGACCTCAAGTGATCTGCCCACCTTGGCCTCCCAAAGTGCTGGGATTCCAGGTGTGAGCCACTGCACCTGGCCCCCTACTCTCTTTCTCTTGCTCCTGCTCTGCTATGTGAGATGTCTGCTCCTGCTTCATCTTCCACTGTGAGTAAAAGCTCCCTGAGGTCTCCCCAGAAGCTGAGCTGATGCCTGTGTCATGCTTCCTATAGGCTGCAGAACCATGAGCCAATTAAACCTCTTTATAAATTACCCAGTCTCAGGTATTACTTTTCAGCAATGCAAGATAATACACACACATGCAAGGGCTAATACACACACACAAACACACACACACACACGCAACTGGTGGAGAGTGACCATTTGGTAGAGGCAGGAGTTAAGTGAGCACGCCAACCCCCAAACCAACAGTGATAAATGTCATGGGAATGACACAGCGAAGGTTGCTGCCTAGGCATTAGAAGCAGAACCACACACCCAAATGGTTCAAGCAGGTGACCAGAGGTAAGAACTTAGAAGCAGCTCTCTCACCTAGCAGCTCCCCACTTTTCCTGCTGCTTCTGTTTAATGGACCATTCAGGCATTTGTGCATGAACTTAAGGTGACCCACATCCTATTTCCTTATCTATACTCCTGGGCTCTGATGAGCCTCCTTATACATACTGTCAGTTGCTGCCTCTCTCTCTGTCTCTCCCTTTCTTTCTCTCTCTCTCTCTCTCTCTTTCTGCCTGACCCTTTGTTCCTGCTTCGTGTGAGCCAGGGACAGGAGACATCCTCCTGACTCACTGTGCCTTCCCTGCCCAGGATCTGAAAGTAATAAATCTTTCAGCTTGTTTCTGATTATGGTGTACTGCGCCCTCCATCTGAAGAACCAGGGGCTACCCCAGGCGGAGTTTTCCCTGGGATGCCAGGGAGAACACAAGGTCAGGATCCTAGCATCAGAGCAATGGGCAGGCAGGACATGGGTCAGACAAGGGCCACCAGGTGTCTGCCAGTATAAACAAGTTTCCCAGTGAGGGACACCTGGTCATGGATCAGACAACTAAGCAGCAGGCTGTCCACAGTTAGAAGTAACGAAAGGCACAGTGTAAACACCCACATCCTGCTCCTGCTTATTTCGTGTTAGGGCGGTGTTGCTAGGCACTGTGGTACCGGACCCCCAATTTAGCTGGGGGCTTTCAAAACAGTAAAATACTGGATTTAAAAAAAATACTTAAAGGCCAGGTATGGTGGCTCACACCTGTAATCCTAACACTTTAGGAGGCCAAGGCAGAAGGATTCCTTGATGCTGGGAGTTCAAGACCAGTCTTGGCAACATAGAGAGACTCCATCTCTACAAAACTTTCTTTTTTTTTTTTTTAATAAGTTGGGCATAGTGGCATGTGCCTGTTGTCCTAGCTACTCCAAAAGCTGAGGCAGGAAGATCGCTTGAGCCCAGAGGTTCAAGATTACAATGAGCTATGATCATGCCACTGCACTCCAGCCTGGGCAACAGAGTGAGACTCTGTGTATTAAAAAAAAAAAAAAAATCAAAACAAAACAAAACAAAAACCCCAAACTTAAAGATACTGGAAATCAGACAGAAACCAGAAGAGTTTTATTTATTTTTTATTTTTTTCGAGACAGGATCTTGCTCTGTAGCCCCAGGCTGGAATGAATTGGTGCAAACACGGCTCATTGCAGCTTCGACCTCCTGGGCTTAGGTGATCCTCTCACCTCAGCCTCCTGAGTAGCTGGGACTACAGGCCCATGCCACCATGCCTGGCTAATTTTTGTATTTTTTGTAGAGATGAGGTCTCGCCACAATGCCCAGGCTGGTCTTGAACTTTTGGGCTCAAGTGATCCTCTGGCCTCAAAGTGATCCTCTGGCCTCAAGCTCCCAAAGTGCTGGGATTACAGGCATAAGCCACTGCACTCAGCCATAGTTGTTTTTTGTTTTTTGAGACAGGGTCTGGCTTTGTCGCCCGGGCTGAAGTGCAGTGGCACAATTGCAACTCACTGTAGCCTTGACCTCCTGGGCTCAAGCCATCCTTCCACCTCAGCCTCCCAAGTAGCTATGACCACAGGCGTGTGACACCACGCCTGGAAAATTTATGTATTGATTGATTGATTTTTTTTCAGAGACAGGGTCTCACTGTTGCCTAGGCTGGTCTCAAATTCTTGGGCTTAAGTGATCCTACTGCCTCGGCCTCCCAAAGTGCTGGGATTACAGGCCTGAGCCACCACACCCTGCCTCAGAAGAGTTTTAAACTAAAACTAAAATCAAAACAAGCAAACAACAAGACAGTTCTGGGCATGAGCTGCTTTGCTCCACTGACAGTTCAGCTGTGCCTACGTGAAGCAAACCCCTCAGGGCCTGGTGAAAGAGTCTTCTCTTGAAAGACAGCTATGCAGAACAAGGGCTGTGGGTCTGATGCTCCTTGCCTCAAACACATGCATCTTGGGTTTCAAAAAGCTGAAGTTAAGGACAGAGCACACAGCAGGCAGAGCGGCTGGAAATTAGGGGAATCCCTAGAAGCAAGGAAGTCACAGCCACGATGAACCCCATGTCTGCCCAAATACTTGGCTAGCCACCAAATCTGGCAGGCAGAGGAAAGACCTGTGGGATCAGGCTTAAAGCAATAGCGGGTCACAAAAAGAACAGATATCAATAACTACACTGTGAGGGATGTGAAGTTTGCAGATTGAATCCAGACAATTAACTGCTTACTGGAATAAAAATCCAAGCATCTTTAGAAGAACATGACAGAATCCAAAGTCACTATAACATTGTATCTACAATATCCAATGTTCAACCAAAAGTTACTAAACATGCAAAGAAACAGGAATATGTGATCTCTATTCAGGAAAAGGGGCAAATAGAAATTGATGCTATGCGGGCCCAGATGTTTGATTTAGCAAAGACTTCCGAGTAGCTATTATAAATATGTTTAAATAATTGAAGGAAAATATACAATCAATGAAGAAATGGAGAATCTCAAATTAAAAATAAAAACAATAAAAAAAAGGCCGGGCGCGGTGGCTCATGCTTGTAGTCCCAGCACTTTGGGAGGCCGAGGCGGGCGGATGATGAGGTCAGGAGATCGAGACCACGGTGAAACCCTGTCTCTACTAAAAATACAAAAAAAAATTAGCCGGGCGCGGTGGCGGGCGCCTGTAGTCCCAGCTACTCAGAGAGGCTGAGGCAGAAGAATGGCGTGAACCCGGGAGGCGGAGCTTGCAGTGAGCCGAGATCGCGCCACTGCACTCCAGCCTGGGTGACAGAGACTCTGTCTCAAAAAAAAAAAAAAAAAAAAAAAAAATAGAATAAATAAATAAATAAAATAAAAAATAAATAAAAATGTAATCCCAGCACTTTGGGAGGCTGAGGTGAGCAGATCATCTGAGGTCGGGAGTTTGAGACCAGCCTGGCCAACATGGCAAAACCCCATCTCTACTAAAAATACAAAAATTAGCCAGGTGTGGTGCACACCCATAATCCCAGCTTCTTAGGAGGCTGAGGCAGGAGAATTGCCTGAACCTGGGAGGCAGAGGTTGCAGTGAGTCAAGATCATGCCACCGCACTCTGGCCTGGGTGACAGAACCAGAATCTGTCTCAGAAAAATAAATACATAAATAAAAATAAAAATAGAAATCCTAGGCTGGGATGGTGGCTCATGCCTGTAATTCCAGAGCTTTGGGAGGCCAAGGCAGGAGGATCCCTTGAGCCTAGGAGTTCAAGACCAGCCTGGGCAACATACTGAAACCCTGTTTCTACAAAAAAAATTTAGCCAGGTGTGGTGGCACATGCCTGTAATCCTACTTCCTGTAGCTCCTAGGGAGACTGAGGCAGGAGTATTGCTTGGGCCCAGGAGTTTGATGAGCTATGGTCACACCATTGCACTCCAACCTAGCTAACAGAGCGAGACCCTGTCTCTACATTAAAAAAAAAAAAAGGCTGGATGAGGTGGCTCATGCCTGTAATCCCAGCACTTTGTGAGGCCAGGGCGGGCAGATCATTTGAGGTCAGGAGTTTGAGACCAGCCTGGCCAACATGGCGAAACCTCGTCTCTACTAAAAATACAAAAATTAGCTGGGCATGATGGTGTGTGCCTGTAATCCCAGCTACTTCGGAGGCTGAGGCAGGAGAATCACTTGAAACCAGGAGGTGGAGGTTGCAGTGAGCTGAGATTGCACCACTGCACTACAACCTGGGCAACAGAGCAAGACTCTATCTAAAAAAAAAAAAAAGGAAATCCTATAGCTGAAAACTATGTAATTGAAATAAAAATTGTGCTATATAGGCTTGTCTCATTCTGTTTGGGTTGCTGTAACCAAATTCTATAGACTGGGTAAGCTTCTAAAGAACAGACATGTATTGCAGTAGAATGTATTGCAGTTCTAGAGGCTAAGAAGTCTGAGAGCAAGGCACCAGCAGATTGGGTGTCTGGTGAGGGCCCACTCTCTACTTCATAGATTGTTCCTTCTTGCTGCGACCTCACATGGTGGAAGGGGCAAACAAGCTCCCTCAGGCCTCTTTTATAAGGGCCTTGAATCCATTCATGAGGGCTCCACCCTTATGACCTAAATACTGCCTAAAGTCCCCACCTCTTTTTTTTTTTTTTTCTTTTTTTGAGACAGAGTCTCGCTTTGTCACCCAGGCTGGAGTGCAGTGGTGCAATCTTGGCTTACTGCAAGCTCTGCCTCCAGGTTCACACCATTCTCCTGCCTCAGCCTCCCGAGTAGCTGGGACTACAGGTGCCCGCCACCATGCCTGGCTAATTTTTTTTTTTTTTTTTTGTATTTTTAGTAGAGACAGGGTTTCACTGTGTTAGCCAAGATGATCTTGATCTCCTGACCTCGTGATCCGCCCACCTCAGCCTCCCAAAGTGCTGGGATTATAGGTGTGAGCCACACTGCACCTGGCCAAGTCCCCACCTCTTAATGCTATTGCACTGGGGATTAGGTTTGAACATATGAATTTTGCTGGGGACACAAACATTCAAACAATATCAGAGCTCAAGAGCAGATTGAAGATGGCAGAGAAAGGAACTGGTGAACTTGAAGAGAAGTTGATGGAAATTATCTAATCTGAACAACAGAAAGAAAAAGATTAAAGAAAAATGAGTATATATTAGTCTTCAGGGAAATGCATATCAAAACTGTAATGAGATGACACTTCACACCCACTAGGATGGCCATAATAAAAAAAAAAATGTGGACAGTAGCAAGTATTGGCAAGGATGTGGAGAAATGGGAACTTCTGGTAGGAATGTAAAATGGGGCAGCTGCTTTCAAAAATAGCTAGCAATTCTTCAGAAGATTAAACTTAGTTACATATGACCTGAACATTCCATTCCTAATTATGTATACAAACGAATTGAAAAAAAATCCACATAATTTGTGCATTAATTTTATACCACATTATTTGCAATAGCCAAAAAGTAGAAACAACTCAAGTTCAGCAACTAATGAACAGATAAACAAAATGTGGTCTATCCATATATCTCAGTCATTTGTGTTGCTATAAAGGAACACCTGAGGCTGGGTAACTTATAAAGGAAAGAGGTTTACTTGGCCCACATTTCTGCCGGCTGTAAAGAAAGCATGGCACCAGCATCTGCTGCTTGCGAGGCCTCAGGGTGCTTCCACTCATGCCAGAAGGTGAAGGGGAGCTGGTGACTGCAGAGATCACATGGCGAGAGCACAGAAGCAAGAGAGAGAGAGGAGGGAGGTACCAGGCTCTTTTAACAACCAGCTCTCATGGCAACTAACTCACTAATTACTGCAATGATGGCACCAAGCCATTCATGAGGAATCTGACCCCATGATCCAAACACCTCCCACCAGGCCCCACCTCCAACACCAGGGATCAAATTTCAACATGAGACACAGTGGGGCCAAACAGTCTCTATCCAAACTACAGCACCACAAGATGTTGTACTATTTGGTCATAAAAAGGAATGAAGTACCAAAACGTGCTACAACATGGATGAATCTTGAAAACGTTATGCTAAGTGAAAGAAGCTAGCCACAAAATATCACATATTGTATTACGATTCCATTTAATGAAATGTCCAGATGAGGCAAATCTCTAGAGACAGAAAGTAGGTTAATGGTTGCCTATGTATGAGGAGAAGGGGGCCAGGGGATACAAAGTTTCTTGTAGGGGGTGATGAACATGTTCTAAAATTGATTTGGGGCCAGGCGCAGTGGCTCACACCTGTAATCCCGGCACTTTGGGAGGCTGAGGCGGGTGGATCACGAGCTCAAGAGATCAAGACCATCCTGGCCAACATGGTGAAACCCCGTCTCTACTAAAAATACAAAAATCAGCTGGCTGTGGTGGCACGCGCCTGTAGTCCCAACTACTTGGGAGGCTGAGACAGGAGAATCGCTTGAACCCGGGAGGCGGAGGTTACAGTGAGCCGAGACTGCGCCACTGCACTCCAGCCTGGCAACAGAGCAAGACTGTGTCTCAAAAAAAAAAAGAAAAGAAAAAAAATTGATTTGGGGGCCAAGCACAGTGGCTCCCATCTGGAGTCCCCACATTTCAAGAGGCTGAAAGCACGAGGATTGAGACCAGCCTGGGCAACATAGGGAGACCCCCCCCTCCATAACAAAGATAAATTAAAAAAAAATAATTTTGGTGATAGTTGGTGGTAGTTGCATAACCCTGTGAATATACTAAAAACCACAGAATCATATACTTTAAATGGGTGAATTGTATATGAATAATATCTCAATAAATTTGTAAAATACACGCAAAAATAGAAACTCCAAGATCTGTGGGGTAATATGAAGTAGTCCAGGCTGGGAGCAGTGGCTCAAGCCTGTAATCCCAGAACTTTGGGAGGCCGAGGTGGGTAGATCACTTGAGGTCAGGAGTTCGAGACCAGCCTGACCAATATGGTGAAACCCCATCTGTACTAAAAATACAAAAATTAGCTGGGCATGGTAGAGCATACCTGTAATCCCAGCTACTCTGGAGGCTGAGGCGGGAGAATCGCTTGAACCCAGGAGGTGGAGGTTGCAATGAGCTGAGATCACACCACTGCACTCCAGCATGGGGTGACAGAGTGTGAGACTCTGTCTTAAAATAAAATAAAATAAAATTTTAAAAAATGAAGTTGTCCAGTATACATGTAACTGAACAGCAGGAGAGGGTAGAAAGAGGAAGAAAAAAATACTAATAATGGCTGAAATCTTCAAAAATTTGGTGGAAAATAGTTGACCCTTGTTATTCATGGGTTCCATATTTGCAAATTCACCTATTTGCTAAAATTTGTAACCCCCAAATGAATTCACAGCCATTTCAGATTTTTTTTATTATTATTATACTTTAAGTTTTAGGGTACATGTGCACAATGTGCAGGTTAGTTACATATATATACATGTGCCATGCTGGTGTGCTGCACCCATTAACTCGTCATTTAGCATTAGGTATATCTCCTAATGCTATCCCTCCCCCCTTCCCCCACCCCACAACAGTCCCCAGAGTGTGATGTTCCCCTTCCTGTGTCCATGTGTTCTCATTGTTCAATTCCCATCTATGAGTGAGAATATGCGGTGTTTGGTTTTTTGTTCTTGCGATAGTTTACTGAGAATGATGATTTCCAATTTCACCCATGTCCCTACAAAGGACATGAACTCATCATTTTTTATGGCTGCATAGTATTCCATGGTGTATATGTGCCACATTTTCTTAATCCAGTCTATCATTGATGGACATTTGGGTTGGTTCCAAGTCTTTGCTATTGTGAATAGTACCGCAATAAACATATGTGTACATGTGTCTTTATAGCAGCATGATTGGTAGTCCTTTGGGTATATACCCAGTAATGGGATGGCTGGGTCAAATGGTATTTCTAGTTCTAGATCCCTGAGGAATCGCCACACTGACTTCCACAATGGTTGAACTAGTTTACAGTTCCACCAACAGTGTAAAAGTGTTGCTATTTCTCCACATCCTCTCCAGCACCTGTTGTTTCCTGACTTTTTGATGATTGCCATTCTAACTGGTGTGAGATGATATCTCATTGTGGTTTTGATTTGCATTTCTCTGATGGCCAGTGATGGTGAGCATTTTTTCATGTGTTTTTTGGCTGCATAAATGTCTTCTTTTGAGAAGTGTCTGTTCATATCCTTTGCCCACTTTTTGATGGGGTTGTTTGTTTTTTTCTTGTAAATTTGTTTGAGTTCATTGTAGATTCTGGATATTAACCCTTTGTCAGATGAGTAGGTTGCGAAAATTTTCTCCCATTTTGTAGGTTGCCGATTCATTCTGATGATAGTTTCTTTTGCTGTGCAGAAGCTCTTTCATTTAATTAGATCCCATTTGTCAATTTTGGCTTTTGTTGCCATTGCTTTTGGTGTTTTAGACATGAAGTCCTTGCCCATGCCTATGTCCTGAATGGTAATGCCTAGGTTTTCTTCTAGGGTTTTTATGGTTTTAGGTCTAACATTTAAGTCTTTAATCCATCTGGAATTAATTTTTGTATAAGGTGTAAGGAAGGGATCCAGTTTCAGCTTTCTACATATGGCTAGCCAGTTTTCCCAGCACCATTTATTAAATAGGGAATCCTTTCCCCATTGCTTGTTTTTCTCAGGTTTGTCAAAGATCAGATAGTTGTAGATATGCGGCGTTATTTCTGAGGGCTCTGTTCTGTTCCATTGATCTATGTCTCTGTTTTGGTACCAGTACCATGCTGTTTTGGTTACTGTAGCCTTGTAGTATAGTTTGAAGTCAGGTAGCATGATGCCTCCAGCTTTGTTCTTTTGGCTTAGGATTGACTTGGCGATGTGGGCTCTTTTTTGGTTCCATATGAACTTTAAAGTCGTTTTTTCCAATTCTGTGAAGAAAGTCATTGGTAGCTTGATGGGGATGGCATCGAATGTGTAAAATACCTTGGGCAGTATGGCCATTTTCACGATATTGATTCTTCCTACCCATGAGCATGGAATGTTCTTCCATTTCTTTGTATCCTCTTTTATTTCCTTGAGCAGTGGTTTGTAGTTCTCCTTGAAGAGGTCCTTCATGTCCCTTGTAGGTTGGATTCCTAGGTATTTTATTCTCTTTGAAGCAATTGTGAATGGGAGTTCACTCATGATTTGGCTCTCTGTTTGTTTGTTATTGGTGTATAAGAATGCTTGTGATTTTTGTACATTGATTTTGTATCCTGAGACTTTGCTGAAGTTGCTTATCAGCTTAAGGAGATTTTGGGCTGAGACAATGGGGTTTTCTAGATATACAATCATGTCATCTGCAAACAGGGACAATTTGACTTCCTCTTTTCCTAATTGAATACCCTTTATTTCCTTCTCCTGCCTAATTGCCCTGGCCAGAACTTCCAACACTATGTTGAATAGGAGTGGTGAGAGAGGGCATCCCTGTCTTGTGCCAGTTTTCAAAGGGAATGCTTCCAGTTTTTGCCCTTTCAGTATGATATTGGCTATGGGTTTGTCATAGATGGCTCTTATTATTTTGAGATACGTCCCATCAATACCTAATTTATTGAGAGTTTTTAGCATGAAGGGTTGTTGAATTTTGTCAAAGGCCTTTTCTGCATCTATTGAGATAATCATGTGGTTTTTGTCTTTGGTTCTGTTTATATGCTGGATTACATTTATTGATTTGCATATATCGAACCAGCCTTGCATCCCAGGGATGAAGCTCTCTTGATCATGGTGGATAAGCTTTTTGATGTGCTGCTGGATTTGGTTTGCCAGTATTTTATTGAGGATTTTTGCATCAATGTTCATCAAGGATATTGGTCTAAAATTCTCTTCTTTGGTTGTGTCTCTGCCCGGCTTTGGTATCAGGATGATGCTGGCCTCATAAAATGAGTTAGGGAGGATTCCCTCTTTTTCTATTGATTGGAATAGTTTCAGAAGGAAGCATACCAGTTCCTCCTTGTACCTCTGGTAGAATTCGGCTGTGAATCCATCTGGTCCTGGACTCTTTTTGGTTGGTAAGCTATTGATTATTGCCACAATTTCAGAGCCTGTTATTGGTCTATTCAGAGATTCAACTTCTTCCTGGTTTAGTCTTGGGAGGGTGTATGTGTCCAGGAATTTATCCATTTCTTCTAGATTTTCCAGTTTATTTGCGTAGAGGTGTTTGTAGTATTCTCTGATGGTAGTTTGTATTTCTGTGGGATTGGTGGTGACATCCCCGTTATCATTTTTTATTGTGTCTATTTGATTCTTCTCTCTTTTCTTCTTTATTAGTCTTGCTAGTGGTCTATCAATTTTGTTGATCCTTTCAAAAAACCAGCTCCTGGATGCATTAATTTTTTGAAGGGTTTTTTGTGTCTCTATTTCCTTCAGTTCTGCTCTGATTTTAGTTATTTCTTGCCTTCTGCTAGCTTTTGAATGTGTTTGCTCTTGCTTTTCTAGTTCTTTCAACTGTGATGTTAGGGTGTCAATTTTGGATCTTTCCTGCTTTCTCTTGTGGGCATTTAGTGCTATAAATTTCCCTCTACACACTGCTTTGAATGTGTCCCAGAGATTCTGGTATGTTGTGTCTTTGTTCTTGTTGGTTTCAAAGAATATCTTTATTTCTGCCTTCATTTCGTTATGTACCCAGTAGTCATTCAGGAGCAGGTTGTTCAGTTTCCATGTAGTTGAGCGGTTTTGAGTGAGTTTCTTAATCCTGAGTTCCAGTTTGATTGCACTGTGGTCTGACAGACAGTTTGTTATAATTTCTGTTCTCTTATATTTGCTGAGGAGAGCTTCACTTCCAAGTATGTGGTCAATTTTGGAATAGGTGTGGTGTGGTGCTGAAAAAAATGTATATTCTGTTGATTTGGGGTGGAGAGTTCTGTAGATGTCTATTAGGTCCACTTGGTGCAGAGCTGAGTTCAATTCCTGGGTATCCTTGTTAACTTTCTGTCTCGTTGATCTGTCTAATGTTGACAGTGGGGTGTTAAAGTCTCCCATTATTATTGTGTGGGAATCTAAGTCTCTTTGTAGGTCACTCAGGACTTGCTTTATGAATCTGGATGCTCCTGTATTGGGTGCATATATATTTCGGATAGTTAGCTCTTCTTGTTGAATTGATCCCTTTACCATTATGTAATGGCCTTCTTTGTCTCTTTTGATCTTTGTTGGTTTAAAGTCTGTTTTATCAGAGACTAAGATTGCAACCCCTGCCTTTTTTTGTTTTCCATTTGCTTGGTGGATCTTCCTCCATCCTTTTATTTTGAGCCTATGTGTGTCTCTGCACCTGAGATGGGTTTCCTGAATACAGCACACTGATGGGTCTTGACTCTTTATCCAATTTGCCAGTCTGTGTCTTTTGATTGGAGCATTTAGTCCATTTACATTTAAAGTTAATATTGTTATGTGTGAATTTGATCCTGGCATTATGATGTTAGCTGGTTATTTTGCTCGTTAGTTGATGCAGTTTCTTCCTAGCTTTGATGGTCTTTACATTTTGGCATGATTTTGCAGTGGCTGGTACCGGTTGTTCCTTTCCATGTTTAGCGCTTCCTTCAGGAGCTCTTTTAGGGCAGGCCTGGTGGTGACAAAATCTCTCAGCATTTGCTTGTCTGTAAAGTATTTTATTTCTCCTTCACTTATGAAGCTTAGTTTGGCAGGATATGAAATTCTGGGCTGAAAATTCTTTTCTTTAAGAATGTTGAATATTGGCCCCCACTCTCTTCTGGCTTGTAGATTTTCTGCTGAGAGATCTGCTATTAGTCTGATGGGCCTCCCTTTGTGGGTAACCCGACCTTTCTCTCTGGCTGCCCTTAACATTTTTTCCTTCATTTCAACTTTGGTGAATCTGACAATTATGTTTCTTGGAGTTGCTCTTCTCGAGGAGTATCTTTGTGGTGTTCTCCGTATTTCCTGAATCTGAATGTTGGCCTGCCTTGCTAGATTGGGGAAGTTCTCCTGGATAATATACTGCACAGTGTTTTCCAACTTGGTTCCATTCTCCCCGTCACTTTCAGGTACACCAGTCAGACTTAGATTTGGTCTTTTCACATAGTCCCATATTTCTTGGAGGCTTTGTTTGTTTCTTTTTATTCTTTTTTCTCTCAACTTCCCTTCTCGCTTCATTTCATTCATTTGATCTTCCATCACTGATACCCTTTCTTCCAGTTGATCGCATTGGCTCCTGAGGCTTCTGCATTCTTCACGTAGTTCTCGAGCCTTGGCTTTCAGCTCCATCAGCGCCTTTAAGCACTTCTCTGTAGTGGTTATTCTAGTTATACATTCGTCTAAATTTTTTTCAAAGTTTTTAACTTCTTCGCCTTTGGTTTGAATTTCCTCCTGTAGCTCGGAGTAGTTTGATCGTCTGAAGCCTTCTTCTCTCAACTCATCAAAGTCATTCTCCATCCAGCTTTGTTCCGTTGCTGGTGAGGAACTGCATTCCTTTGGAGGAGGAGAGGCATTCTGCTTTTTAGAGTTTCCAGTTTTTCTGCTCTGTTTCTTCCCCATCTTTGTGTTTTTATCTACTTTTGGTCTTTGATGATGGTGATGTACAGATGGGTTTTTGGTGTGGATGTCCTTTCTGCTTGTTAGTTTTCCTTCTAACAGACAGGACCCTCAGCTGCAGGTCTGTTGGAGTTTGCTAGAGGTCCCCTCCAGACCCTGTTTGCCTGGGTATCAGCAGCGGTGGCTGCAGAACAGCGGATTTTCATGAACCTCGAATGCTGCTGTGTGATCGTTCTTCTGGAATTTTTGTCTCAGAGGAGTACCCAGCCGTGTGAGGTGTCAGTCTGCCCCTACTGGGGGGTGCTTCCCGGTTAGGCTGCTCGGGGGTCAGGGGTCAGGGACCCACTTGAGGAGGCAGTCTGCCCGTTCTCAGATCTCCAGCTGCATGCTGGGAGAACCACTGCTCTCTTCAAAGCTGTCAGACAGGGACATTTAAGTCTGCAGAGGTTACTGCTGTCTCTTTGTCTGTGCCCTGCCCCCAGAGGTGGAGCCTACAGAGGCAGGCAGGCCTCCTTGAGCTGTGGTGGGCTCCACCCATTTCGAGCTTCCCGGCTGCTTTGTTTACCTAAGCAAGCCTGGGCAATGGTGGGCGCCCCTCCCTCAGCCTTGCTGCCACCTTGCAGTTTGATCTCAGACTGCTGTGCTAGCAATCAGGGGGACTCCGTGGGCATAGGACCCTCCAAGCCAGGTGCGGGATATAATCTCCTGGTGCGCCGTTTTTTAAGCCCGTCGGAAAAGTGCAGTATTAGGGTGGGAGTGACCCGATTTTCCAGGTGCTGTCTGTCACCCCTTTCTTTGACTAGGAAAGGGAACTCCCCGACCCCTTGCGCTTCCCGAGTGAGGCAATGCCTCGCCCTGCTTCGTCTTGCGCACGGTGCGCTGCACCCACTGTCCTGCACCCACTGTCTGGTACTCCCTAGTGAGATGAACCTGGTACCTCAGATGGAAATGCAGAAATCACCCGTCTTCTGCGTCGCTCATGCTGGGAGCTGTAAACCAGAGCTGTTCCTATTCGGCCATCTTGGCTGGCAATCCCAGATATTTGTGAATGTACGTAGAGTGGCAAGAACTTTGAGTTGCCCAACGCACATATTCCCATCTGAGGCTGAACAAGGTGACACTCTGCCTTCTTGTTTCAGCTTTCATACTGCAAACAAGTGGCCTTTTGGGGTCTCTTTAGTGCCATATTTTTCACATTTTGGTGTTTGTTTTTTGAGATGAGGTCCGTCGCTATGTCACCCAGGCTGGAGTGTAGTGGTGCAGCCATGGCTCACTGCAGCCTTGACCTCCTGGGCTCAAATGATTCTCCCACCTCAGCCCTGTGAGTAGCTGGGACCACAGGCACAACACCACCACACTCAGCAAATTTTTGTATTTTTTTGTAGAGACAGGGTTTTGCCATGTTGCCCAGGCTGGTCTTGAACTCCTGGGCTCAAGCGATCCGCCCACCTCAGCCTCCGAAAGTGTTGGGATTACAGGCGTGAGTCACCACGCCCAGCCATTTTGGTTCTTTTTGTTGGTGATTTTGCTGATTAAAATGGCTCCTAAGTGTACTGCTGAAGTGCTGGCTTTAAATGGGTGAACTGTATGATATATGAATAATATCTCAATAAAGTTGTCACATATATGCAAAAATAGAAACTCCAAGATCTGTGGGGTAATATGAAGTAGTCCAGGCTGGGAGCAGTGGCTCACGCCTGTAATCCCAGCACTTTGGGAGGCTGAGGTGGGTAGATCACCCATTTAAGTACTGCTAAGTGCAAGAAGGTTGTGATGAAAGGTGTGTTACATAGGCTTCATTCAGGCATGATTCAAAGTGCTGTTAGCTATGAGTTCAATGTTAATGAACCAACAGTACAGTACAAAGGAGGAAATTTGCCAATCTATACTACATGAAGCCATTCCAGAAAATGCTAAAGTATTATGACATCTACAGTGTATGAGGTAGCTATGGAATGGAATGAAAAAGCAGCTAAATTTGTGGATTCATGAGATGATTTTTTTTTTTAAGTGGACAGTACTCTTGTGAGGATAGAAGCCAAATAAATTTACAGTCGTGTTACCCATGGCCAGGAAAATGTTAAATCCTTCTTGGCTAGTGTTTTATTTTAATAAATACTGCCTCTAATTTGTAAGATATATTAAATGTCTTTAAATAGGAGCAGACATAAAACAAGGTTATGTGTTAACCAGTTGATGAAAATGTTTTGACCAGAGGCTCACAGGAAGCTAACCCTGTATCTCACCTAGGAGCAATGGTTCAGCATTTGCTAATTCTGTGCTTGCGGAGACTTTATAGAACATGGCTACCATGGGAACTCACTGTATTAATTTTCTGATCTAAGAAGCCCAAGAAATCCTAAGTAAATAAACACAAAGAGAATTACCCCTAGATATGTGATAGTTAAACTGATGAAAGCCAAAGATATAGAAAAGATCTTGAAAGCAGTCTGGGAAAAAAAAAAACAGCAATTACATACAAAGGAATAGTGACGAGTATATGCCTACCTTTCTTCAGAAACTATGGAAGCCAGAAGACATTGGAAGACAGTCAAATGCCAAAGGAAAAACCTATCAACCAAGCATTCTACATCCAGTAAAGCTGTCCTTCAAAAATGAAGGCAGCCTGTAATCCCAGCACTTTGGGAGGCCAAGGCGGGCAGATCATGAGGTCAGGAGATCGAGACCATCCTGGCTAACACAGTGAAACCCTGTCTCTACTAAAAATACAAAAAAATTAGCCGGGCATGGTGGCAGGCGCCTGTAGTCCCAGCTACTCGGGAGGCTGATGCAGGAAAATGGCGTGAACCCGGGAGGCAGAGCTTGCAGTGAGCCAAGACTGCACCACTGCACTCCAGCCTGGGCGACACAGCGAGACTCCGTCTCAAAAAAAAAAAAAAAAAAAAGGCAACATAAAGACAATTTTTTAAAATTTTATTATTTTTTAAATAGTTGTGGGTACATAGTAGGTGCATATATTTATGGGGTACATGAGATATTTTGATACAGGCATGCAATGTGAAATAAGCACATCACAGAGAATGGGGTATCCATCCCCTCAGGCATTTACTCTTTTCAATTACATTCTTTATTTTAAAATATACAATTGTTATTATTGACTATAGTCACCCTATTGTGCTATCAAATAGTAGATCTTATTCATTTTTTTTTCTTTTGGTACCCATAAATGATCCCCAATTCCCCCAAAAAACATTTTTAAATGAACCAAAACTGAGAATTCTACTCGAAGACCTAGATCATGGCTTGCTGCCTCAGTGCTGAGCAGCTTGGCTTCAGCCACCATGAACGGTTCCTTTCCTTGCTCCAGGACACCAAACTCGTTGCCGCAGATGCTGCAAATCCTTGTGGTGTTGAAATGACCCAGTATCCTGTGCTAAGAAGGGGAACAATGCCCCACTCTGCCTGTGATCCACTATAGTTGCACCACAGCAGAATTTCTAGGGCACCAAAGTGTTACCTGCAGCCTTTTGCTCCCCAGGGGGATCATACACTGTAGGGTGGTCTGGCCAGGGAAGTGCACCTAGCTGTACCATACTTTACTGGGAACTACAAACCCCCTTCAGATATCTGTCCTTGTTCAATTCAATTTGTAATGCCTGGTTCCCTCTTCCTTTGGATGTATTCTCTCTCAGGGCCCCACAATTCTCTCTTGCAAATTGCCCTCTCTTGCAAATTGCAAATTGCCCCTCTCTTGCAAATTGCAATTCCCTCTTGCAAATTGCAAATTCTATCTTGCAAATTCTCCTGCCCTTAAATTCTGGTTCTGTTTGGCAGAGAATGTTAAAACTTCAGTTATGGACATGGTATACGCTCTTATCTCAGGAGGCTTCTCAGCATCTGAGGCAGATACTGCTGGCTACCTCAAATTTTCTTTTAACCTTAACAGAACCCAAATTTTTAGCTGGACACATTACCACTTGTATTAGTTTGTTTTCTGTTACCTATAACAGAATACCTGAAACTGGGTAACTGACAAAGGAATTTATTACAGTTATGGAGGCTGAAAAGTCCCAGGTTGAGTCCATATCTGGTGGGAGCCTTCTTGCTGGTGGGGACCTTTGTGGCACCCTGAGGTGGCAAATATTCATATCGACCCCCAGGAAACTGATTTAACAGGGAGCAGCAGTTCTCTTTTCCCCCAGTCCTTCGTCCTGCTGCTTAGACTATGGATGTGATGGCTGGATTCCAGCAGCCACACTGAAACAGAAGGATGAGCTGGAAGGATCCCCGGTCTCTCATAATTTCATGGAACTGTCACACCAGTCCTAGAACACCTACTTCCCAAAGTATTTTATATAAAATAAACTTATCTTGCATACCCACTGTCTTAGTCAATTTGTCTGCTATAACAAAATGACTTAGACTGCTTAATTTATAAACAATAGATTTATTGTTCACAGTTCTAGAGGCTGAGAAGTCCAAGATCAAGACGCCGGCAGATTTGCTGTCTGGTGAGGGGCTCCTTGCTCACAGATGGTGCCTTCTCATTGCATCCTTACATGGCAGAAGGGCAAGAGGAACGAACAAGCTTCCTCAGGCCTCTTTTATAAGAGCACTAATCCCATTCACGAGGGATCTGCCCTCATAACCTAATCACCTCCCAAAGGCCCTATCTCTTAATACCAACATGTGAATTTTAGACACAAACATTCAGACCACAGCACACATAGCCCACAGCAACCATGTAATGAGGGAAACTTAGGAGAAGCAGGGTTGTGGGGGGAAGGGGATTTCATTGTAGAAGTTGGTATTGAACTCGCCAGTTTTTTTTTTTGTTTAAGAGATAGGATCTCACTCTGTTGTCCTGGCTGGAATGCAGTAGTGTGATCACAGCTCACTGCAGCCTCAAACTCCTGGGCTCAAGTGATTATCCCACCTCAGCCTTCTGAGTAGCTGGGATTACAGGCACACACCTCCGTACCTGGCTAATTTTTAAACTTTTTTTTTAAAGATGGGGTTCTATTTTGCCCAGGCTGGTCTTGAACTCCTGACTTCAAGCAATCCTCCTGCCTCTTCCTTTCAAAGCGCTAGGATTTACAGGTGTGGGCCACTGCACTTGGTCCCAATCTTTCTAGTTTTACTGGTAATTCAGCCCCCCACCCCCAGAACCCACTATAGAGAAGTGGGGCTGACTGAGGGAAGGAATGGGCTTAGCCAGTTCTACTCTCAGGAATAGAAGGAAAGCAAGAAGCCCAGCACTAACCTGGCCTGGGAAAGTGATGGAGGCTTCAGCCCCAGCAAGACAGAGTGTGGAGTCTCACCTGTGGCACCACTGCTTTTTCTAAGCATGCTCTGAAGTCTCTAACCTTCTCAATATAACAGAGCAGGTAATGTTTTGGACACAATTTGGAAAGCATATTCCTGTGGGGAGGGGATTATTTTTGTTTTGTGTGGTTTTTGGCTAAGAAGGAAGTTATTATCAGGAGCAATTTCCAATTATATACTTCACTGCTTCTGGCCTATATCCAAGATCTCTATTTAGCCAGTCAATGATGACGGGTGTTCTGGCAGAGATCCAGGACCAGCCAGTAACAGAACTACTTGGATCAACATCTATAATATTGTTCCAAATTGCAAGCAAAGTTAATTCCCCTATTCCTCTGAGGTTAGGGGAAGAACTTGTACATTTGTGTGTGTGCTGCATTCTGTGGAGATGGACAAATCTGAGCACTGCTCTCCACCCACTGCTGAGCCTGTATGACCTATCCAGGTAGCACATAGCACAATGGCCGAGAGCAGACTCTGGAGGCAGATTGCCAGGCTCAGGCCACCCCTGACAGTTTGCCGGCTGCCCTTTTGCAAGTTCCTCTACCTTGGGTGTCCGTTTCCTCCTCCAACATGAGAGTCACAATAGTAAGTTTCTCCTAGGGATGCTGAGAAGGCTACATGAAGCAATGTACAGAAGGGACAAGTATCACTATCAGCTCCCTCCAGCAGAATCCTGGGATTTAAGCAGGACCCAGTCTTGCATCTGAATGTCCAGTCAGCAATCTCTCTCTTCCATTCTCCTCCGAGGCAAACCATCTTGGCCCTTAGGCATCTTCTGCCTTATACTGACAGGTGTGTATCCTGGATAACAACCAGGACTGCATCCCCCTAAGGGTAAGGACTAGGTCTGATACTCATCTAGTGGACACTCAAATATTTTGCCAGTTCTATTATTAAGAATTTTATTTTTGAGCATTCTATATACATTTATAAGTGTACATATGATGTATTTTATGTACATGGATTAGGAAGTTCTTCAAGGGCACCATTAAGTGCCCACTGGAAAATTTTCTACAAGAGAATAGTTTGGAAAATAACAGATCAATTTAGGAGACTAAAACTATACATTGATATAAAGAATGGATATAGGTTTTCTCAATCCAGAATAGTACCCTCACCCCCTCTGCCCTCCCCTCTCCTAGATGGTCACCATAGGGCAGTAAAGTTTAATCAGTTGAGCACGGAGCTTCAGGGCGCTGGCACCCAGACTATGATGGAGAGAAGGAAAGAGCAACAAACAAACAGGCACGTTGGTAGTTGGCTACAGCCTGGGTATAAGCCCATGGCATCTTCTTCCCCCGAGACTGGGGATGTCCCGGCAACTGAGTAAGGGATGGGCCTCCTGCTGCTGACTTCTCCATAGTGAACTCAATCTCCTTGCCTCACAAGAACATCAGAGAGGTCCTCTGTTCCTTCCAGTTTTAGATTCTGAGGGAAGACCAAAACATGCATGGACTTTGGTATACGGAGAATAAAAGAATCATAAATTCCAATCACAGTCACAAGGTAGTGACTACAAAGAAGAAAGTTTGTCCCATGATTATAAGAAAAACTGTTTCATAGCAAGTATAATTTGCATGAAAAACCTGATTCCCAATCCTTGTTATAACAAAATGACTTAGGTGAAAAAGCAAAAAGCAAGCCTTCTCTGGCTCTGATTCCTGCAACCCACCCCCTATAAAGGGCCTAAGAGCTGAGCCGTCTGCCCTGAAGATGCTAATGGAGGCAGATGGGAGGTCATGAGGAGCCACAACACATACATATAGTCAGTCGTCCCCCCTTATCCTCGAGGGGTGTTCCAAGGCCCCCGGTGGATGCCTGAACTCATATAGTACCAAATCAAATACACATATATGATTTTTATATATATGTATACACAAATATACCTTGTTTTTTCCTATACATACATACTTATGATCAAGTTTAATTTACAAATTAGGCACAGTAAGAGATTAACAATAACTAATAATAAAATAGAAAAATTAAGTCAAATAAGAGGGAATGGAACACAAGCACTGCAGTACCACCAACAGTTGACCTGGGAACTGAGATGGCTACCAAGTGACTAATGGGAGAGCCACGTCTGCAGTGTGGATCTGTTGGACACAGGGACGGTTCAGATCCGGGGCAGGATGGAGCGGGACATGGTGACATTTCATCACACTACTCAGAAGAGTTGCAACTTAAAACTTATGAACTGTTTATTTCTGGATTTCCACTTAGTATTTTCAGACCATGGGTGACTGTGGGTAACTGAAACCATGGAAAGTGAAATTGTGGAAACAGGGGGCTACTATATTAACCCCAACCATGCATGCCTCCTCCAGGCACCCCCAACTGCCCCAATGCCCCA
The DNA here is from genome assembly GCF_000001405.40 of Homo sapiens. Taxonomy (NCBI): domain Eukaryota; kingdom Metazoa; phylum Chordata; class Mammalia; order Primates; family Hominidae; genus Homo; species Homo sapiens. The sequence continues at coordinate 96,372,366 of NC_000002.12, read as the reverse complement.
TCCATGGAAACTAGGGGACTACTGTATTAACCCCATCCACGCGCACCTCCTCCAGGCACCCCTCAACTACCCCACTGCCCCATCTCTCCATTAGTTCCTGACAGCAGTGACCTCCTGCCAGTCTCTGCACAGGCCTTTCCCTACCTACCTCCCAGCTCTTCCCCAACCCCAGGCAGTGTTTCCCTCAGGACTAAGCAGCTATGAGACCTTTCCTGACGAACTTCACCACAACCAGCCTGCCCTGGCTCTGCACTGGAGGCAGATGGGATGTGCCAGGGCTCAACAGTCACTCGCACCTTTCCTTGCCACTAAAGACAGAACGCTCAAGTCACACCTCGCGGGTTTTCTGCAGCTCAGGTTCTGGTAGTTGCACACTGCTAACATGCAGAGACATGAAGGCAGAGGGCCTCACGTCCATCACTGGCTCCTAAGCCCCACACACTGCCTGGCTATGTGAGGGGAGACTGTTATCACAGTGGTGGAGGAACAGACTCCAGACGGGAGTGAAAGATGGAGAGAAAGAAGTCCAAGAGGAGGTCAAGTTCTGCTGTGAAGCGTTGAGAATATTTCTCTTGGTGGCTCTAAGTGTTGAGTTATCACAGATCCCTGTAGATTATAACAGTAACTGTTGTGGCTAATGTTACAAGCCCAGTTTTCTCAAACAGCCCAAAGCCAGGCCCCAGTAATGGCCTCGGTGCTCAGCCCAACAAGTCATGGGCTGTAGCCACCCACCATTCTTCAAACACCAAGAGCTCTGGGACCCTTAAAAAGAGACTTGATCACAGCAAAATGAACATGCCTGCACTGCCACTGAGAGCAGGGGTGCAGAGCTGGAGTCGGAGCAGCACGACCTCAGTGAAGCCGCAGAGTCACTAATATTTCTTAGCAGTGTTGGCCTGGCCTGACTCCTTAAGAAACAAGTGAGGGCCATGAAGCCGCTCTCTCAAGTCAGGTTTCTGTGGAGACACACCACCCAGAGAAGCACTCTGACCTTCAGGCTGGGGCTGATGAGCGAAAGCAGTAACACTCTTAAATTGGACTCAGAAGGGTTTCTGAGCTTTGGAGGCCAGCCTAGGAGCCTGATGTGCTAGGAGACCAGCACCCATGTTGGAGAGTCACCAGCACCTATTTCCACCAGGATGGTGTGCGAATGAGATTCCAGGCCTCCCCCGACACTTCTCAAGTCAGAGAGATGGATGGCCTGCACACCACCCACCTCAGATGGTATATCCTCAGCAGAGCCACTTGTAGATTTCTTGTCAGAACAATGATAATAATTTATTTTTTATTTTCTTAGTCATTCTTCATATAGTTTGCATGTGATATCAGATGCTTTAGGATGTGTCAGGTATAGGAACTACCACCTCCCATAACCACGGGCATGTCTGCCTTCACAGGCTTGTGAACAGGGCATGTCCTCTCTCCGCAGTCACCGGTCACCGCCTTACTGCCCCCCAACAGCAGCCATGCAAGTTCAGCATTCCTGGGTTAAAACCATTCCCAAGGGCTCTGATGCACAATCATTCCTTCTTGGGAACTACACTGGGCTCTTCAACTTAGGCCTCAGGTTTGAACACCCAGACTGGTGGTTACAAGCCCAATGGTCAGCACAGTAGTTGGAGACATACAGCACTTGGTCCTGGCCCAGTGGCTCTTCTACACCTGCTCCCCACCCAGAATCAAAACTAGCTTCTGCTAACTGGACAGTTTCTTCTTCTTCATGAGGTTGTCAGCTAAGCAAGGTATTGACAAGAGAAAAATTGGTCTCTGACTTCCAGTGGTAGGTCACTGGGATTGGCTGATGGCTGTGCCACACAGGCCAGGGCAACTTCTCTCCAAAGCAGAGTCAGACCTGGAAAATGGAGCCAATCCTCACTGCTCCTGATTTCATTAGGAGGCCAGAGGTCACATGTTGGCATGTAGGAAATCCTGGATGCTTCCACCAGCACCCCATTTTTGCTACCATTCCATTCCCATAATCACCCTCCAAAACCACATTTCGGCGTTCACATAGTAACTGCACTCCAGTGCCCACCCCCTCCTCCTGGGGAGTTGACAGTGTTGGTGCACACCATGGCCATGGTGCCCCAGCCCCAGGGTGGTGCTTGCCGCACACGCCATGGCCCAGCCCATAGCCCTCTACTGCACGTGCCAAAGGCTGGGCTGTGCATCAGCTGGCTGGGGACCCTAATGGATACCAAGTGTTCAGTGATGCTCAAATGTGTGGGCTTGCTGCTGGCTGCCCTCTCTGTGGTATCCCTGGGTAGTACCACTCGGCTCCTGAGAAAATGAGTGCCCTCCTCTGCTCTTTCCACAGCTGTCCCATGGCTATGCAGCTGTTGGCTGGCCTAGCACAGGAGTCTGCCACGCTGACCCAGCTGGCACTTCAGGATTCTCCTTCCTTGTGACACACAGCTTGACTTTTCTGACTGTTACCTCCATATTTTAGTACTCTTCTCTTTCTGCAACTGTTTTCTTTTCATCCTCATTTCTCTCCTCTTCTCTCTGCCATGTCTCCCATATGTCTTGACTTTGGTACTACTAGGCTTTGGCCTTTAAAGTCTTTGACACCCCGTGAAGTAAAAGCACCTCGTGTTCTTAGGCTGGGGAACTTACCGATCACAATTCCATCATCTAAAATCTTACTATTTGGGTCCTCTGTGCTATTTTCATTGCTAATCAAACCTGATGGCTTTTTCCTAAGTTACTTCTAGATGCCTGGCTAATCATTTGGGTTGAAGGTGCTACATAAGTCACTGTATTTAAGAAATCCTATGTTAGCCCATGAAAGATCAAATACAAAGCTAAATGAGTTGACATAAACAGGGAATACTCTAATACTCCCATGCTTACCTTAATTACCTACCTTTTCATTGGCTAAATGTAGGAGACAGGCAAAAGCCAGAGGTATGGAGAGGTTCTGAGCCATGACAGGGGGCAGGCTGGAAAGAAAGGGGCAAGTATTTAGGTCACTGCCAACTGTTAGAACAAAAGCTCGTTCATCAAGTATGAATAATACACACATGCAATGACTAAACTAATGAGAAACAAATCTTTCAGATGCATTTTATAAGCAGATTTTTCTAGTTTCTTATTTGAGATAAAATATCTCCTGTTACACTCTGATCACTGACACAGAAAAACGCCTTTTTAAAAGTTGGTCTGTATTATCTGTCAACACAGAGAGAAAACAGAACAGCCACTATAAATGTCATAGGAAACAGGTTGTGTGTGGAAGGCCTGCCACGCGGACAGCTCAGAGAGGTGAGCCCCAACAAAGCCCCCATGCCTGCCAGCCCGCACCTCCTCTGCAGGTCCTTCGTGAGCCCGCTAAGCATCTTCTCGTCAGCCACTTCTGCCAGGGCCGCTTCTTTTCCAGCTTCCCTGTGGTTTGCCTAACAGAAGCACATTTATACATCGGACAGTTAGGGCTAGTGCACTTTTGAAAGGGCAACAAAAATAAAGTTGTGTCACCAAAAAGTCTATACCTAAACAAAATGAAAACAAATTTCTTAGTTATTTTGAAGAAAAAGGATCTACAAAGAGAACCAGTGCCTCAGCTCTGCTCTAATGACATTGTGGTAAACATGGATGTCAACAGCCAGCATCACCCTGGTAAAGGACACACTGCAAAGAGTGTCCTAGGGTGCCCTGAAAACAAACAAGAAAAAAAAGCAGTAATAAAAAGCCATGTTTGTTTGTTTTTTTTTTGAGACGGAGTCTCGCTCTGTCGCCAGGCTGGAGTGCAGTGGCACAATCTTGGCTCACTGCAAGCTCCACCTCCCGGGTTCAGGCAATTCTCCTGCCTCAGCCTCCCGAGTAGCTGGGATTACAGGTGCCCGCCACCACGCCCAGCTAATTTTTTGTATTTTTTAGTAGAGATGGGGTTTCACCATGTTGGCCAGGCTTGTCTTGAACACCTGACCTCATGATCCACCCACCTCGGCCTCCCAAAGTGCTGGGATTACAGACATGAGCCACTGTGCCCAGCCAAAGCCATGATTATTTATAGCTCCAACTGGACTACACTGCTAAGGGCAGCACAAAATTCATATTTAAAAGTAAACTCAAACTTTCCACTTAAGACAAAGACACACACTTGCATCCCATTCTGTTCTAGTTGATAAAACTTTATAAATATGACTGAAGAGCTTTCTCTGATACCCAGCTCAGGGCCCTCAATCAACTTATGAGTTTTCATTTCTCAGCTACAGAAGGTCTAAACTCAGAATATTATCTGAGCAGAAGTCAGAAAGAGAGAAGGATTCTAATTAACTGAGACTTCCTTTCATTGAGGTGGACCAAGTTAATCAAGGTTTCAGCTTGTTCTGAAGAAGTAGAATCTGACAGTATAATAATTACTTTTCCACTATCTTCCTACTGAGAATACATTCCTGAAATCAGAATTATTAGATCAAAAGGTTTAAACATTTCATAGCATAGAGCAACTTAAATTGCTACCAGCAGTGAATAAGTACTCCAAATTTTCCTCCTCAGTAATGGAAAACAGTTTAATTACTAAAACTGCTGCTGTTTTAAAGTAGCATCAAGATTGTTTCATTTGTCTTTTTTGATTACCAGCAAGGCTGAATCACGTCTTACACACTAGTTTGCTATTTGTATCACAGTCTGTGTGACCTGCCTACTTGTATACTTGGTTCACTTCTCTCTTAGAAGCATGAAGTCTTCCTTTTATTTTTGTTTTCTTTTTCAAGATACAGGATCTCTCTCTGTTGCCCAGACTGGAGTGTAGTGGTACGATCATATCATAGCTCACTGTAACCTCAAACTCCTGGGCTCAAGTGATCCTTCCACTTCAGCCTCCCAAAATGCTGGGATTACACGTGTGAGCCACCATGCCCAGCTCCTTGTATTTTTGAACGAACATTTCTGTATTGGAGGCATTGCCCAAATCGAGGTGTCTTCAGCTGTAGACATCAACCACTCCCCTCCCGCATGCTGGGCACCTAGAGAACAGGCAAGAGCATCTGACCTCTGCATCTGCCTCCTTTCCGGAGAGCGCTGTCAGCAGACTCCACATGCTCTGCTTCAGTTTCTTCATGTCCATCTTTTTGGCAGTCTTGGCATAGTGAATTTCAATTTTATTTACCTGAAATAGGTATATGACAAAGTAAAACTAAGCAGAATAAAGAAACTTTTACCATAATTCACTGTAAAAACAAAGGTCTGGAGTTCAACTAAAGAAGGAATCCAGTTTCAACCAAGGAGCTACAGAGCTCTCTTGTTTTGTTTGTTTGTTTGTTTGTTTTGAGACAGAGTTTCACTCTTGTCACCCAGGCTGGATGGCAATGGTGCAATCTCAGCTCACTGCAACCTCCGCCTCCTGGGTTCAAGCGATTCTCCAGCCTCAGCCTCCCATGGAGCTGGGATTACAGGCACCTGGCTAATTTTTGTATTTTTAGTAGAGATGGTATTTCACCATTTTGGCCACGCGGTCTCAAACTCTTTTTTTTTTTTTTTTTTTTTTTTGAGACGGAGTCTCGACCTGTTGCCCAGGCTGAAGTGCAATAGCATGATCTCAGCTTACTGCAACCTCTGCCTCCTGGGTTCAAATGACTCTCCTGCCTCAGCCTCTAGAATAGCTGGGATTACAGGCACCTGCCACCATGCCCAGCTAATTTTTGTATTTTTATTAAAGACGGGGTTTCACCATGTTGGCCGGGCTGGTCTCGAACTCCTGACATCGTGATCTGCCCGCCTTGGCCTCCCAAAGTGCTGGGATTACAGGCGTGAGCCACCACGCCCAGCCCAGAGCTCTCTTTGGACACTATATAGAGTCCCTCATATCAAATCTAATTTCTTTTCAATCCAGTGCAATCTACATTAAGGCTAACTGGAATTCCAGTGTAAAAGAGATAAATGAATCAAATATAAAGGCAAGCATAAAGCCTGCCACCTGGTATGGAAGAGATAAATGTTTAATACATGATAATTTAATACAAACTGAATTTGGCCAAGATTTTTCAGAGCCACACAGCTAGCTAGCTAGCCTTGCTGAATTAGCATATAAATTTATATTCTCTGCCTGCAGCCTTCATTCATATGCCTTATTTGGGTGACCAGTTCCTCCCTAGTTACATGTCTTATCAAGGTCTTTGGAGAGATGGTCAGTTCCACACAAACCTAATTAGCATCAGCTCACTCCCACAACCCTATTTAAAACTTGGAGAGCAACAGGTTAAAACTGAGAAGAAAAGAAATCAAGCTCAGATTGCGTGACTCTCATATAAGAGACAATTAAATAGATTTCAGGCAAACAATGTAATTCTCAGCTGTTTCATCCGTACCTTCTGAGGCTCAGCTACCAAGTTTGACTCCCCATATGTTGTGATGTCTAATCCTTGGGCTTCTGGAGTGTCACCATTCTGTTGTGCTGTCTTAGGTGGATGGCAAGGATAAGGTGAGAGGTCAGAGTTCCCAACAGGTCCCACAAATAAGTCATCCAAATCTTCATCATCACTGTCAGCAGCCTGGGCAAGAAACAGCTCTTCGAGTTTGGTGGACGCTGCAGAGGAGCTCAGAAACACCCTTGAAATAGACTCCATGTTTACAAAGCAAGAAGAGACCATCTGATGGTTCACTCAGTGAGTTACACTACGATGAACTTCTAGGTGCCTCTAGTTATCATCCTGTTTCACGTAAACCCTATTAGAGAGGTGTCTGTTATCAACCTAAGACCTTTTGAGCGGGAGTTAAAAGGAATTCGATAACCATAATTGCCACTATGTCCCCCCTTCAGCTTCTAACAAATTTAGGATTTCATTTTACAGAAACATTCCTCAAATACCGGAGATATGACCTGAACATATCACCCAAGGAAAGCACAGGAGATTCCTGGGGCCATCTGGTCAGTAGCAGGCATACCACCCAGAAGCAGGTGAGAAAGTCATTTTTGCGATCACATCCAGAGTGAATGTATCAGTATCTTCGGGCAGGGGGTGGGGTGGGGGGACACAGGTCAGGAATCAGTCCTTAAATAGGCTCCCTGGGTGATTTGTATGTAAGTTAAAGTTTGAGAAGCACTAGTCAAGAGGTCAGTCTGGATTTTCACTAAAATATAACAGCCTAACTCTCTTCCTAAGTAAGAAAATAAGGTGAATACATTTTTTTCCAGTTCGTTCCCCCCTTTCCACATACAGGGACACAGATGAAGCCTATTTTTCCAGTTTCTGTTACCTGTATTAGCCATCTCATCAGTAGACTCAGAGAAGGGATATGGAAATTATTTAGTCTAAACCGTGATCTAAAGATGGGGGGTGGCTTGTACAAGTTCACAGCAAGCTTGCAATATGAGAACTGCATTCACAGCTAGAAATCTGGTCATCTGAGATACACCCCGAAGACTTATTTTTTGCCACACCAGATCACATATGGTGTGATCTGGTTGTCTACCTGGCCAAAATATTAGCTCATAAGAGGACAAAGTGTTTATATTCCTTTGAAATCCCACAACAGCCAAGATTAGTACTTTGTAGCAGAGGCTAAACACCCATCCACATGTCGACGCATTCACTTGAGTGTGGCCATTTGCTTCCTGCATGTAGGATGTGAGGTAAGGCAGGCCAAGGTGAGGCTGTTTCCTTGACTCTGCTCAGCTCCCTGCACTGGGTGGAAGGCAGACCCTTTACCCAGAAAACCTCCACTGGATTCAAAATTGCCAACAGTCTCCCACCATATAAAATGGGGACATGAGAAGCAGAGAAAAACGACTCCCTGGCTTAGAAGAGAGGACAGAGCCCCTTTCCCCCCTTTACCTGTAATCCAGGGCAAAAGTTGGAGGTGTCGTTAGGGTTGTTGTAATCATAGTCTTCAATTTCTTCATAATGCTCAGTCTCTACCCTATGGCCCTGGGCCATCTTAAGTAACTAAAGGAAAGAATAAATGCAGAAAGCTATTTTGTTAAAAGCTACTGAACTAGGTTAGAGAAGTAAATCTTAATTCCTATGCCCAATCTCCTCCTAGAATTATACAATTTTAGAGTCAGAAGGGCCCTCACAAGTCATCTAAGTCTAACAGACTTTTCCACTATACAGTGCAAACCTGGAGTAGCAGGGCTCAGCATCTCTACCAATCCCAAATAAACCAGAGCAGCTCTATTTCTGTGTGACTGGCAATTAGGCCTTCTGCACAGTTTTACCTGAAAAAGGGTTCCTTCACTAAAAACAAAAGTTGGAAAATCTACCCTCCAGCTTTCTGAAAGTCACCTTGTTGCACTTGAACAATTTTGACAGAAAACCCATTACCAGCCAGGCACGGTGACTCACACCTGTAATCCCAGCATTTTGAGAGGCTGAGGTGGGAGAACTGCTTGAGCCTAGGAATTTTGAGACTAGCGTTGGGCAACACAGTGAGACCCCATCTCTACAAAAAAAGATGGCATGGTGCTGTGTGCCTGTGGTCTCAGCTACTCAGGAGGCTGAGGCAGGAGGATCATTTGAGCCCAGGGGTTGAGGCTGCACTGAGCCATACTCATACCACTGCACTCCAGCCTGAGACCCTGTCTTTAAAAAAAAAAAGGAAAACCCATTACCTTAATTAACAGCCTGTCTCATTCCTGAATGGAAACCACTGTTCCCTACATGGCAACAAGGAGAGACATCCAGCTCTTCCCTCTAATTACATCCATCATCCTCATTCTGTATTCCAGAGCCTCGTGGAATGAGGCTCCTCTTTTACGAGTGCCTATGGATCACAGTCTTTCAAATATTTGCAGGTCCTTCCTTAGACCAGTGATTTCTACTTGATATATAAATCTCTGAAGTAGGAGAAATGTGACTGGAGATGTGCACAGTTTACAAGAGCACACTGAATATTTTAATATAATTCTGTGCCTCAAAAACAACTCAAATAAACCCACAATGTGCTTGTAACAAATCCAAAACTACTACTAAACAATAAATACTTGAATTAAGAAACGCCCCATTTTCTTCCACTGTTCTTCATATGACACAACTTCTAACTGCATCTTCATTTAGAATACTCTCCTCTGGGCACACTCTCAGGTGTCCCTAGCCAAATGTCCAGTGTTTAATACAGGCACTTCCAGTCACACAAATTTAAAAGTTATGCTTATACTATGCTGGAGTCTATTAAGTGTGCAACAGTATATGTCTAAAAAACAATTTACATACCTTAATTAAAAATATTTCATTGCTAAAAAATTATAATGATCATATCAGCCTTCAGTGAGTTGTAATATTTTTGCTGTTAAAGGGTCTTGCCTCAATGTTGATGGCTACTGACTGTCAGGGTGGGTGGTGGTTGCTGAAGGATGGGGTGGCTGCGACAATTTCTTAAAATAAGACAACAATGAAGTTTGCTACATCAATCAACTCTTCCTGTCACTAAAGATTTCTCTGAAGCATACAATGCTGTTTGATAGCATTTTATCCATAGCGGAGCTTCTTTCAAATTCAAAGTCAATCTTTTCAAACACTGCCACTGCTATATCAACTAAGACTATGTAACATTCTAAATCTTTTTTTTTTATCATTTCAACAATGTTCACAGCATCTTCACCAGGAGTAAATTCCATCTCAAGAAAATGTTCTTTGCTCATCCATAGGAAACAACTTCTCATCCATTCAAGTTTTATCAGGATATTGTACCAATGTAGTCACATCATCAGGCTCCATTTCTCATTCTGGTTCTCTTGCTATTTCTACCACATCTGCATACCACATCTGCAATGACTTCCTCCACTGAAGTCTTTTTGAGACAGAGTCTTGCTCTGTCACCCAGGCTGGAGTGCAGTGTACTGTAATCTCAGTTCACTGCAACCTCCACCTCTTGGGTTCCAGTGATTCTCGTGCCTCACCCTCCTGAGTAGCCAGGACTATAGGCCTGCACTACCATGTCTGGCTAATTTTTGTATTTTTAGTAGAGACGGGGTTTCGCCATGTTGCTCAGGCTGGTCTCAAACTCCTAGCCTCAAGCGATCCACCCACCTCGGCCTCCCAAAGTGCTAGGATTACAGGCGTGAGCCATCGTGACTGGCCTCCACTGAAGTCTTGAACCCCTCAAAATCATCCATAAGAGTCAGAATCAACTTCTTCCAAACTCCTGTTAATGTTGATATTTTGACCCCCTCTCATGAATCACAATTTTTTTTTTGTTTTGCTTTTCTGAGATGAGGCCTCACTTTGTCCCCCAGGCTGGAGTGCACTGGCATGATCATAGCTTACTATAGCCTCAGGCCCCCAAGTAGCTAGGACTGAAAAAAAAAGAGTATTTCTATTGAAGTAAACAATATTGATCAGAAAGAAAAACATATCTTGGTTAGTTTATAAAAACAGAATGTGAGGCCAGGTGTAACGGCTCACGCCTGTAATCCCTGTACTTTGGGAGGCTGAGGCAGGATGACTGCTTGAATCCAGGAGTTCAAAGTTACAATGAGCTCCAATTACACCACTGGACTATGGCCTGGGCAACAGAGCAAGACCCTGTCTCTAAAAAAAAATACAAAAAAACAAATAGAATGTGTAATATCAGTCAATTCAGGGAAAAAAAAAAAAAAATATATATATATATATATATATACACATATATATACATATATATGTGTATATATATATATGTATATATATATATATATATCATTAAAATCTTGTGGAAAAACAGGCAAAATAAAGAGGAAAGTATAAAGTCTTAATACACTCCATGAGAGTAGGAGAACCAGTAATGCAAGTAAGCAGAGGATGTGAATGGAATGGTTTACACGAACCACTGCTTACCCTGTCAGCAGGGACATGTGAGAAGAGCCCCAGGCAAATGAAGGAGGCAGTAATCAGGGTGCAACACCAGGTAATTCAGAAGGCTCCATGTGACAATCTCAGAAGGAGCCCCAGCAGCCTGTAGAGCCCTAGGAGACTTCCTGAGGATGTGAGCCCGTGTGTCACCTTGGGCTCGCTTCGACTTGGATCATGAGTAAGGCAACCTCACTGTATAAAGCAATTGGTGAGTAAATCCACAACTTCAATGAGAAAGCCAAGGAATCAGGTGGGCACAGTGGCTCACACCTATAATCCTGGCACTTTGGGAGGCTGAGGTGGGTGGATCGCCTGAGGTCAGGAGTTCGAGACTAGCCTGGCCAACATAGTGAAACCCTGTCCCTGTTAAAACTACAAAAAATTCACTGGGTATGGTGGCAGGCACCTGTAATCCCAGTTACTTGGGAGGCTGAGGCAGGAGAATTGCTTGAACCCAGGAGGGAGAGGTTGCAGTGAGCCAAGACTGCACCATTGCACTCCAGCCTAGGGCAACAAGAGCGAAACTCTGTCAAAAAAAAAAAAAAAAAAAAAAAAAAGGAGAAAGCAAAGGAATCAAGAAATAACTTAAAAACTGTTGAAACTTCACCAAAAAACTACACTCACTGCCCCCCTGAATTTCAGCATGGAGGCTTCAGTATCCAGCATTCTTGCCAGGTAAGGTATTTCCAAGTGTTTACTGTGTGTCCATCATATAAGCCTTTCCTTTTAGCTTTCTTTGCCTTATCTATTTGATTTCCTGGCAACACGCTTTGGCTAACACATACCACTCCTCACATTCTCCCTTTTCCTCAAAGGCACTGCCTAACTGTCATACTATCAGCCACTTGATACCTTGTGTGCTTAAAGGAACCAAGAAATAGGCTTACCCTGGTGCCTGGTTTGAGGTGAAGCTGGACCAGAGTGTCAACATTGTAGTTGAAATCTGTAGGAAGGGTGGTAGCTCTCCAATTCTGGTTCTCCAAAGTGGACTTGGTCAGAATAGTAGCAGCCTATTAATTTTTTTAAAAAAAGTGTTTTAGGCATTTTAACAGTGGGCAAAACATCTTACTTTTTTTAAAGCAGTCTGGGAAGGGTTTGGGCAGCATGAGTCTACCATCAGTCTCACAGTTCTATGTAAAAAAGTGATTTTGCTAGCATTATTCTTTTTATTCTAAATTTGATTCTTTCTGCCACTGAGTTTAGGACTATTTCTTAATAGTGCGTTTAAGGAACAAGGAAGAATGAAACCATCTGTTTGCTCTAACAGTTAAATTTATACGGAATTTTAAAAAATCACATCTGAAAGGGAAAAACGAGTAAGCACAATCCTAATAAATTCAGTACAAACCTTTGTTTTTCTAAAATATACATCAAAGTCAATATCATCTTCAAAGTCAATTTCAAAATCTTTTTTTGTACTCTTCTTTTTGTTTTCTGATTGGGAAGGAGCATCTTCTGCAGAGTGAACACAGACGTCAGCACTTCACTTCTGTGGCCTAAACTATTTACTCATTTCACAAGATCTGCTGACAGCCTTATCAAGGCTTATCAAAACCACAAGGCAGCATTGTGTCTGAGCATCACAACAGTAGGAGTGCTCAATCACACACCCTCTTTTCATCCTAAACTTATAATTTGTGTTTTGGCTAAGAAAACACATCAGAAACATATGCTTGGCCAGGTGCAGTGGCTCATGCCTGTAATCCCAACACTTTGGGAGGCTAAGGCAGGAGGATCACTTGAGGCCAGGAGTCGAGACCAGCCTAGGCAACAAAGCGGGATCCCATCACTATGGAAAATTTAAAAATTAACTGAGCATGCTGGCATGCCCTTGCAGTCCCAGCTATTCAGAAGGCTGAGGTGGGAGGACGCTTAAGCCCAGGAGGTCAAGGCTGCAGTAAGCCATGATTCACCACTGCACTTCAGCCTGGGTGACAGTGTGAGACCCTGTCTCAAAAGCAAAACAAAACATAAAACAACAGATGCTTATCCCTTTCTTTCAAAGAGACAATGCAAAACACATAAGGTCAGCACAGCCCTTTGGAGTTCTACAGAATGCCAACATGTGCAGTAGCTCCTGTGTGCCCTCTAGTGCCCGGGGGTCATGCCCACCCGTGACCACTGAGTGAAGTCATGTGGATACTAGGGAGCAGTGTGAGGCTGGGAGTCCAGTTCTCCTGACTCCAGTACTCACTCTCCTCACTCAGAGGCTTCCATTTTCACTGTCCCTTCATCCCAGGCCAGGCAAACTGACCAACCAGGAGGCTGGCTCATCTGTATGCTTCCTCGGCTTATTAAGAGACACAACAGGGCTGTGACTGGCATTTCTTTTCCTTGGCTAACTGCTGACTGGCTGGTCATCTACACTACTTCTTTTCTTAAAATTCCACCTAGAATTACATACGTTTGCGTCGAGGCCTAAAGCGCCAGTGATCCGGGCCAGCCCACATCGACATGGTCCGAGGACTGAAATAAGAATATTCTCCAGGTTTCATAGACAGAAGGGGGCACATGGTCCTGATGTCTCCATCCCCAAGGGAAATCATTTCTTCCCTGTAACACACATATTTGTACATGTACAATACATATATTATAATGCTGTATTTACATATGAAGCATATGTCCGCAAATGAGCTGCATTTCTGTGAGTCCAATACAAATAACTTCATTATTAATAATTCCTTTTACTTCTCAAGTACTTTTCCTTCCCTTAATTTTATAACAATATAATCATATCTATACAAGTACTCTGGAAGTTTCAAAGTGCACCATAAAATGCTAGTCTACCTAATTTGAGAGACAAGATGACAAAAGTAAAGAGAATTCTTTTGGCTGGGCGCGGTGGCTCACGCTTGTAATCCCAGCACTTTGGGAGGCCAAGGCGGGCGGATCACAAGGTCAGGAGATCGAGACCACCCTGGCTAACACAGTGAAACGCCGTCTCTACTAAAAATACAAAAAATTAGCCGGGCGTGGTGGCGGGCGCCTGTAGTCCCAGCTACTCCGGAGGCTGAGGCAGGAGAATGGCGTGAACCCAGGAGGTGGAGCTTGCAGTGAGCCGAGATCGCGCCACTGCACTCCAGCCTGGGTGACAGAGTGAGACTCCGTCTCAAAAAAAAAAGAGAATTCCTTTGGGTAAGAATCTACAGCTAGTAAAATGCCGGAGCTGGGAGCTGGACACAAGTCCCTTAATCCCAGCCTCGGGGTCTTTCCACACACATGCTTCTTGCCACACAAGATGACAAATCCCTCATTCGTCACCATCCTTCTGTAAATGAGGGCTCCAAAAGATACCGCTATAGTTCCTACTAAAAGTGAAAAAACATGTTTGTCTAATTATTTAGTTCCTCTAACGCTTTGGGGGCTCCCCTTATAATCTGTTAGGTCATCCAGCTTTATTCTTTGCCGTGTGTAAAGTGTCTAAGTGGTCAGTGCAGCATGGCAGTTTCAGTTTGGTTTTTCACTCTTTCTACATTTTTAAAAAATAGAGATGGGGTCTCACTATGTTGGTCAGGTTGGTCTTGAACTCCTAGCCTCAAGCAATCCTCCTGCCTCAGCCTCCCAAAGTGCTAGGATTACAGGCGTGTCAGGATTATACCGTGCCCAGCCATTTTTCACTCTTTCCACAAGGTACAAGCTTTCTCCTAAAGGGCTCCAACATGTCAGAAAGGACGCTGGTGCTGCTGTACTGCCCTCTGAAGGTAAGGTAACCAAGAAGTTTCAGAAGAGTGGCCTTGTATTTGTATTGAGCCTACATATAGTTCCCGTTTATATAAGCCATATGGAATAAGCTAAAAAGGCTTTTAAAAGGGGATTTTGTCTTTACATACAGAATTTTAAAAAACAAAAACAGGAGACTACATTTGTGCATTTATTGTGTAATTAAAACCTAATTTAAAAAAATAAAATACACAATAAAAAAATCACATTTCTAGTCTGTATGGCCTAGTGCTGTAACAGAATCTGATACCTAGCATGTTATTAAGTAACAAATGCACTGTGCTGTGAACTCCAGAGGTAGAAGGAAGAAGTTTCAACAGCATCCCCACTCCATTCTGATGGATATTCTTCCATTAGGAAGAGTGGCTCCCATTCCCAATTCTGGTGATGGAGCTGGACAGAGGCTCTGCAGGATTTTTGAACTGTAGTAATTCAATAATTCTTTCAACATACAATGCTATGTCGCAGGCATCCTACCAGTCCCAATTTCACCACTCAACAACTAAATGAATCCACCTATAGTCCAAAATAGTCTATCCATTTTTCAAGGCTGCCCACTTCAAACATCTCCAGTCCCTCCAGGAAAACTCTGTATTTCTTCTATCCCCTCCCCATAATATCACAGGGTCCCTCCTTCAATTTAGCCATGGTTCAATCCACTGTCCTAACACTGGCAAGATAAGGTCTCCTCCCAGCTGGCTCAGCACATCAGGCAGCATGCAGCCGAATGTTTCATTCTCGCATGCGTGAAGTAGGCTGTGTTCTGGGCTTTGACCTCCGACTAGGTCATTAACCACAGTAACTGCCTTATGTAAGCATGCTGGTACTACAGAAGGGTCGGCCAGAGAACACTTGGCTCCAAGTGTTCTTGGGCTGCTGTTGCTGCTGCACAGAGAGGGAGCTCACTCTTAGACATCAAGCACTTTTGCAGACCAGTCCTTACCAATGCATGTGCACAAAGAGCTCCACCTTTTACGCTTGCAGTTGTCAATGTGCTGCCATGCAGAGACCAATAACGTGAGGCATCTACACAACACTGGTATTTATCACTCAGCATTGCCCCACCCCACCTTCATCCAGAGGCCTCCGAAGACCTCTCAGTAGAGTACAGTGGTTTTCAGCCCTGGGTGCAGAACACAATCACCCGGGGATGGTAACGTGATGTCTGGCCCCCTCTACCCACTGAGATGCTCAGGTGGTGTGGACTGGAGCCTGCCATCCAAAGCTCACTATATGTGGCCAGGACTGGTCAAAGGTGCTGGGTGGCAACCAGCTCCACCCCATTAAACTCTCTGAGCCTGTTTCCTCATCTGTAAAATGAGGATAATAGGACCTAATTATAGGGTTGCTGCAATAAAATAATTAATTTTAGATATTATGTAAATTATGTGAAATAACACACATAAGGCACCTGGCGCAGCATCTTGCACAAAGAATAAGGAGCTCAATAAATATCAGATATTGTTATTATCAACTGGTCCCAACCTTGCATTTTATGGATGAGAAAACAAAGACCGCAAAAGGTGATAACATTGCCCCACATCTCAGGGCTAGTAACGGCAAGATCAGATCTACTCCAGATCAAACACTCACTGAATTCCCAGGAAAGGCCAGCGATGTGGCAAGGGGAGGGGATTTAAGGATGGGTAAAATCTGAGACTAGAACTGCAGCCTCCCACGCCTAATGTACTAGGTAGGATAGAGTCTAAGATTTTGTGCTGTTTGGAATAGGGGAGAGAAGTGGAGACATTTGTTCAAAATAACCAGCAGAAAACATCTTCCAGAAACCAAATAAAAGTCATGGAAGCCCTTTGTTATTGTCAGTCCCTCAGATGTCACCTCACTGTTTAAGGAAAGTGATAGCTTTTCTCTGACATTTGAAAATGATGTTTTTAAGAGTTCATCCCATCAACCTATCATTTCTCCCTTCTTAGAAGACAGGATGGCCAGGCGCAGTGGCTCACGCCTGTAATCCCAGCACTTTGGGAGGCCGAGGTGGGAGGATCATGAGGTCAGGAGATCGAGACCATCCTGGCTAACATGGTGAAACCCCGTCTCTAATAAAAAAATTAGTCAGGCATGGTGGCGGGCGCCTGTAGTCCCAGCTACTCGGGAGGCTAAGGCAGGAGAATGGTGTGAACCCGGGAGGCAGAGCTTGCAGTGAGCAGAGATCGCGCTGCTGCACTCCAGCCTGGGCGACAGACCGAGACTCTGTCTCAAAAAAAAAAAAAACAAAAAAACATAAAAACAAAAAAGACACGATGAGAATGGGGCAAAATTGCAGCCATGTGAACAGTACAATTCCGGAGAGCAGGGTGCTACTGAGCCTGGATGGGCAGTGGCGCCTTGATAATGTCTTTAAAAGACATTATCAGCCTAATCGTTTCCCACAAGGGCAGACAAAATGAGCTTAGGAAAGACATCCGAGCAGGGTCTTGAAGAGATTTTTGTCATAGCGGGAAATTATACTAAGCAACTTCTAAGGTTTTACTCAAAACCAGCTTGGCTGTCCCCAATCCCAGTTCTGCAAAGCTCTGTTACAGACATAGGAGTTAACAGAGGGACTGTTCACTCTAATCTCATGAAATCTCCTACCCCCAGGCCCATTGAAGACCTTTACAGGACCATGACATTAAAGTGTTGTGAGACCCTGCTTCCAAATCATATTTAGAATTAAAACAATACTAACCTATTAAGTACATAAAGGCCAACCAAGTTCTGATTATTTTTATGATGTTTACTAGGGTAATCAAAAATTTAATTACTAAACCAATTCTTCTTCTTCTCCTCCAAATATTCTCAATTTATTGGTTGGTTTTGTTTTCCCTGCCTTGCTCGTCCCCAGTCTGCCCATCTGGTAACCCAACACTGCCTAACCCCCACTTGCTTACCTTTCAGGTGGTAAATTGGTGGCTTAGAGTCACCAACAGCCACACTATAAGCAATGTGTACAAAGGGAGCATGCTCTCTGCTACCAAAATGCACGTGGTAACAACAGCCACATTGACGTAATTACTAGATCCCAGGTGCTTTGTTCCAAACGCTTTACATTGTTCTAATCCTTACAAACTCTTGCAATGTCAGTTTTATAACCAAAGTGGCTAAGCCGACATTCAAAGCCAGGTGTGATTCCTCTGAGTCAGAAAGGCTCAGCTGAAAAGCTCAGCTGATGTGTATGACACAGCACACCAGCCCAGCCAATCAGACATCAAATTCAATCACCCCAGCAGGAAATCTGTTAAGAACTGATAGTGCCCAGGCATGGTGGCTCACACCTGAAATCCTGGCACCTTGGGAGGCCAAAGCAGGAGGATTGCTTGAGCCCCAAGAGTTCAAGACCAGCCTGGGCAATGCAGTGAGATGCCCGTCTCTATTTTTGGGGGGGGAAAAAAAAAGAAAGAAAAATTTTTTAATTAGAAAAAAAAGAAAAAGAAAAAAGAACCAATGGAAAACTCCTATAGAAACACTTTCGGACTCTGAGAGCCTTACTGGCAGCTCTGAACCTGGCAGGGCTCCTTCCAGCTCCTGAACTCTTCATGATCCCCAACTGCGGTGTGGTCAGGTTCATCGTTGGCATCAAAGTCATCCCCCAGGGACCCATCGGGGAAGTCTCCACAGTCACTCTCGTCAACTTCAGCATTGATGTCAAATACCTGGTCATTCTTCTTAAACTTGTCTACCAGGGCCGACACAGACTGGAGGGACAAAAGAGGGTTCTGTAATTCTCATTCCTATAACCACCCCAAATCACCACTGGAGGGACAGCCTTCTCACCCTTAAATTTCAGTTTCCAGCCTCCTCCTTCCCCTGAGCCACCCTTCCCTTTCCCATCCCCTGCCTGCCTGGGCCAAGACTCTCACGATAGTACAGTGAGGGGGAAGTTTATATTGTGCAGCACAGGAGGAAGCTGCATTGTTGTCAGGCACATTTTGTAAAACATGAAACAGGATTCTGTACCCATTAACTACATGTTTGCAGAAAACAGTTTTCCATGGAGATCATTTATTTTGGAAATTGTAGTAAGTAGGCTAAAGGGGGCCATGCTAAAAATACACAGAGGAAAGCTCTACACATGACAATTTCTCAGGAAACTCTGTGCCAAGGGATTCAACCCCAAAGAGCAGGAAATTCCTCAAGCTTGACGGCAGCCTAAGAGATTCGAGGCCACTGGGATAACCACATTCAAGAGTAAATCTAATTATAAATGTTCACTGATTAATGCCAGGGCCGCCTTACCCTAGGATAGCAGAAGAGAGGACATAAAGCTGATCCTGGAACTCACTTACCTCTAGAATAGTCCTGCTGGGGTTCACAACCCTACCCTCCTCCCTCAGGGTTTTTGTCCCTACAGAAGTGCCAAAGGAAATATTTTCTGTACTCCTGGCTAAATAAAGATGATGCCACAGTTTTGGTTCCCATTGGGCAGGACCACTCTTGAGCCAACTAACTGAAACCATGAGCCACTAAAACTTGACCACACCTCATTATGTGTTTCACTGTCCCACTGTGTAAACTGGAACCCGGCCAGGGAAGGGCAGATCTGGCGATCTTCTGCACACTGCTGCAAGGGCGCTGGAGAGGATAGCAAGATCACAAAGAGAGATTAGAAGGGGGTCAAGTGCATTCCTTACTCCCTTCAGAATGATACTGAGTGGGACGAGAGATGAGAGGCACAGTTACCTCACTGTCCTCCAGCAAAGGCTCAAGTATCATCAGTGGCTGGCTAGCTGCCAGTCTGTGTCCCTGCCTCTTCTGGGAGCGAGCAGATGCGTCGGCCACACCCACGCTGGAGTGAGGCTATGCACTGTCATCGCACAAATTAGTAAAATACTAGAGGAGAAACCTAAAGCACAGACATTCGATTCTGAAATGAATTCTGTGACCTATGCTATAGCTGGGAAATCAAACGCTTCGTCTTAAAAATACACCAAGTACATAGGCAATCATGTAATGGTACTTTAACTTATTTTTAGTCCCAAACTAGAGAAGACTTACTTCAGGGGATTAGAGCCCCAAATGAGAGCACAAACTTGGAAAATAGATCGTTAGCACAAAAACTATACTAAACAAAATTGAGGCAAGAATAGAAATGACAAGAATGGGAGCTAACAACTGCCCAGCCTGGAGGGGAAGTATTAATTTCATTCAACACATAAAAATGACCGCACTTGAGATGAAGATCAGCGAGAGTACGAACACTGCATTGGAAATGTGCAGGAGGGGGCAGCTCTTCTGGGACCCCAAGTGTAGCTACTGCACTGCACGCACCTGGCCTCCCTACCTGCTGGCACCTCATTACAACATCCCAAGGAGAACCCCCAACTCAGGCGTGGAGGCGTATATGGGAGGGATGCTAAAATCTCTGTCAAGCCAGTATAGGGGACTGATAATAGGAGAGATCAGTTCTTAGACTGCTGCAGAGGAGTCTCAAAACAATTCACAACGCTCTCTTCTCCTCAGGGCCCCCTGGATGGGGAGCAAATAAAAACAAAGCCTCTCTGGCTAGGCAAAGGTCTCTCTAAGTCCCCTTCCCAAGAACAAACTGACACTCCAGGAGGAACCCAGGTCTCCCAAATGTGACTTGGAGAGCTGACTGCAAACAGTGGGCACCTAAGGTACCGGGCACATCAAGACCAAGAGGCGATGGTTTACCGTTTTAGACTCCACGCCGCAGAGAAGACAAAAGTTAGTGGGTTGCAAGGCACTCCCAAAAGGATACACAATTTGGCATTCCAGAGGAAACTTCTGGGTAATTTAAGCAACATAAGAGCATGATGGGCTTATTGTACCCCATGGTTATGTAAAAAAATTCCCCAATGACTGAAATGCTCTGGTGAAAGGCATCACTTGTACTTACCTTTTAAATCTGTCATTTCTACACAACCTAACTCTGGCAACTCGAGAGGTTCTCCCGTGGAGAGAGTCTGGACATCAGAGGGAAACAGCAGTTCACTTCTGTAGTCCTGGCAGTGGAGAGTGGACAGAAACACCCCTGCTGTGCTGCACTCATCAAATGAGGCTGCTGTCTTCTGAAACATGGGATCAATCTGAACACAGAGAGAGAAGAAACTGAAGATTTACGGCATGTAGCCAAGGGAAAGATAAATTCTCATGCATTTGGCCCCACTCATTAGCAGGTATATACACTGGACTGAAATATCTCCACTCATGGTCAAAAGTGGTTTGTTTTTGTTTTTTTTTTTTTTTTTTGAGATGGAGTCTTGCTCTGCCGCCCAGGCTGGAGTGCAGTGGCATGATATTGGCTCACTGCAACCTCTGCCTCCCAGGCTCAAGCGATTCTTGGGCCTCAGCCTCCAGAGTAGTGGGACTACAGGTACGCACCACTACATCTGGCTAATTTTTGTATTTTTAGTAGAGACGGGGTTTCATCATATTAGCCAGGCTGGTCTTGAACTCCTGACCTTAAGTGATCCACCCACCTTGGCCTCCCAAAGTACTGGGACTACAGTTGTGAACCACCGCACCCAACAAAAGTGGCTTTCTAATTGAGCAGATAAAATCCCGGTTCAAAAGAAAGGCTGGTTATAGTCAGGAGATAAACATATACTGCTCCAGAAGACAGTATGTGGTGGCAAGTGTACACTGTGTCAAATGGCTTTTTTATAATACATCTGGACGTGTATCCTTGCTGCTGGTCTCCTTCTATAAGTCACTAACAAATGCCATTGGCTTAAAAAGCCTGTATGATAGGGCTAGTCACAGGGCTCTATTGTTCCTCTGAACAGAAATATCTTCTAAAGTTTGGAAGAACATACCCAAGATATCCAGGCAAAGGACAGAGTCAGTAGGGCTAGCTGGCTGGGTGAAACCTGAGAGAGGTTTTAAGAAGGTCCCTAAGGCTGGGTCAGGAGCAGGAATGGCATGGCCATATGACACCAAGCCCAAAGGCAAAAACAGGCACTGGGCATAAGAACAGGGACAGGGTGAATCACACACATGTGCAGCAAGAGGCTAGAAGCCCCCTGGGACTCTGCAGGTGACCTTGAGACAGGAGATACGGTTGGGTATGGGGTTCACAGGTCTTCCTGATGCCTCAGAACGTGGCTACTATGGAGAGAGAGGGGCTTGGATAGGACAACACAGATGTGCCTCCCTGGCTCTTCCCTGGTCCCCTTAGCTCGGAGTCCAAGCTCATCAGAACTGAGGTTCAGCTCCTGCCGTACCATAAACCCATCTCACCATTCTTTGTCCCAGAGCAGCACATTCGTCATCTCCACATTCTCCCATCCCTTTAGCCCTCAGGCAGCCACACGTCCAAGTCGGTTTCCTCCCAGTGCATCTTTCCATCCCCAGAGCCAGCAATATGACCCTTATCTCTGGCCTCTCCCAATTCCCATCCTAAAAATACCTATTTTTTTTCCCCATCCTAAAAATACCTAAAAATAGGTTACTCCTATTCCATTCTCAAATGCTATCCAGAGTAATGGTTTCCCACCTGGAGCCCTGCACCCCTAAAAGTCTTGTGTAGGTAGTTAACGGAACTATACTCAGCACTTCAGAGCCAACATGGAAATTGTACACTGACCCACATTAAAGCTGAAAGCACTATGATAATGTTCCTCACTTGTGTCTAGAATTATATCATGTGTGACAACAGAGGGATTTATATCCCCAAGCAATTCAATGGGACAATGAATTATGGCTGACTGTGTAGTTTGAGTAGATGAAACCTTCTGAAACAAGGGTCCACAGTAAGGAAGGACCACAATAAAAGGCCTTACAATAGACTGAATGATAAAGTTCAAGATCTCTTTAGGTGATTTCTAAAAGCAAATCCTTGGCGCTAGCCAAACTCGTATACTCTCCAGCTTCCTAATCAGAACCTTCCTGTGCTATGGCTTTTGCTTTTACACCTCTGCTTAGAATCACCTCCCTGGCAATGCCTACCTGACAAGACACCTAGCCTTCCTTCATGGCCCAGTTCAAGTCTTGCTTCTTCCATAAACTCTGAGCCCTACCAACTCTGGTTTCCTATAGCATGTGCCTTGACCTTCCTTGCATTCATCTACCTGTATTCTCCTGGTATAAAGAACTGAAGCATAATCATGTTTGAATCCTCTATGACAGCAAATGTTCTGCAAATACCAAAGAGCTGTGTCCAAAAGAGATCGGCTCATATATAAAGAAGTGCTCTCAACTGGTCTAGACACACCCACACATTTGCTTTCTGATCTCCAAGAAAATGAGAGTTTACACCTGTAATCCCAAGTGTACTGGGAGGCCGAGGCAGGCAGATCACTTGAGGTCAGGAGTTTGAGACCAGCATGGCCAACATGGCAAAATCCCATCTCTACTAAAAATAAAAAAATTAGCCAGGCATGGTGGTGCACGTCTGTAATCCCAGCTACTTGGGTGGCTGAAGCAGGAGAATTGCTTGAACCCAGGAGGTGGAGGTTGCAGTGAGCCAAGACTGAACCATTGCAATCCAGCCTGGGCAACAGAGTGAGACTCCATCTTAAAAAAAAAAAAGAAAAGAAAATGAGAGTTTAATAAACAGTTGAAGCTTTAAATTCTGTTTGTGACAATCCATCCCTCTTTTTTATCTTCCATACTCTTGATGATTACAAGTTTACAGCAACTTACAGAGCAAAAAAAGCTTTCCAGGATTGGAGTATTTGGCATTTCTTCATGACAGTATTCATTTCACTTAGCATAAACATACCACAGCCTGTCAATATCAGGCTTAGCGAAATCAGCCCTACTTGCTGCTCTCTCCTTTTCTCTTTATAATCATGGGAAAAGCTAATGCAGGCCTGGGAAATAGTCCGTTTTCCTCAGGCTCCCAGAATTGAGATTACCTGGTAAGAAAGAAGATGACTACAAAACAGAATTTCCAAACATCCTGTACTTAATAATCCGATTGATTTGAACATTTCACTATAGAATCAAAAGCAAGAATGACAGTAAGGGCCAGGAGCGGTGGCTCGCGTCTGTAATCCCAGCACTTTGGGAGCCCCAGTGGGTAGATCACTTGAGATCAGGAGTTCGAGACTAGCCTGGTCACCATGGTGAAACCCCATCTCTACTAAAAATACAAAAAAATTTAGCTGGGCGTGGTGGTGCGTCCCAGCTACATGGGAGGCTGAGGCACGAGAATCGTTTGAACCGGGGAGACAGAGGTTGCGGTGAGCCAACATCGTGCCACTGCACTCCAGCCTGGGCCACAGAGCGAGACCCTGTCTCAAAAAAAAATAATAATAATAATGACAGTAAGATAAATTCCAGATTATCTGGGAAGGGGAAAAAACAAGGAGAATTGGGGGAGGGAAGGGAACGTAGAAAGGGCTTTCTGGATCCCTATGACTAATAAATAATACCACTTCAGATGTGTGTAGCATATCACCATGTTTAAAGACCTTGACATAGGCCAGGTGCGGTGACTCACACCTGTAATCCCAGCACTTTGGGAGGCCGAGGCGGGCGGCGGATCACAAGGTCAGAAGATCAAGACCATCCTGGCTAACACGGTGAAACCCCGTCTCTCCTAAAAATACAAAAAATTAGCCGGGCATGGTGGCGGGTGCCTGTAGTCCCAGCTACTCTGGAGGCTGAGGCAGGAGAATGGCGTGAACCCGGGAGGTGGAGCTTGCAGTGAGCTGAGATAGCGCCACTGCACTCCAGCCTGGGCGACGGAGCAAGACTCCATCTCAAAAAAAAAAAAAAAAAGAGAGAGACCTTGGCATAAATGGATTCACTAATATAAAACCGAGATGTGGTTGGGGCCAGCGTTCCCCATTTTTTATAGTATATGACAGTGAGATTCACAACTCTTCCCAGGTCAACAGCTAAGCACCGCACCCGGCCTACGTCAAGGTCTTTAAACATGGTGATATGCTACACACATCACCCACGGTTAATGCTGACACACACATAAGGAAAAAATACAACTCCCTCTCCCCACAAGAGCCAGCTGCTCTCGCCTCTCCCCTCCCTCTTAGGCCTCATTCTCAGTGACTCTCCTTCCTCTGGCCCCTCCCTGCCCGTGCACAGCAATGCCCTGCTCACCTCACCACTCAGAGTGGGCATGGCAAGGCCCCACCTCCCTAGCCCCTTGCACACTCAGTCTTACCACTACCATCTGCTGTAAGAACACTGGCATTCATCTCACTGTTGCCCTTTATCTGGCTTATTTATTAATTACACAAAAAGACCCAAGACACCCACAATTCTACATTTCTTGGACTCTAAGATCTATAGAACTCTGATGCCACCTCCCACCCCACCACAGCCCCCATCTCCCACTCCTCCTCAAAAACTGGTATTTCCTCAGGGCCCTCTAGACTCAGTCATCAGCAAAATTCTCTCTATCGCCCACTTAGTTCCTGAGGATTATCTCCACCTACTTGTTCTAATTTATGTATTCTCAATGGTGTTCTCATTTCACTCTCAAGGGGTGAAAACTGTTTCCTAGAGGCTAGGTGGGAAAAATCTTAGATATTACAATAATGTTTGCCTATCCAAATCTCTACCCTATCTGACAAAATCTTATTCCTTAGTATTTCATTTTAAGGGGAAGGAGTAGGCACAAAATGTCTAAATGGGTCTGAAGGGGCAAAAGTGATAAAAAAAAAAAAAAAACAGGCTGAGGGGCACTGCTCCAATTGAGACATGGTGCCAGCCTGAGGATAGGCTTCCCCTGCGGGCCTCTGCAGTGGCTGCTTTCTCTTCACAGCCGTCAAACCAGTGGCCTACAGGTGGGCCAGGTGATTGCAGCATCCAACTATCCCCCCTCCCAATTTCTAATGCCCCAGCTCTGAGTACAACATCAGCTTTTGCCACTGTCTGCCCATCTGTGTTGCAGTCATCTTCCAATCCCCAGGTCACAACCTGTCCTTCTTCTCAGAAGATCTTAGTATTAGTTTATGGCTCATTACTAGTCTCCAAATTTATTCCTGGTGTAGCTCTTATTGATTTCAATATCCATATGTTGATCCATCCAGTACACTGTCTCTTGGTTGATATCCTCTCCTTCAATGGTCTCCATCCTAAGAAACCCAGGACTCCAAGACAGCCAAGTAAGACACCAAGACAGCCTAGTAAGACCCCTACCCCGCCTCCGCCATTTGCTCCCTTGCCTGCTCTGAGTTGACTCATTAACCATGACTGCAACCTCTCTATATCCTCAATTCTAGGGCCCCTCTCTGGCAACCACCTCCTACATTTCCAGCTCACCCCTTCTTGTCCCCAACACCACGAAGTCTTTGACCCCACCAGGCCTACAATCTACTGATTATATTACTTTCCACTGCCCTCATTCCCCTGTCTTCCGAGGTAAAATTCCCTAAGCAGTGAATGCAACCACACCTTTACACATGCACTCACCTCCTCCAGTGTCCCTTTCCAGCTGTGTCCATTCACTCAGCTCAACAGGATCCCATATTAAACCCAACTTTCTGCCTACTCCATGATTGTACCCACACAGCTATTCACGGCTGGACAGAGACACAAAATAATGCTGACTGACCTCACTTTATATCCATCTGCCACCACCCTCAAGTAGACCCTAAGTTGTCTAACAGTCACACCATATCTCCCTAGTTCATGTACTCGCCCACCTCCTAGAGGACTCTTTCCTACCCTTTCCCCTCCTCACGCCCCCAGTGCCTTCCTTCCCTATCCTCACTGTAAGCTGATGACCTGGCTTCCTGTTTTAAGACAGTATCCAGAAGGCTCCCCCATGAGTGCACCCAAACAACACCCGTCAGCCGAGCCCAACCTGTGCTGTCCATTCCCTACCTCTCACCTGCGCAAGGACATCAGCCTGGCAATTCTCCTTTCTGCTGCATCATCAATAATCCCTTCTCCAAACTAGACTGCTGTCATCAACAAAATATGCTGTCATTTCTCCCATTCAAAAACAAAATCAAAACTCTTGGCCTTACTTTTCCCTCCATTTGCTATCCCAGTACTCTGCTCCAAATTATAGCAAAACTCTTCAAAACAACTACCTATATTCAAGTGTTTTCAGTCCTTTCCTCCCATTTATCATAAAAAAAATTTCAGATCCACAAGAATGTTGAAACAGTAATACGAATCTCTGTAAAGCTTCTACTCAGATTACCCAATGGGTAGCATTTTGCATATTTGTTTTCATTTACTCTCTCTATATATATCTCTCTCCCCACCCCAGAGTCTTTTGTCAGTAATCCTCATGACACTTCACCATGTCCCAGTTACTAAGCTACTGCCTCTCAGCTCTAAGCCTACCCTCTCTCCTTGGCTGTGATGCAGGGTCTGGGACATTCAGCTTTGCCGGCAGCTCCCTGTTAGGGTTTACCAAGTAGGGGCACTAGAGGGAGACTACAGGCTCCAAGGGAGAGAAGGCACTGCTCCTTTCTGCAGGTTGCATGTTAGGAGAGCGTCACCCAGCAGTGTTCCACCCCGGCTGCAGCAGAGCCCAC
This sequence comes from Homo sapiens, assembly GCF_000001405.40. Taxonomy (NCBI): domain Eukaryota; kingdom Metazoa; phylum Chordata; class Mammalia; order Primates; family Hominidae; genus Homo; species Homo sapiens. The sequence goes on along the minus strand of NC_000002.12, from coordinate 96,345,455 downwards.
CTGTAGCAGCAGCTGAACCCCACTGGCAGATTTTCACACTCACAGAACCAGCCTTATTGAGACACCAGCACCAGCCAGCATGCCCCCGTTCCAGGGTCTGGGTCCTGGGCACACAATCCCCTCCCTCAAACTCAGGGACACTAGCACCAGCCAAGCCCTTCCCTGGAGGTCTGAGCTTGAGTTTCAGAGGGGCCCCCACTCCAAGCTCATTAGTGGCCTCAGGTTGCCACATTTGGCATGGTTGATCATTCCCCACTCCCTGAAATATTTTCTCATTTGGATACCACGCTCTTCTGGTTTTCCTCCTACCTACTGGATGTTTTTTCAGCTCTCTGAACTCCTAAGATTGGGGAAAAGGAACTCCCAGTCTTTTTCCCATATACATTCATTTCCTTGGTGACCAATTCTAGTTTTGTGACCTTAATTACCATTTATGAATGTTGTGGAGGTAAGAGAGAAAAGTAATCTAGTCTACTGCTAGTGGGAGAGTAAATTAGTACCTTTTTTTGAGGGCAACTTAAAATCCATGTCTCAGAATTTTCTTACAGATATTCTCCCATACGAGTGCAAAGATAATATGTATTAGAATGTTCACTGAAACAATGTTTTTAATGGCAGAATTAAAAAATAAAATTGTAGTAACACCTGTTTGCTTTAAATTAACTGTGCTAATTATAGATGAGGCCTCCAGTACCATTTGTTTAAGCCGATTCCTTAGGATTTGCTAGATAGATGATTTAAAGCTAGGATTCTGGAGTTAGACCACTTAGCTTCAACTTCTAGCTCACTTACTAGATGTGTCGTTTCAGGCAAGTCATTGTGCCTCAGTTACCTCTTCCTAAAATGATACAAGAATGTTGTGAGGATTAAATGAGTTAATACAGGTTACAGGCTTAAGGAAGCACATGGTGCTCACTATGTGTACATTAAATGTTAGCTAACATAACCACTGCTACATTTACTAGGAAATAAAATTAATTTTTTATCAATTAGATTTCTCAGCAATTTGCAGTCTCTTCCTTTTGAATCATTCTGAAACACTGAGGGACTTACTTTTAGTCTTTACTGTCAAGCTAAAAGATGATAATGCAGAGATATCAGTTGAATATTTTACTCCCTTGAGGCTTAAACAGGCACATACCAGCAAGGCAGCCTTAGCCCTGCCAAGTCTCAGCCCCTAAGGTTCTGAATTAGTCAGAAACCACACTGCGCATACAGTTCCTCACCTCACACTTCCGATCTGCTTCGGAGACATTGAGGTTGTTTATGTTCTGCTCAATAGTTCTGTGTAAGTGCTTCTTCTTTGGCTTTACAGCCTTTTTGGTTGTTCCCATTTCAGTAGCACTTCCATCTAAAAGGAGAAATACAATTGCGTACTGCAAGGGCTGCTTTGAAGCATGTGATGAACTTACTAACTCAAGTTCTTCAAAACCTGTCGTAATTTAAACATGTGAGGCCAGGTGTGGTGGCTCATGCCTGTAATCCTAGCGCTTTGGGAGGCTGAGGCAGACGGATCACTTGAGCTCAGGAGTTCAAGACCAGCCTGGCCAACATGACAAAACCCCGTCTCTACAAAACAGTACAAAAATTAGCCAGACATGGAGATGCACACCTGTAGTCCCAGCTACTTGGGGTGGTGAGGCAGGAGGATCACTTGAACTTGGGAGCCAGAGGCTGCCGTGAGCCCAGATCACACCACTGCATACCAGCCTGGGTGACAAAGTGAGCCTCGTTTCAAAAAAAAAAAAAACAAAACTCCAACCCCAACCAAACAAAAAACACGCAGTTCTCTCAAAACATCAGGCATATTTAATCTGCAACTTATGGAGAAACCAAACTATTAGATTTGGCTTCTCACGCAAGTCCATTTCCAAAGACTCCCAGATCAGAAGTTCCTTAGTTGGTGATGTTTACACAACCTGGCCTAAATAAAATATAAACGCTTTTATAAGGCCCTTCTCTTTTTCAAGGAAATATAATTTTAGTGTTTGAGTATCTTCTCACGTAAGACCATATATGGTTCTAAAAATGCCCTGTCTTCAATAAAATGAGATCACTTATTTCTTGTGACCTTCTTCTAGTATATTACTCAAGTAACTACCTGGTATGCCCTAAAAAGAGCCACTTAAATCCAGATCCCTACCCACCTACCAGCAACATGGCCTTCTACTTCTTCCAAAGACGGTGCATCTTTGCCCAGCCCCCCAAGGACTCTGTATACATCGGCATGGACGGCATCCACGCGCACAGCATAGATCTTGGTGCTGGCATCCAGAGTACCCGCAGCCACCTAGTCAAACAATCAGAGCTGCACTCACAAAGATACACAAAAAACAACTTCTGAACAGGTAAAACACAGCAAGCTTCACAAAATATTTACTTGCCCCAAGGAAGCAATGACAAAGATCCCTCTATGACTGATAGGGAATAAACAGAATATATATTCTCTCTGTATTTCATCAGTTTAGGAAAAGAAAGTAAATTAACTAACATAACATCTAAATGAGAAGTCTCTCATGTATTTGCAGCATTCAACTGTGTTATGCCAAGTAGTAGAAATCATCATCATTTAATTCAGATGCAAGAGAAAGTGGACATCCTTCTTACTTTAAAGTTGGTTGGTTCGGTGTCTTTCTGTTTAAGAATCTCTGACATAAAATCAATCAAGTGCAAACCAAAAGCATTCTTGGTAGTGATTTTCTGAAAACAGAAAATTGCAGAAAGGATTGTTATTTATAGCCTAGGCTCATGTAAATAATGCTGCTTTTAACAGAGGAAGCTAAGTCTTTACATAGGAATACCCACATATTGTCACTGATCTCTCTTCCCAAAAACACTTGTCAAGAGCCAAATCCTCACAGGCATGTCCTCATGTTCAAGGCTAGGGAATGACGGCACAAAATTCCTGAATGCTCAGTGTGTGCAGGCCCTGCTCTAAGCACTGCACACAAAGGGACTCACCCTCCAAACAACTTCATGAGGCAGGCACTACCCCCATTCTCCAGAGGACACGGAAGCAAAATGGTTGGGTGGCTCACACACAGCTTAGAAGCATGTAGCCTCCAACTCAGGCTAGCTCCAGAACTCTACTATTAACTCATGCGCCATGCTGCCTTTCTAGATACACAGCAGATAGCTGGCAGCCTCTCAGGAGGTGCACCACGGGTCCAGAGTAAACAGTAAAACCACCAGCACTAAGATGACTCACCAGAGAATTATCATCATTGATTGTGCATTATCTACAGAAACAAGATAGCTGGATTTCCCCTGTGATCAAGGGATTACGTCTTCAATAATAAACCAGCAAATACTCACATTTTCAGTGGACAGTTTGATACAGGTGGAGTAATGTTCCGTAATCTGCGTGTTTGTAAACTTGGGGATAGTAGCTGAAATGTCAATACTCCTAAATGGAAAACAAAAACAAACAACTCTGGCAAGAATCCATGATAGTTTAAATTTTCAAAACCTAGACCCATGAAGTTTTGTGGAGATGCCTGGACCTACGCAGCCCATATCAAGGCGGCTGCCTCAAGGAGAAACAGCCCAGGAGCACCTCACCTGCTGGAGGGGGAGGCCAATAAGCGAGGTGAGTCAGTGCTGAACTGCAGATCAAAGACCCTCGAGCGCCTCCGCTGCAGCCGCTCCTTCTCATCGTCATTCTGAGGAAAGTCTTCGAGGACTGGGGTGCCAGGAATATTGAGAGGCGCCTTCCTGGGCAGGGGCATCGGGAACACACGCTCTGAAGGAGAGGAGGCACTGTGGGGGTGTCCTCGCGTCTCTGAAGAAGAGTTATTCATTGTGGCTGGCAGTGCTGGAACAAAATTCTTGCTCAAGAAACCTTCAAGAGAACATTTCCTATATCCAAAGAAGTCTTGAGCCTGTCACAGGGGTGGAGGTTCACCACACACTGTCCACTGAGATCTTCTCCAACTCTAATACTTAATGGCTAGAACCTCTAGAGTTTGGGTTTCTTGGAGGTGCAGGGGGGAGGCCATAGGTTTCTGATGCTTCTTTGTTAATCTGGGACAAATATCCACTCTGCAGCTATGTGAATTTAAGTACTGCATGGATATAAAAATGGATGATATAATATTGCTGCCTCTGATAAGCTCACAAACTGGACAACAGACATATATAACCCATCATGCCAGGTAAGACAAGGAAGAGACAGATGCTGAGACAAGGGTGAGGTATGGGCTATAGAGTTAGACAGGCTGGGCTCTAATTCCAGCTCCTCCATATCTTGGCAAACAGACAGAGGAAAAACAACATAAACATGTAAAACAAATAGAATGTTCCAAAGAATCATCCAGATTATTTGCTAACTACAAAAGGAAAAATGTCTTTTACAATAAAAACTCTACCAGTCACCACATTAACCAGTCAAATGTAGCCTCACTAAAAATCAATCTGAAAGTTACTCATCTCTTCATGTGACACAATGTGAAATTCATAGCATCACCCAGGAAATATTTCCACCAAACATGTTTAACCTAAATTTAACCAAAGAACTTTAGATCTTTAACTTCTGGTTTATAAGAAATACAAGGGGTCAAGGAACAAGTTAAATGATATCACAAGGAAACACTCTAGAATGCAGGACAGTTTTCAAGAAAACTAGCTTAGTCTCTTAACTTAAAAGATAACAACCAAAAAAAAAAAAAAAAAAGGCCGGACATGGTAGCTCATCCCTGTAATCCTACCCTTTGGGTGGCTGAGGTGGGAGGATCCCTTGAGGCCAGGAGTTAAGAAACAGCCTGGGCTACCGGGCACGGTGGCTCATGCCTGTAATCCCAACACTTTGGGAGGCCGAGGTGGGTGGATCACCTGAGGTCAGGAGTTAGAGACCAGCTGGCCAATATGGTGAAACCCCGTCTCCACTAAAAATACAAAAGTTAGCTGGACGTGGGGGCGGGCGCCTGTAATCCCAGCTACTCAGGAGGCTGAGGCAAGATAATCGCTTGAACCCGGGAGACAGAGGTTGCACTGAGCCAAGACTGTGCCATTGCACTCCAACCCAGGCAACAAGAGTGAAACTCCGTCTCAAAAAAAAAAAAAAAAAAAAAAAAGATGCTTATTAGTATTAGTCATCCTACTGGGTTAGATAGGTGGGTATCTAATCCCAGAATTTAGGGAAAGTTCCAGATGAGATACACACACTGGGAAGTCATCAGCATGTAGAGGGTATTCAGAGCCATAATACTGGATGAGATCACCAAATAACTGAGTAGAGGAACACTTTAAAGGTTTAAAGAGCAGGAAAGCACTTTGGGAGGCTGAGGCAGGCAGATCACATGAGGTCAGGAGTTCGAGACCAGCCCGGTCAACATGGTGAAACCCTGTCTCTACTAAAAATACAAAAATTAGCTGAACGTGGTGGTGGGCGCCTGTAATCTCAGCTACTTGGGAGGCTGAGGCAGGAAAATCGCTTGAACCCGGGAGACGGAGGCTGTAGTGAGCCGAGATGGCGCCACTACACTCTAGCCGGGGCAACAGAGTGAGACTCTGTCACAAAAAATAAATAAATAAGTAAAAATAAAGAAGGAGAAACCAGCAAAAGAGCTGGGAAATGTGCAACTAGTGAGGTGGGAGAAAATCAGGAGAATGTGGCATTCTAAAAGCCAGGTGAAGAAAGTATTTTTAGGGGAGGAGGATGTGATAAACTATGTAGATGAGGACTGAGAACTGATCATTGGATTTAGAACCTAGGGTTACTAGTGATCTTGACAAAAACAGTTTTCCTAGAGTAGTAAGGGAGAAAGCTGAACTGGAGTGGTTCAAGTGAAGATGGGAGAAGAGAAACTGGAGACAGCAAACGATGACAAGGTGTTCAAGGACTTCTCTTTTTTTTTTTTTTTTTTTGAGACAGAGTCTTGCTTTGTCCCCCAGGCTGGAGTGCAGTGACGGGATCTCAGCTCATTGCAACTCCGCCTCCCAGGTTCAAGCAATTCTCCTGCCTCAGCCTCCTGAGTAGCTGGGACTACAGGCGCCCGCCACCACGCCCAGCTACTTTTTTGTATTTTTAGTAGAGACGGGGTTTCACAGTGTTAGCCAGGCTGGTCTCGAACTCCTGACCTCGTGATCTGCCTGTCTTGGATTCCCAGAGTGCTGGAATTACAGGCGTGAGCCACCACGCCCTGCCCAAAGACTTCTACTGTAAAAGGGTGGAGAGAAATGAGAGGGTGAGAGTTGAAAGGGAAGTGAGGAATTTTTAAGACAAAAAAACAAAACAAACAAACAAAAACCTCAGCATGGTAGAAAGAATGAAGCAAAGAGACTGTATTAGTTTTCTATGGCTGCTGTCACAAATGACCACAAACCTAGCGGTTTAAACACACATGTGGCTGGGCGCGGTGGTTCACACCTGTAATCCCAGCACTTTGGGAGGCCGAGGCGAGCAGATCATGAGGTCAGGAGATCCAGACCATCCTGGCCAACACGGTGAAACCCCACCTCTACTAAAAATACAAAAAAATGAGCCGGGCGCAGTGGCGGGTGCCTGTAGTCCCAGCTACTTGGGAGGCTGAGACAGAAGAATGGCATGAACCCAAGAGGTGGAGCTTGCTGTGAGTCGAGATCGCGCCACTGCACTACAGCCTGGGTGACAAAGTGAGACTCCGTCTCAAAAAACAAAAACAAAAACAAAAAAACCCCCACACGTTTATGTGTTCTCTTGCAGCTGTGGAGGGTTACATTCATTCTGGAGGCTTTGAGAGGAGGATCTGTTCCTCGCCTTTTGCAGCTTCAGAGCTGCCTACATTCCTTGGCTCACTGTCCCCCCATCACTCTAACCTCTTGTTCTGTCATCACATCTGCTCTCACTCTACCCCGACGACCTTCCTCTTACAAGGACCACTGTGATTAAACTGGGCCCACCCAGATGATCCATGATAGTCTTCTCAACAGCCTTAACTTAATCACATGAGCAAAGTCTCTTTCACCACGTAAGATAACATATTCACAGGTTCTGGACACCTTTAGGGCAAGTGTTATTCAGCCTATCACAGTGACCATCCAAAATAAAAGGTAAAATTTGCTGAACAATGTACTCAAGCAGGCAAAGAGGTTGCCTTTGTAGAGAGCACAGAAAGCCCATCCTCAGTAACAGGAGAAAAGACAGAGGCACTGGCACAGATGCAGGCAGGGAGCAGGTGCAATGGCAGACTTGGGGATGTTCCTTTTTGTTTGCTTTTTTTTTTTTTTTTTTTTTTCAATAAAATAGGAAGTAAAAACAAGGCTGGGCTCATGCCTGTAATCCTAGCACTTTGGAGGCCAAGGTGGGAGGATCACTTGAGGTCAGGAGTTCGAGACCAGCCTGGCCAACAAGGCAAAATCCCGTCTCTACTAAAAATACAAAAATTAGCAAGGTGTAGTGGCGCATGTCTGTAATCCCAGCTACTCGGTAGGCTGAGGCAGGAGAATTGCTTGAGCCTGGGAGGCAGAGGTTGCAGTGAGCCAAGATCAAGCCACTGCACTCCAGCCTGGGGGACAGAGCAAGACTCTGTCTCAGAAAAAAAAAAAGGGTTGTTGGAGTCAGGGAACCAGAGAGTGAATTAGAAAGATATAGGTGGTATTGAGAAGTGGGGTACTTTGCCAGGCATCTGTGGTTCCAGCTACTCAGGAAGCTGAGCCTGCTTGCGCTCAGCAAGGCTGCCGTGAGCTAGGACAGCACCTGTCAATAGCCACGCACTCCAGCCTGGGCAACACAGCAAGACCCTGTCTCTAAAAAATAATAGGCCGGGCGCGGTGGCTCATGCCTGTAATCCCAGCACTTTGGGAGGCTGAGGCGGGCAGATCACAAGGTCAGGAGATCGAGACCACCCTGACTAACACGGTGAAACCCCGTTCCTACTAAAATACAAAAAATTAGCTGGGCGTGGTGGCAGGAGCCTGTAGTCCCAGCTACTCGGGAGGCTGAGGCAGGAGAATAGCGTGAACCCAGGAGGCGGAGCTTGCAGTGGGCCGAGATTGCACCACTGCACTCCAGCCTGGGCGATAGAGCGAGACTCCGTCTCAAAAAAAACAAAAAACAAAAAACAACAAAGTAAAAATAGGAAGGGAGGAGGCAAGAGACATTTTTAGAAACTGAATCAAGAGGACTTATGAGGACAGTATTTGGATGTGAGCACAGTAGGCTACAGGCTAAGGAAGGAACCTGGACCTTTGGAGAGGATACCTTAACAGAAATAGGAAGCACTTAAGGAGAACCTTGTCTAAGAGAGAAACTAAACTTGGAATTAGAGGCATGCTTTAATTCTCCAAATCTTCTTTCCGTGGTTTCTCTCCTTGCCTTTGATATTATGCATCCATTCATTCAACCGATGGTTACTGAGCTCAAAGACACTTCCTATGTCTACTTCCTCATTTCCCACTCATTTTTCAACCCACTCTGGTCTGGTTCCTATTCCAACTTCATGAGAACTATCTTTTCGTGATCATCTATAACTTCCATGTTGCCTAAACCCTATGGTCATTTTCTGGCCTTTCTCTTGGAATCCAGCAGCATTTGAAACAGCTGACAGTCCCTTCCTTGTTGAAACACTCTTGGCTTCTTCCTATACCACTGTCTTTTGAGTTTTTCCAGCTCATCCTTCTCTATCCAGCTTCTAAACGTTGGTCCTAGATGTGCAGGGCCTTCCTAGTGTTCTCACCTGTTCCCATGGTTTTATGGTCTAATGGTCTATATGATAATGGTATCCAAATTTATTTCTCAATCCATGGGTCACTTCCCTGAGTGGTCCATATAACTCCCCTGAGAGCCAAATTCTCACCTAAGTGATTATAGATCCCTTCACCTGAGTCTCTCCCGTAAGTCACACATACCATGTCCAAAATGTAACTCAATTTCCAAATCTCTTACCCAAGGCCTCCAGACCCTGCCTACGTGTCAGGCCTCACTAAGCTTGGTCACAATGTTCTGGTCAGGTCCTAGGCCAGGCCAGGCTCTTCCCTGCCTCATTTTTGTACTTGCTCCTTCTGCCTGAAACACGTTCCCTAGTATCTGCCTAAAGATCTTCCCTGAACCCCTGGCGGAGCCACCCCTACTCTGCTATACTCAATCACAGCACTCAGCCTCATGTGTAATTATTTCTTTTGTTTACTGTCTGTCTCCCCAACTCCAACAGTATAGAGATATTATCAATTTTGTTCGCCCAACGGGAGAGCTCAGTACTTTTGAATAGATGCAAAAATAAATGCATGCATGCTAAGCATACAACGGTAACCACATCGCTTCCAAAGCCCTGAAAATAACGTCTATTCCAGGAAAACCACCATTTTAATGGAGAGACACCGAGCACGCTTTAGGAGCCCAAGGAGGAGGCCGCCCCACCGCCCGCCCGGGAACTGAGGAGTGTGAGGCAGGGCCCGCGCGCTCTCCGACTCCGGCCGAAGCCGCTTTCTGATTGGCTGAGCGCACAAGGTCCGCCCGCCCCGCGCCGGCCCTCCCCTCCCCCCGCACCGGCCTCTGCTGTCAGCCGCAGGGCCAAGACCCGAGCTGAGCATATCCTCTCTCCCCGCCCAGGCCAGCCCGCCAGCCCTGCCCGCCCGAAGTACTGCTTCGCTAGGGGCCCTTCCCGCCGCGCCTCCCGACCGCCCGGCTCACCTGGGCCGGGAGGTCCCATCTTTCCTTGGCGTCTCCTGAGCTGGTTTTAAATCGCGCGCGTCGAGACGCCTGAGCGCCGTAACGGCCGCGTGACGTCGCCGGCGGGCCGGGCCAGCAGCGCGCCTGCGCAGACCACCTCGGGCCTCCGCGGGCGGCGTCAGAGTGAGTTTTGGGTTGAGGACCCCGTCTGATTGGGCTTCTTGGGGTCGGTGGACCCCCTGAAATAGTATGAAAACCCCCTCCTTCGAGGACTAGGTGCAGGACTGGGCTTGGGAACCCAGCGTCGAGCAGGGTGAGCAAGGCCCGTCTTTCGTGGAATTTACTTTCTTTTTTTTTTTTTTTTGGGACGAAGTCTAGCTCTTGTCCCCCAGACTGGAGTGCAGTGGCGCGATCTTGGCTCACTGCAACCTCCGCCTCCTGGGTTAAAGCGATTCTCCTGCCTCAGCCTCCCGAGTAGCTGGGATTACAGGCGCCTGCCACCACGCCTGGCCAATTTTTGTGTTTTTAGTAGAGACGGGGTTTCACCATGTTGGCCAGGCTGGTCTCGAACTCCTGACCTCAGGTGATCCGCCCACCTCGGCCTCCCGAAGTGCTGGGATTACAGGCGTGAGCCACCGCGCTCAGCCCGTGGAATTTACTTTATAATGGGGAGGCAGATGATCGAGAAAACGAGGTTTATTTCCCTTAGAGATCTGTGCTGTGTGGGCAGCAAAACGCTGAAAACCTCCGGGAAGAGGGACGGAGGGGAGCGGGAGCCTACGTGGGAATGAGGAGCGGTCCAGGTGGGGAAGAACTGATGCAGAAATGCTATGTATACATTAAATATAGTACAAAATGTACATTTAATATAGTGTAAGATGAAGGCCATCGTTTTATTCAGATTCTTGTGAATAGCTTCCTGTGAACACCCCCCACCCTTCAAAAAATAAATAAAGGTCGAAAAAGCGAAATAAGCATAAAATGCCATCTGTCCCCTCAGTTTCATCTAACCCTAAGGATTGAATTATGGGAGTAAAGGCCAGGGTGATTCCCTGGAATATCCCCAGCACATCCTAGAATTTCTTGTAACTCTCATATCTGGCATCTTTTACAGTGTTTCTCTTCAAGGGCACTGTTGGCATTCAGGGTGAAACAATCCTTGGCATGATAGGATGTTTGCCCTCTTTGTGGGCTCTTAAGCCCCCGTAACATCATTTGCCCACTAAATGCCATCAGTGCTGTCGCTCATTTTGGCAATCAAAAAGTGCCACCCTTTGTTGAAAACCACTTTTTTTTTTTTTTTTTTTGAGACAGAGTCTTGCTTTGTTGCCCAGGCTGGAGTGCAATGGCACGATCTCAGCTCACTGCAACCTCCACCTCCCAAGTTCAAGCGATTCTCCTGCCTCAGCCTCCTGAATAGCTGGGATTACAGGCGCCCACCACCACACCCAGCTAATTTTTGTATTTTTAGTAGAGATGGGGTTTCACCATGTTGGTCAGGCTGGTCTCGAACTCCTGACCTCAGGTGATCCACCCGCCTTGGCCTCTCAAAGTGTTAGGATTATAGGCATGAGCCACTGCGCCTGGCTGAAAACCACTTTTTAAGCCTATCTGTTGTTCGTATAAACTTGTTCTTCTAGTGACCACCTTCAAATCTTCAGCGTAAGGCTGTGTGGGTTAGAGAAAACAGGTTGACACTGTTTATCTCAGCAAATGATACCATCAGCCACCCAAGAACCCAAATCAGCACCCAGGAGTCATCCTGGGGGATTCCCTCCCTTTCTCTCCCCACACAATCCATCATCAAGCAAGCTATTTTCACCTCCTAAAAATTGCCAATCCTGCCTTTCTCCTTCCATCCACATTACCTTCTCACTGGCCTGCTCTGGCCCCCCCTCAGGCCCTGAGTAGTGTATGCGGAGTCCAAATCTGAGCTGTCACTCCCACTTGTCCCCCACCACTTCCTCCCGGAAGTATAACACTTCAGGGGTTCCACCACCCTGGGAACCTCTAAGCGTCCTACAAGGTCCTGGAAGGGTCTTCCTGCCAGCCTCCCCACCCCTGCAGCCTCTCCAGCCTCCTCAGGGACCTTGCTCCCCTTGCTCCCTGCCCTCCAGCTGCCCTGGCCTTTTTTCAGATTCCTCTCATCACACCTGCTCCTACCCCCAGGCCTCTGCACACACACACTCCTCTAGCTAGGATCCTCTTCATCCCCATCTTCACCCCCGTAGCTCCAGTTAGGTTTCTACTCCCCTCAGGTTCCTCAAGGAGACCTTCCCTGATACACACAACTCTCCATACTGGAGGCTTCAGGAGAACTTGTCACAGCTGCAATTTTCCATGCACTAGGGTGACTATTTCATGTCTGTCTCCTACATAGACCGTCAGCTCCATGAGGATGAAGCCATATCTGTTCACTATGGTTTTCCCATGGCCTGGTGCTGGCCCTGGACATAGCAAGTACTTAAATATGTATTCAATGAGTACATCTGGAAGACAATTTTAAATCCTGGGTTGGGCATGTTAACCTCTCTGGGCCCCATTTTCTTCCCCGTCTATAAAATGGGGAAGGCACTATCCCCGCACTGGACTTGGTCAGTATATGCTGGGGTCCCTGTCATCTCCCTCACTTGTTCTCTCTGCTGAATGCATCTGAGGGAGGACACTGGGACAAGTGTGATCCTCTGGATTCCATGTGTACATAAGAGTAGCAAGGGTTAGGTGATACACTGAATCAGGAGCCTCTGAAGAACAGCTTGGAAGCCCTGGGGGAGGAAAGCTACTAAGTGACCCACTAGGTGAGCCTTGAGGCTGTTCTGTGGGAATAATGGAGCCACCTGAGCTGCTTCCAGCTTCACGTGCAGGAAGGCAAAGCCAGCTCCATGCCCAGTGTCTCTCTGGGCCAGGGCTGCCTTATGCGGGCAGGTCTTTCACCTCCTGCTCTGAATGCCATCTTTGTTTTGTTTTTAGGACTATGAAGGGTGCCAAAAGAGTGAATGATTTGGCCGGGCGCGGTGGCTCAAGCCTGTAATCCCAGCACTTCGGGAGGCCGAGGTGGGCAGATCACAAGGTCAGGAGATCGAGACCATCCTGGCTAACACAGTGAAACCCTGTCTCTACTAAAAATACAAAAAAAAAAAAAAAATTTGCCTGGCATGGTGGCGGGTGCTTGTAGTCCCAGCTACTCGGGAGGCTGAGGCAGGAGAATGGCATGAACCTGGGAGGCGGAGCTTGCAGTGAGCCGAGATTGTGCTACTGCACTCCAGCCTGGGCAACAGAGCAAGACTCCATCTCAAAAAAATAATAATAATAAATAAATAAAGAAGAGTGAATGATTTATCACTGATCTCAGTGGTGTACAAAGCTCAATACCTCTGTTTGTGCAAAAGTAAAGTAGTTAAGGTTCCTCCACTAATCCTAGGCTGCCAGAAAAGCAGAGCTGGTGTCGTCTTCCTTCCCCACCCCATTTTACTCTTCATGGAGATTCTACTTCCCCCAAATAAATGGGAAACTGCCTTAGTTTAGGTGAGAAACAATAGTGTTATCCATTGGCTACCTGAACAAGCAATCTTTTGGCTTCAAATTTGCCCTGACTTTCCAGCCTGCAGCTGGCTTATATAATGATGTAGTCTGTGATAGAAACCATCAAGTCACTGGGACTTAGTAGGCATATAGTTGAAATGGCTTTGCGTTCGTTTTGGCCTCCAAGCAAATGCCTTTTTTTTCTTTTTTTTTTTTTTTTTGAGACGGAATTTTACTCTTGTTGCCCAGGTTGGAGTGTAATGGCGCCATCTCGGCTCACCACAGCCTCTGCCTCCTGGGTTCAAGTGATTCTCCTGCCTCAGCCCCCCCAAGTAGCTGGGATTACAGGCATGCACCATCATGCCCAGCTAATTTTGTATTTTTAGTAGAGACAAGGCTTCTCCATGTTGGTCAGGCTAGTCTCGAACTTCCAACCTCAGGTGATCTGCCCACCTCAGCCTCCCAAAGCGTTGAGATTACAGGCGTGAGCCACTGCACCTGGCGCAAATGCCTTTAATGTTTGCATGTGATATGAAATTCCTGACCTCCTTAAGACTGGGCTAAGAACCAACAATTTCTGTCTTCTAGAATTTCTAAACAGTAACATACCATCTTTTAAAATATAGTGCTTTTTGCTTCTCAAAGCCCTTTAACCCTTACATCTTGTTTTATTTCCAAGACCAAGCTGAAAGTTTGCAATGGCAGATAGTTTCTTCCAGGCTCTGCCACTAGCTACATGACCTTGGGGAAGTTGCATACCCTTTCTGCGCCTCAGTTTCCTCACATGTAAAATGGAGGGGATGAAGGGCTCACTTCATGGGGTTATAGTATGAAGATTAAATGAGTTACCAGATGTAAAGCCATCAGAACAGTGTCCTGAACACTGGCAAACTCAGTGAACATTAAGCATTCCCATTACTATAACTGCTGTTGTATCCTGGGGGCTAGCCAGGTTTTGTTTTAGAATAAAGCTTAGTTTCCTATCTGGAGAGGTTTCCTCTTTAATTGTAAAAGTATTCCCAGAGCACTACAGGTCTGTTCTTTCCATTACTACTTGTTTGTGTGTTTTTTCTTTTTTTTAATACTCTTTCTTGCACCCTCTGCTCCACCCAAGTTTTGCTGACTGCTCCCTTTGTAATCATCTGCCCACTCTCATAACTTTCTGTTTTCTTTTTCTTTCTTTTTCTTTTTTTTTTTTTGCGACAGAGTCTCGCTCTGTCACCCAGGCTGGAGTGCAGTGGCGCGATCTCAGCTCACTGCAACCTCTGCCTCCCGGGTTCAAGTGATTCTCCTGCCTCAGCCTCCTGAGTAGCTGGGATGACAGGCGTGTGCCACCACACCCGGCAAATTTCTTTAAATTTTTAGTAGAGACGCAGTTCCGCCATGTTGGCCAGGTGATTTCAAACTCTTGACCTCAAGTGATCCGCCCACCTCGGCCTCCCAAAGTGCTGGGATTACAGGCATGAGCCAACACGCCTGGCCTTTATTTTCTTTTTTATCTATTAGACTAGAAACAACCATGCACTCCTAGAAATCATACCACCTTCTTTCTACCTGAGAAGACTTTTAGAGTTTATGCACATTGTTTGCAACCACTAAGATCTTCTAATTTGGCTGATATTTTGGTTTGGGCACCATGAAAATTAATCACCTAGATGTTGCTTATTCTTTTCTGGCTACTGGCCATGCCACTTGGAAACCACAAGGCAGACTAGTTCCAAGTACATTGAGAAATACCAGGATATACCGAATGGAGCTATCAGGGTAACATGAACTTCTTGGGAACAGGCATGTGAGAATGCTGATCTGCTGAGTGTGTTACTGCATAGATTCCAATGTATACAGAAAATAGCCTCCTTTATTGACTTTAACTTAAAACATCAGCAAATAATTTTCTAAACAAAAAGTATGTGAATGTTGCTAAAACACCAAAATCCCATCAGCAGGGAAGCAACCATGATTGCATCTTGCATTGAAAGCGGTACCTGACAGATGCAGGCAACACAGGAACACAGTAGCTATTGTGCACTGGGAGCCCCAATGATTGACTGGCATCAGCTTCTGGGAACCTTTTTTTTTTTTTTTTTTTTTTTTTTTTTTGAGACGCGGTCTCACTTTTTTGCCCAGGGTCGCTGGAGCACAGTGACACTATCATAGCTCACTACAGCCCTGACCTCCTGGGCTCAAGCAGTCTTTCCGCCTCAACCTCCAGAGTAGCAGGGATCACAGGTATATGCCACCATGCCCAGCTAATTTTTTGTAGAGACGGGATTGCGACATGTTGCCCAGGCTGGTCTTGAACTCCTGGGCTCAAGTGATCTTCCCACCTCAGCCTCCCAGAGTGCTGGGATTACAGGTGTGAGCCACTGCACCTGGCTTTGGGACATTTTTAATTTATTTTTGCTGGAGGAGAGGGTGTGTATTCTATGACTGAAGCCTATAAGGGCCAGCATCTGATCCCTGCTGAGGTCAAGTTCAGTGGGGACAGGTTACCCTCCCCAGCAGATCTTCTTGGCAGTGCAGATAGAACAGCATTGGCGTTTCCAAAACAATCACACCCATAACTATAGTTGCATTTCTTAACACTCCTCCTCAGCATCCCATGGTTTTGAAAAAAGGGAAAAATACACCAATTATATCTCTAGAATCACAATTTTAGAGTTGGACTGTTTCCCAATCCTTTCCTATACAAACCTGGCAGTGAGCCTGGATTGTGATGACCTCTCTTTCAAAACCACAAACACAGTTCAAGTAATCCCTTTGTCATTTTTGAAAAAAAAAAAAAAAAATACAAAGGAGGCATGGCCAGACAGAAAAAGCACAGCTAAACATGGCAGCTAAACCTTCTTTACACTCAACAAGTGGCTCCCCACAAGCAACAAAGTAATTATTCATCTCAGAGCCCCCAAAAAGATTGTCCTTGTGAAGGCCTTTATAATGTTGCCTCCAGGCACCTTAAAAAGGTCATCAGATGTTAACCATTTCATTATTATGGTAAATACATTATCTCAATTATGAGACAGGTTACTATTGACTTAATATTTGTGAATCAATGCGAATAAATTAGGTAGTTTTTTCAGATGCATAAAAACAACTCTATTGTCATATGAAAATAGGGCTAAGTTAAGAAAATGGAATGTAAACATCTTGGAGATATATATATATATATATATATATATATATATATATATATATATAATTTTTTTTTTTTTGAGACAGATTCTCACTCTGTAGTCCAAGCTGAAGTGTAGTGGTGCGATCTCGGCTCACTGCAACCTCCACCACTGGGGCTTAAGTGATTCTCGTGCCTCAGCCTCCCAAGTAGCTGGGACTACAGGTGCGCGCCACCATGCCCGGCTAATTTTGTGTATTTTAGCAGAGATGGGGTTTCACCATGTTGCCCGGGGTGGTCTTGAACTCCTGAACTCAGGCGATACACCCACCTCGGCCCCCCAAAGTGCTGGGATTAACAGGCGTGAGCCACCGCAACCGGCCTTGGTTATATTTTCAAAATAGTGAAGGTTTGAAAAATTAGATCGTAAATTATGAGAAGTTGCCCATCACAGTATTTGGGATAAAATGGAGTGCCACCAGCTCGGATGAGAATTAAGCTAACAGTTCAACAAGGAAACCAATTCACAAGGAACATACTGGAAGTCAATCACAAAAAGGAATAAGCTGGAATGAAGGTATTCTCTGGTTCTCTCACTTCGAGTGTTGATACAAAAACACAACTTCACAGTGACCCTCTGGATCTCACCTCCTTAGCAGCAAGATCCTCCCATAACATCCGTTTCCCTGGACCTTCTTTGGGTCATGATGAAAGTTAGCAGAAGAAAACCTCAGATGACCCATCCTTGACTAGGCCCTGCAGGGTCATTATGCCCATCCTCATGACCACCTCACACGCTCCTTAAGGTGTCTCATCATAGCCCCCACTGGCAAGGTGAAGGTCACATATACCACTGATATATCTGAAAAGTAAACACTTTTGTAGCCCAAGGAATTAGAAATACCTTCCTCTGTTTTTTTTTTAATGGTCTTTACATCAAGGTGCTGCAGCCAGTGGGGCATGAGGCAGAGTTTTCACCTGGGTCAGAAGGTTTTGGAACTCTTCCACTGCCTGTGAATGTGCCTTGGGGTTGAGCACCAGGTGTTGGAAGAGATTGACCGGCTCAGCATTCCTAAATGTCTTAGGGATTGGGATGGTCAGGGGCAGAAAATTGTTACCAATGAGGAAATGATGGAGGGACCTTTGCTGGAGGCCACGGCCCAAGAACCAGAGAATGTCCTGGAGCCGCTGAGAGAGCATGTTGTGGGCCCAGTCCGTGAGGGGCAGCCGTAGCAAGAGGTGCATGAGAGCTGTTTTAAAATGGTAAGAAGTGAGGATGGGGCGGGATGCTCCATGGGGTAAGCTCTGATGCTGCCGGAGACTTAAAATGATCTGGAGGCACTTGAGGTGACAGGTGTTCTCGGGGGCAAAGCGCCCCACCAGCTTCAGGAACAGGTGCTCACAGGCCACAAAGGACTCAGGCCAGTCCACACTGGTGAGCTGCTCCTGGTCAGGAGCCTGACTCACCAGGTAGACCAAGGTGTCTTCTCGTTGCACCCCCAGGACCAAGTGGATTGAGAGAAAGCGGCCTGAGCGATAGTCCAGCCGGAGCTTGCAGGAGGTGGTAGACGGTGGGAGACTGAGTTTAAAGTCATACTTGTGGGCCACAAGGGCCCAGGCATTGCCCATCATGTTCCGGAACCACTGCACAGTCTTGCACACGTCTAGGTGGAAGCCGGTGCAGAGAGCTGCCTTGATGGAGCTACTACACTTCCCCAAGACTGCCGAGGGGTCCCTGTGGTGGTGCACCAGGCACAGCACGTCCCCTAGGAGTTTCTCACGCTTGCACACACATTCTGACTCCACCAGCACACAGCCACAGCGGCGGCCCAGGGCTGGGTCCCTCATCTCCAGGACAAACATGGTGCCCTGTGGGGGGACAATGGGCACCAGGATATCAAATTTCTGGGTCTCATGGAGGGTTCCCCATTTCTCAAAGGCAGCCCCGATGCCCAGGCAGTCTTCCAATTGTGGGTGAGCCTCTTGGCGGCTGAGCACCCGACAGGCCTCAATGAGATCATCCACAAAACTCTCCACAAACTCACAGGTGCAGGGCAGGTCACGGATGGCATTTTGGACATAGTGTTTGTAAAAGGAGTCCAGGGCCTCCTGGGAGGGGAAGTCAGTAAGCCAGTTGTAAGAGGTGACAGGGACAACACGGACTTCCTCCTCCTCCTCCTCACTGCTGGAATCAAAGGCCGGTTCATGCTGCATGTTCTGTCGCAGGAGCTCAAAGACGAGAAAAAGGCAAAAGAGGCCAGTGTTCCACAGGTTTCCCAGCATCCAGCCCAGAGGCCCTTCCTGGCCATCGGCCTGGAACGGCCACCCCATGTCTTTCTTCCCCAGCACTAACTGGTCACTGGATGTGTCTCCTGTCCAGAAGTTCTCTGCCTTCTGCCTCTGCTCAGCGGCTCGCTTTCTCTCTTCAAACTCCATCTCTAGCAGGCGCATCTCCTCACTCATTCGCTTCTCCAGCTGCCGACTCCTGGCTAATGTGTCCAGGTCCATCCGATCACTGACCATCAGAGGGTGGTGAACAACATACATCACTGCCAAGAACAGCAGGCTTATCACAGCCATGGAGGCCTCTGCATCTGGAGAAGTAGGAGAGTAGGAGTCAGTGGTCATCTTCCAGACTTATCTGCTCTCTAGCTCACATTCCCCAGAGCCCTGGTACCCCAAATTCTGAAAATCAGCTACTCAGGAGGAACAGAAAGCCCACAGAGCTTGGCTTGGACACAGCAAGGGTGGTCGGCCTGGGAGGAGGTTCGAGAGAAAAGAGGGCGAAAGGATGTGCCACTCAGTCTCTCTCCTGCTTTCCTTCCACATGGTGTGGGTGGTATTTAGGCTTCCAGAAAGTGTACATGGGACTGTTTTCATTCCTGTGTAGGATGGGGAGGGGGACCCTTGTGGTAGGGTGGCCTCACCCGACTCCTCAGTCAACCATGGGCACCAGATATGACCTGCTGATCCCAGAGGCTCCCTTTTATAGCCAGAAAGCCCTGAACCTGCCTGGGTGACACCTTTCCTCTGCCCCGGCAGCCAGTTGTAGCATTCCACTTCCTCTGTGACTTCACAGTCTTCATTCTGCTCACCCAGTATGAAGTGAGCCTCATCACTCAGCCTCTCCCTCTCTGCCCAGGGAGCGCAAGAGAGGCACAGTGCCGCCAGCTGCTTGCTACGGTGCCCTCTCTGCTCCTAAGGGGCTAGTGGATACCCCGTGTGTGGGCAGGCTAGCTTCACTTCTTAGTTCAGAAAACTGTCTGCAGAACCAGGTGCCCAAGGCCTACCTGACAGCCGGCAGTGGTCAGTTCCACTGCCTCCCCACCCACCCGTGAAGCCCGAGCTTCTGCCACTCACCCTAATTCACAAGCTACCGCGCTTACCAACATTCATGAAGGACTATGCCGTGTGGACGCTGAAGCCAGCTGGGCCTATCCTCCCTTTGGAACTTGGCCTTGCTTCGTCTCCCCGCCCTCTCTAGGAGCCCTGTTAAAATGTACAAGGTACCTGGGGGCTTTGGCTCAAATCGGAACCCGACCCTCCCCCCATTCATAACTTCCCCAAATTCCACGCCCAGAGATTTGTACTCTCACCCGCCTATCCGTAGGAGGCCAAGGGCCCATCCTACCTCGGGATGTCTCCCGGGACCCAGGGCCAGGTTACTCACCGTCAGTGTTAGTAGGAACACGATCTTAAAGAGACAGCGCGGCCTGACCGCCACTGCTTTTTTCCCGGCAGGGTGGGGGCGTCCGGTTCATCGCTGGGGCCGCCCGCGGGAGTGGCCCTGCTCCCCTTTCCTGGGTTATAGACCATGCTTGTCCGAGCGTCTGAACGTCTGGCTGAGCGCGGTGGGCCCCTACGACCCCCAGCACGCGGCTCCGAGGGCGCCCGCGCGCCGCAGCCGCTCCCGCCGTCCGGGCTCCTCCCCGCCCACCCAGTACAAGCTCCTCCCCGCCCAAACCCCCGTGGCCCAGCGTGCAGGGGCAGCGGCCTCCCCACACCGGGTCTCTGTCCGCACCGAGGCCCCCGTGGGTTTGCTGGGAGAGTGGAGGGGCCGTGGCCACACACTCTCCGCTGCTCGGCCTCCCTGGGGTGGCAAATGGGGCACCGCCGTGCCTGCTGTCAGCTGCACTCAGCTCAGTTCAGTGGAGAACAGACTTACTAGGATTCGGGTGTAAGGATGATGGTGGCAAAACTAGGAATTGACCGAGAAAAGCCATTCTCACTTCGGGCTGGCCCTGAGCAAAATGGCACACGAAATAAGATGTGGTTTCAGCACCCTAAATGTGCTTCCCTCCCAGCCCACGCCCAGACTCAGGCATCTTTCCCCAACCCCTTTCTCATATCAAAGTGACTCTCATGAAAGAACAGACAGCACCCAAAGACCTTACTTGGGGCCTTGCTTGCTACTCACTGGCCACGTGGGAGTAAGAATCCTACCTACAGGGCAGCTCTGCTGATACATGGGTGTATAAAGGAGAACTTTATACGGTGTGGAGGCTGGACAAGCTTTATCACACCTTAAGAAACACAACAGAATGGGTTTCCTGAAAGGGATCTTCAGATATCAGAAAGAGCCCTTAGTCTTCCTGTCTTGTGTCAGCTATCCAAGAAGAAAAGGAAGTGATGACCCCTTGATACTAACTCACTAAAATCCCTCTGCTGAAAGACAAGTTTCAGGGTTTTTATTTGTTTGTTTGTTTTTGAGAAAGAGTTTCGCTCTGTCACCCAGGCTGGAGTGTAGTGGCACCATCTTGGCTCACTGCAGCCTACCCGCCCCAGGTTCCAGTGATTCTCCTGCCTCAGCCTACTGAGTAGCTGGGACCACAGGTGTATGCCACCATGTCCAGCTAATTTTTGTATTTTTAGTAAAGACGGGGTTTCACCATGTTGGCCATGCTGGTCTCGAACTCCTGACCTCAGGTGATCTGCCCGCCTCGGCCTCCCAAAATGCTGGGATTATATGTGTAAGCCATCACACATGGCTGGGTTTCAGGTCTTCTTATCCAGTGGCAATGTGTAGGGAGCTCCCAAACAACTTGTACAATACTTCCAAGAATACTGACTTATTTAATTGTGGAGCAGGAAAAACTGTCTGCTAGCTGACAATGACTGAAGTTCCAAAGTTACTTTTTATAAATGTGAATTATGAAAAATAGATCACAGGTTATTGAGCATTCATGCATTTGGAGCAGTAATAATGAAAGTCTCTTATCTTTTCACTTATGACATGATGTCAGGATGCAAAATATATGCTTCAGAGTGTGCAAAAACGATAATGTTTAAGACCATGTGTTTTAAAGTTGTATTATTTTAATTAACAAATAATAATTGTACATATTCATAGGGTGCACAGTCATGTTTCATACATACAATGTATAATTTCAGATTAGGGTAATTAGCATATCCATCATCTCAAACATTTATCATTTCTTTGTGTTGGGAAGGTTCAATCCTCCCTCTAGCTATTTGAAACTATATATTATTACTATTATTATTTTGTGTGTGTGTGTGACGGAGTCTTGCTCTGTCACCCAGGCTGGAGTGCAGTGGCACCATCTCAGCTCACTGCAACCTCCACCTCCTGGGTCAAGCAGTTTTCCTGCCTCAGCCTCCCAAATAGCTGGGATTACAGGCACACACCACCAAGCCCGGCAATTTTTTTGTATTTTAGTAGAGTGGGGGTTTCACCATGTTCTCGAGCTCCTGAGCTCAAGCAATCTGCCCACCTTGGCCTCCCAAAGTGCTGGGATTACAGGCATGAGCCACCATGCCTGGTCTATTATTGTTAACTGTAGTCAACCTACAGTGGTGTGAAACCCTAGTACTTAGTCCTCCCATCTGGCTATAATCTTGAATCCTTTAACAAATCCCTCCCTATCACCACCTTCCCCTCCCCTTCCCAGCCTCTAGCATCCTCTGTTCTACCTTTTACTTCTATTACATCAACTTTTTCTAGGTTCCACATGTGACTGAGAACATGTGGTGTTTATCTTTCTGTGCCTGGCTTATTTCACTTAATATCCTCCAATTCCATCCAAGTTGCTGCAAATGACAGGATTTCATTTTTTTTTATGGCCAAATAGCATTCCATTGTGTACATATACCACGTTTTCCTTATTCATTCATCTATTGTTGGACACATAGGTCAATTCCATATTGGCTATTCTGAATAGTGCAGCTATAAACATGAGGGTGCAGATTTCTCTTTGATATAATGATTTCCTTTCCTTTGGATAGATTTTAAGTAATGGGATTGCTAGATCATGTGAGTAGTTCTACTTGTAGTTTTCTGAGGAACCTCCATGTTATTCTCCATAGCAGCTGTGCTAGTTTACCCAACAGCATATCAGAGTTCCCTTTTCTCCCCATTTTCACCAGCATCTGTAAAACCATATGCTTAAAAATGTGTGTTCATGGTTAAGGATTTGTTTTAAAAGTGGTTGCTGGACAGGCGCGATGGCTCACGCCTGTAATCCCAGCACTCTGGGAGGCCGAGGCAGGCAGATCACCTGAGGTCAGGAGTTCGAGACCAGCCTGGCCAGCATGGTGAAACCCCGTCTCTACTAAAAATACAAAAAAAAAAAAAAAAAAATTAGCTGGGTGTGGCGGTGCATGCCTGTGATCCCAGCTACCAGCCTGGCCAGCACGGTGAAACCCCGTCTCTACTAAAAATACAAAAAAAAAAAAAAAAAATTAGCTGGGCGTGGTGGTGCATGCCGGTGATCCCAGCTACTCAGGAGGCTGAGGCAGGAGAATCGCTTGAATCCGGGAGGTGGAGGTTGCAGTGAGCTGAGATCGCACCACTGCACTCCAGCCTGGGCAACAGAATAAAACTCCTTCTCAAAAAAAGAAAAAAAAAAAAAAAAGAACATGCTATGGCTTACTCCCATTATGTGTGTGTGTCTGTGCATCACATGCCTCGGAAAAGTTTCAAAGGGTGGATCCCTAAATGTTTACAGTGATCTTCTGAGGGTGGAGGGATTGATTGCAGGTGTCTAGCAATAAGGAGGTATTCTTTTCACAAAAATAAACATGCAGTGTCCAGCGTATGAATGGGCTGTGTGCCCAAAGCCCTCCCTCGTGTGCCTCGTGAGCACAAAACACGTTTTCTACAGAAACAGGTGCGCCTAGGACCGCTAGAGACGCTTTGCGCCGGGGCAGTGTCTTCACGGTTCGGAGAGCTGGGAGTGGAGGTGGGGGGAGGTTCCTCATCCTCGCCAGCTTTCTGGGCCCCAGGAGCCGCCTCCCTTCGCCCCCGACCCCGCCTCCGTCCCCCAAGCCGCGGACGCGCCTTTTCCGCCGCCTCCAAGAGCAGCCGCGGGGCCGCCCCCAGGACGCGTTGTTCGCTGCCGGAGTTTGGGGTGGCAAGGACCGGGCGCACGGCTGAGATGCGCTGCCCTCCAGAATGCGAGCCTGTGCACGCGCCTGCGGAGGGGCCACACTCCCTGCAGCGTCCGCGATGCGCTGTTCCCGCTGGCGCTCGGCGGGCGCTCCCCTGGGCACATCGAGGCTCTAGTGACCGCATTATGAATTAGTCCTTTCCTTTTCTCCTCATGTGATTGCAGCGAGCGCTCGTCTTGTTTGTAAATCGTGCTGGCAAGCCCCGTTTTAACCAACTACGAATTTCATTTCGGAATGAAAAAGGAGACGCACTTTCGGACAGGGCAGCGGTTGCCGCCGGTCCTTCCTCTGAGCTACCGGTCCCTAGAAGGAAGACCTGCCTTCGACCGATCTGGAAATGAGTCCCAGCTGCAAGCCCAGGGCGGCGGAAGCCCCACGGGCCGAGCCGAAGAAAGACGAGGCGGGGGACGGGGAGCGTAGTGCCGCGTGCCGGGACCCACAACCCCTTTCCCCTGGGCGCTCTTCCCCGAGCGGACAGGAAAAAGCTCTCCTTTGCCGCTGCCCATCCCCCAGGGCCCAAGCGATGCTTCCTAACCGCGTGGACGCAGCTTGATGGGGGAGAAAGAGCTCTGGGAGCAGGGCTTAGAGCCTCGTCTCGCCTCCTGCCAACTCGGTCCGGCAAGGTTCCGAACCTCCCTGAGCCTCAGCTTCCTAATCTGGCAAACATGACGACAAAAGTCCTTCTCTTTTAAGGTTGGTGCAAAAATTAAATGGCCCTTTACTGTATATTTAGAGCACCTGGCTCACGGATTAGTCACCTCGCTCCTGGGCTCAACAGTGTTCACTGGGTCCTTACAGCATCACACTGGGATCCTTAAGGGCAAAGACCAAAATTAGACCTAGCTTAATTCCTGGTGTGCAAGTGCTAAGTGTTATGAAATGAGTGAGTGACAGGATGATCCAGCTATGAGAAATAGGAGAGAGTTTGCGGTGGGATAGAGACTGTACCTTCTTTTTGTATAAGATGTTTGGCAGTTGGGGATAACTTACCGGAAGCAAGCTTAAGATGCACACGAAATCCTGACCAAGAGGATGTAGAAATTAGATATATGGCCAAGAATCAGAGAAGCAAATAAACAGATCTCAAATAAAATGTTTAGTTTTGAGGTTAGAGGTGGGATATCAGGGTAACCAGGCAAAATAACTGATACAATAAATAACTACATGACAAATCACTTCTCTCAACAACACATTTCAAAAAAAATCACTTTATTTTATAACTGCAAGATTTTCTTCAAACCAGTTTCTTGCTATTACAAGCTCAAAAACTTATCCTGCTCTGGTGGCAAACATTTTGTGACTCATGCTGTGTAACAAAGACCTGTGTAGACATTGAGTTGTATATTGCTGATGCTTCTGAACATAAAGGAAAAGTACAAAATTGCCGCCTTTTTCCCAATGATTTGTGGAGGAGAATTATTACTAGACTAGCTGATACCTGTGCATGAAATGCACCACTATTGCTTAATAAATCTGGACCGGGTGCGGTGGCTCATGCCTGTAATCCCAGCACTATGGGAGGCCGAGGCGGGCAGATTGCCTGAGCTCAGGAGTTCAAGACCAGCCTGGCCAACATGGTGAAACTCCATCTCTACTAAAAATACAAAAATTAGCTGGGTGTAGTGGTGGGTGCCTGTAATCCCAGCTACTGGGGAGGCTGAGGCAGAAGAATCACTTGAACCCAGGAGGCGGAGGTTGCAGTGAGCTGAGACTGTGCCACTGCACTCCAGTCTGGGCAAAAGAGCAAGACTTTGTCTCAGAAAAAAAAAAAAAAGAAAAAGAAAGAAAAAAAAAAGAATAGCACTGGGCACGGTGGCTCACACTGTAATCCCAACACTTAAGGAGGCAGAGGTAGGAAAATAGCTTGAACTCAGGAGTTTGAGACCTGCCTGGGCAACATAGCAAGACCCCGTTCTCCACAAAATGGAAAAAAAATCTGAATAGCATATCAATGTGTATTATTTGCTTATTGTATATTTCTTTATAGTTTTTCTCCTCTCAATGTAGCACTTGTACTGTTGGGAGGATAAAACATAGGTGCTCTTGATTAAATAGGGATTTGAAAGATATGAGTAGATTCTGTCTACCATCTGTCCCAATCACTTGTTCATTCCATTCAACAAATATTTATTTATTTATTTATTTGAAAAAGGGTCTGAGTCTGTCACCTATGCTGGAGTACAGTGGTGTGACCTCAGCTCACTGTAACTGCCACTTCCTGGGCTCAAGCCATCCTCCCACCTCAGCCTCCCAGGTAGCTGTGATTAAAGATGCTTACCACCATGCAGCTAATTTTTGTATTTTTGATAGTGACAGGGTTTTGCCATATTGCCCAGGCTGGTCTCAAACTCCTAGGCTCAAGCAATCCTCCTGCCTCAGTCTCTCAAAGTGCTAGGATTACAGGTGTGGGCCACCATGCTCCGTCCCAACAAATATTTATTTGAATGTTTTATAACTGTGAAAGATGTATTTGGACCCGATACAATGAGAGTCTGGAAAGAGTTCTTGGAAATTAAAAACTTGATAATAAATATGAAAAACTCCATACAGAAACTGAAAGTTAAAATTGAGGAAGTCTCCCAAAATTAGAGTAAAAATGTAAAGAGCTGGAGTCAAGAAAATTGCCAAGGACCAACCCAGTAGGTCTAACATTCGATGATTAGTGGCCCCAGAAGGAACATGGGAAATGGAGAGGAAGAAATCTTGTCAAAGAAATAATAAAGCAAGCATCCTATAAAGGGAAGACATTTCCAGATTGAAACTAAGTGCCCAGCCCATGGATGAGAGTAAACTCATACTTAGTCCCTTCATTATGAAATGTTAGAGCACTCAGGTCAAACAGGATTCCACAAGTTTCTGGAGACAAAAAAAACACAGATCACATACACAGGATCAGGACAAATGGTGTCAGATTTCTTTCTCTCTCTCTCTCTTTTTTTTTTTGTTTGTTTGAGACAGGGTCTCAAACAGGTCCAGCCTAGGCTGGAGTGCAGTGGCATGATCTTGGCTCACTACAACCTGCTGGGATTACAGGCGCGCACCACCACGCCGGGCTAATTTTTGTATTTTTAGTAGAGATAGGGTTTCACCATCTTGGCCAGGCTGGTCTTGAACTCCTGAGCTCAAGTGATTCGCCGGCCTTGGCCTCCCAAAGTGGTGGGATTACAGGTGTGAGCCACAGTGCCCTGCCAACCCAGATTTTTAAATACAGCACTAGAATAAGATGAAAGCAAAATGGTTGTAATCCCAGCACTTTGGGAGGCCAAGGCTCGTGGATCACCTGAGGCCAGGAGTTTGAGACCAGGCTGGCCAACATGGTGAAATCCTGTCTCTACCAAAAGTTCAAAATTAGCTAGGTGTGGGGATGCATGCTTGTAATCCCAGCTACTTGGGAGGCTGAGGCAGGATACTTGCTTGAACCCGGGAGGCAGAGGTTGCAATGAGCCGAGATCATACCATGCACTCCAGCCTGGGCAACAAGAGCAAAACAACATCTCAAAAAAAAAAAAAAAAAAAAAAAAAAAAGATGAAAGAGAAATGCCTTTACAATTTTGAAGGAAAATGGTATCCAGTCCAGAATTTTATACTCAGCCAAAGTATCAAACACGTGTGAGAGTAGAATAAAGACAATTTGGGCCATGCCAGGTTTAAAAACAAATATCTAGCCAGGCACGGTGGCTCATGCCTGTAATCCCCAGCACTTTGGGAGGCCGAGGTGGGCGGATCACCTGAGGTCAGGAGTTCAAGATCAGCCTGGCCAACATGGCGAAACCCTGTCTCTACTAAAAATATGAAAATTAGTCGGGTGTGGTGGTGGGTGCCTGTAATTTCAGCTACTCAGGAGGCTGAGGCAGGAGAATCATTTGAACCTGGAAGGCGGAGGTTTCAGTGAGCCAAGATCACACCACTGCACTCCAGTCTGGGTGACAAGAGCCAAACTCGGTCTCAAACAGAAGCAAGTATCTTCCTTGTGCTCTTCTCAAAAAACTGTCCTGGTCTATACCGCAATGCTGCCAATGCCAGACTGCCTTGACCTTTGTGCTTCCGGGAACTGCTTTGTGGCTTTGCCTTCTCACAGCTGGAGTGACCCCCATAGGCTCTCAGGGATGCTGAGGCCAGCTTCCAGGGCAGAACTCTGTGTCATCTCCTCTCCTGGGCCTCCATCTAATGGGGCCATATAGCCCCACATAGCAAGCACAAAAAATGCTGAGTTTGTGCTTGCTACTAACTTTTTCAAAACTGAGCAATATATTGTTCAGATTTCTTTTTTTCTTTTTTTGAGACAGAGTCTTACTCTGTCACCCAGGGTGGAGTGTAGTGGTGCCATCTCGGCTCACTGCAACCTCTGACTCTGGGTTCAAGCGATTCTTGTGCCTCAGCCTCCCAAGTAGCTGGGATTACAGGCGCGTGCCACCATGCCCAGCTAATTTTTGTGTTTTTTTGGTAGAGCTGGAGTTTCACCATGTTGGCTAGGCTGGTCTGTTGTTCAGATTTCATACATACATAGCAAAATCATAAAGCATGAGAATGACTAACATAAAAGTTAAGAAAGTGGTTGCCCCTGGTAGAGGGAGATGAGAGAGAGAAGCAACTGGGGAGGGCCCCCAGGAGTTTCATGAGGTCCTTGGGTGGTAGGCACCCTGCTGTTTGCTTTCTTTCCCTATCTCTTTGCTGCATTGGTATTGCTGCCTATCTCCTTGGCTTTCCCATGGGATGTTGCCCATCTGTTTATGACATGGGCTGGGGATGTTCTAGGATGGGGAGACTACATCACAGATCACACCTCAATGAAGGGCAACAACAGCAGTCACCATTGTAGGTGTTTTATGTGTATTAACTAATTTGATCTTTTCAACATTATCCCTATTTATAGATAAAGTACTGGAGACCCAGATAGTACCAAGCAATTCAGTGTTTTCTGAAGGAAGACAAGTCAGAAGGGTGGCTTGCACCTGCAATCCCATCACTTTGGGAAGCTGAGGCCAGAGGATAGTTTGAGCCCAGGAGTTCGAGACCAGCCTGGGCAACATAGCCAGACCCCCCTCCCTGACATCTCTACAAAAATAAAAATTAAAAAATTAACTGGACATGGTGGCGAGTGCCTGTGGTCCTAGCCACTTGGGAGGCTGAGGCAGGAGGCTCACCTGAGCCCGGGAGTTGAAGTTGGAGGTTGCAATGAGCTATGATCGCATCACTGCACTCCAGCTGGGGTTAGAGTGAGACTTTGTCTTAATAATAATAATAAAGAAAGGCAAATCAAATGTTCAATGCAACTGCATTTTAAGAGCAAGTTTAGAAACCAAAACTTAATCAATAACCCTGTAACTAATAACAATATATATTTTAGTCCCACGTTGAGACAGAGCATGTAGAATGGAGAAAAGACAAAGGAACTAAGTGGGAATGGGAAGGACAAATAGCGGGGAACAAGGGAAGGGCAGTCTTTTCTAGTGCCTACCAGGTTTTCACCTTATCCAGGGGCCAAGAGACCAGCTCTCCAGGGACTAAAACTAGATCCATGAGGACTTGCTTCCACAGAAACCATGTAGAATTTGGGGCCCTGAGTTGTAGAGGGAGTGGAGTTCCCTCCATGTGGATGAGGAGGGGGTGGAGGGTCTGTGTGTCCATCTATTCACTCTTGAAGGGCTCTGGTCCCTGCTTCTACTGAGGTGGTGACCCCTTTATGTTGCCAGCGTCAGATTTCCTGTTTGTGATGCCCTTTAGTTTCTGGCTGTGTTTGCCTGCCTAGGCTTTGTCCTCAGGCTCATCCAGTAGCTGGGATTTTTCTGGCCACAGCCTCCTCTGATTCTGGCCCTGAGGGACTGAGTGTCTTTTATTTCAGGCTGCTCTAAAACCACTCCAGCTGCGCCTAGCACCGCTTCCTGCCACAGGACCGGGGAGGATGGTGACTTGGGTTCCTGTAACAAAGCCCCTTCCGTGAAGTTCCCCAACATACTCAGCTTTTTCCTTAACATAGCTGAGGTTGGGGAGGGGTCCAAAGAATCAGTCGCACAAAGGGAGAGAGCAGCTCTGTTCCAATAAACAAGATTTTGCACGCTCCAGTGCTTTCGGTCCACTGGAAGCTCTATATCCTCATTGCTGATGCCATTTGTCTCAGTTTTAGGGACCCAGTGACTCAGCACCCACAATCATGTTGCCTTTTGGCTGTGGCTGCAAGGCTTGCTGCCCCATAGTTATGACAACATTAAATCCTTTCCATCCAAACTGTCAAAAGTCTGGAATTTTACCCTACTTAAAAGATAGTTACTGTTGCTGTTTCATGGATGCTGGCAGAAGACACAAGACTCCTGGGTCAGAGACAGAATAATTTATGACTCATGGCACAACAATCAGCACTAGCATCCTGTTTGTGTCAATTCTCCTTGCTCTCTCAAGTCCCACAGGGGCAACATGGAGAGGCCCAGGTGGATGCTATGCATGGTACGGTTTGCATTGCAGACAAGGAATTCTGATTTCAGGGAAACTACCTATTTCATGGCCATTCTTCTCTTTGTCCTGATGGAAGACATTACCTTATCCCTCAAGGTTGCCCACTACACATACAGCTCTGGGAAAGGGCCTAGGAAAGTGTGGCCAGGGCCTTGCATTCCTGGCACACCCAGCAAGAACATGCAGGCATGCTCTGGACCATGCAGATTGCCTTTCCCAACACTGACCTCAGACGGTGCTGAAGAATAAAATAGGTTAAATGCCTGGCACATAATAAACTCAACCAATGCCAATAATTATATAATCATTCGAGTTGGTCAAAGAAATTAAGGCAGTTCTGACTACATCACACTCCTGAACATGTACAAAAAGTGACATGTATTAGTTGAATAAGAACTTAAACACAGCCGGGCATGGTGGCTCACACCTGTAATCCCAGCACTTTGGGAGGCCAAGGTGGGCAGATCGCTTGAAAGTCAGGAGTTTGAGACCAGCCTGGCCAACATGGTGAAACCTCGTCTCTACTAAAAATACAAAAATCAGCTGGGCATGGTCATGGTGGCCCATGCCTGTAATCCCAGCTACTTGGGAGGCTGAGGCAGGAGAATCACTTGAACCCAGGAGGCAGAGATTGCAGTGAGCCAAGATTGTGCCACTACACTCCAGCCTGGGTACCACAGCCAGACTCTGTCAAAAAAAAAAAAAAAAAAAGAACTTAAACACTATAAAGGAGAAGGGATCCCTTAAGTTTCTTTTGTCCTGAGACAAAATATATATAAAATATCTAATTACATCTTGCCTTTTAGATATTTTCTTCAATGACATTTCCAAATCATTTGTTCATACTCTCATTTTACTCTCCAACCGAATACATTAGGGATTGGCTTAAGTCCAATGAGCCCCAACTAGTGTGGCAAAGGTTTGTTACTTTTGGCCTGCTTATTGACTTCCAACCGTAGTAAATTATAAAACCTTTGCTTTTTCACTAATATCATCAGTTTTCGTTTTTAAAAGTACCCATTCAGGCCAGGCATGGTGGCTCAGGCCTGTAATCCCAGTGCTTTGGGAGGCCAAGGTGGGAGGATCGCTTGAAGCCAGCAGTTCAAGACTAGCCTGGACAGCAAAGCAAGACCCTATCTCTACAAACAAACAAACAAAAACAAACCAACAAATTAACCTGGCATGGTGACATGTGCCTGTAGTCTCAGCTACAGGCTGTGGAGGCTGAGGTGGGAAGATCACTGGAGCCCAGGAGTTTGAAGTTACAGTGAGCTATGATTGCACTGCTGCACTCCAGCCTGGACAACAGAGCCAGATCCCATCTCAAAAAGAATCCCACCCATTTAATAATCAGGGTGAAATGCAACAAAATATTTATTGCCCCAATGCTGCAGCACTGGCTAAGGCCAGAAGCAATGCCACTAGACTGTGCTGCTGTTGGAAGGGCGGGCAACTTGTCATCTGTCTGAAGAGTGCAGATGTCTATTATGAGAGGCAACTGTGGGGTGCCAGGCACAATGCATGGAGAACTGAGGATAACACCATCAGCTCAAAGATTGCCCATCCTGTGTTGGGCTCTGGCAGGAATTCGCACTTGAGGCTTTCACTAAACCTGCCCTCAGTTGCCTCTGTCTGCCTCCAAGAAGAGCTTATGCTTGGTGACCCTCTTCACAATAGGCACAGTCACCAGTGCATGGAGGGCACTGTATCCACGTCTGTTGGCTTATTTTTTTAAAACTGTTTTTTAGAGGCAGGGTCTCACTATGTTGCCCAGGCTGGTCTCAAATTTCTGGGCTCAAGCAATCCTCCTGCCTCAGCCTCCCAAAGTTCTGAAATTAGAGGAATGAGCCACTATGCCCAGCCTTACTGGCTTATTAAAAAGTTGGTGGTGGCTGGGCATGGTGGCTCACACCTATAATCCCAGCACTTTGGGAGCCAAGGCAGGTGGATCACTTGAGGCCAGCTGACAGCATTCTGGGAACAGCCACCCAACCTAGTCATGTTATTGAATATACCCAGTGCTGGCAACCTGTTATCTCTGCATGAGGCCTGGAGTTTGGGAAACAGTCAGCAGTCATTCAGAACCAAGTTTACTGGGTGGAAGGGCCATCAGGTTGGGTAAGATCATTTGGGATAAGAAAGGATAGATATGACCAAGAATGGGGCAGTTTTCCTTTGTGAGTCATAAAATTGCCTCCAAACACAGAGTGTTTAGAAATGTTTTTAGGAAACAGCGCTGTTGGATAAAACCTTACACTTGCTATTTCCTGGCATGGTTCTAGGTGCCAGACAACCCTATGGCGTAGGTAAAACTATCCCTGTTAGGCCCAGAGTAGCTAAAAATAGGCCTAAGATCACACAGGTAGTAAGGGGTGAAGCTGGGATTTGAACCCAGATGGTCTACCAGAAGAGTCTATACTTTTAACCACCTCATGAAACTGCCTCTTGGTTAAAAAAGACCATTGCCTCCTAAAGTGAAGACCTGGAAGGGAACAAGCCTGTTTAGAAACACACCAGATAGGCCGGGTGCAGTGGCAGACTCATGGCTTATCTGTTTTCTCTTTTTGCTTTCCTTTGGTCCCGCCAGCCTGACTCCTTTTCCTTAATTAGGACTCCACACCCAGCACTGTGAGAATAACCTTTCTGAAGCTCAGCTCTGTGAGGACACCCCCGTGCATAGGGGGTGAAAACAGAAGGCCTGGCTTTGCAGCAGATGAGGCCAGACAAGTCAAATACCTTCTTGGGGCCTTGAGTTCTTCATTGGTAAAATGGGGGACATCAATATATTTCACAGGGCTGCATGGGGATTCAATGAGTTAATGTATGCTAAAGTGGAACTTTACAAATGCTTGTCACATGTACACTAAATTTTTGCTTAATCTAAGTGTTCTTCTGTCTAATCAAATACATGCTATGAAGATGTTAAAAACAAATAAAACTCCCCAGACAAGAAACATGCTATGGCTTCCCGTTGTCTCCTAAATAAAGGAAAAACTCTTCACAATGGCATTTTTTTTAACAGAGAGATTACAGATTCTCTCTCTCTCTGTCATCACATTGTTTCATTCTTTACATTTGCCCTGCAGTCAGCTTAATGGAGCTCTTAACAGTACCCAAGATACACCTCTGTCTTCCCGCCTTCATGCTTCTTCTTTTTCTCTGTCCCTTTGAAATCCCCCACCTCCTGCCTCTACGGAAATCCTTAGCCACCCTTTGCATTACAGCTATAAAGCCTCACAGGCTCTCCTAAGTCAGAAGTGATTTCCCACAGAATGCAGATGACTGCATTCTGCTTTTTCTTTTTCTTTTTCTTTTTTTCTTTTTCAGAGATGTAGTTCTTGTTAACGTTGCCCAGGCTGGAGCGCAGTGGCTACTCAGAGGCATGATCATACCGCACTATAGCCTGGAACTCCTGGGCTCAAGCAATCCTCCTGCCTCCGCCTCACAGGTGTGCACCACCATATTTGTAGTTTTACTTCTCCTGTGAGACTTTAACTTCTCAAGGGTCTTTTCTATGCCTTGTCTTTCTCTGAGTCCCTAAAAGTGCTCACAGAGCACATACAAATATTTGAGACGTAATTAAATGAAGTGACAGGTCTTTAGATACAGAAATGCAGGACACAGGCAGAAGTCTGGGTAACCTGTGCAGGCCTGGGGCTGGGGAGTAGTGAATTCAGAAGGTCATCTTTGGAGAGAGACAGCACATGGACTAAAACGAAGCTAAAGCCCCTTGCTCTGAGCCCATCTTGGTAACTAATGCCATCCCTGGGGTCTGTAACTGCCAGGGTGCCCCCAGTCCTTTAGCTTCCTGAGGATAATCCTCTATTAAAAATTGTCTAAAAACAGGCCGGGCATGGTGGCTCACACCTGTAATCCAGCACTCTGAGAGGCGGAGGCGGGAAGACTGCTTGAGGCCAGGAGTTCAAGACCAGCCTGCATAACACAGCGAAACCCCATCTCTACCAAAAATACAAAAATTAGCTGGGTGTGGTGGTGCATGCCTGTAGTCCCAGCTACTCAGGAGGCTGAGGTGGGAGGATGGTTTGAGCCCAGAAGAGGTCAAGGCTACAGTGAGCTGAGACTGTGTCACTGCATTCCAGCCTGGGCAACACAGGCAGACCCTGTTTAAAAAAAATTGTCTAAAAACAACTTTAGAGAGATAAAAGCTATAAACTATAAAATTCTTTCACTTATTTATTTATTTTTTTGAGACGTAATCTCACTCTGTCAGCAGGCTGGAGTGCAGTGGCACGATCTCAGCTCCCTGCAACCTCTGATTCCCTGGTTCAAGCGATTCTCCTGCCTCAGCCTCCTGAGTAGCTGGGATTACAGGCACGTGCCACCACACCCAGCTAATTTTTTTGTATTTTCAGTAGAGACAGGGTTCCACCATGTTGGCCAGGATAGTCTCGATCTCCTGACCCTGTGATCCGCCCGCCTTGGCCTCCCATAGTGCTGGGATTACAGGTGTGAGCCACTGTGCCCAGCCTAAGAATTCTTTCATTTAAAATGTACTGTTTGGGCTGGGTACAGTGGCTCATGCCTGTAATCTCAGCACTTTGGGAGGCCAAGGCGGGAGGATCACTTAAGGCCAGGAGTTTGATACCAGCCAGGGCAACATAGCAATACCCTGTTTCTACAAAAAAAAAAAAAAAAATTAGCCAGGCATGGTGTTGTATGCCTGTAGTCTCAGCTATTTGGGAGGCTGAAGCAGGAGGATCACTTGAGTCTAGGAGTTTGAGGATGTAGTGAGTTGGGCTTGTGCCAGTGTACTCCAGCCTGGGCAAGAGTGAGACCCTGTTTCTAAATAAATAAATAAATAAATAAATAAATAAACTGTTCAGTGGCTTTTAACATATATTCAGGGTTGTCCACCAATCCCCATCGTGTAATTTTAGAACATCTTCATCACCCCAATAAGAAAACTTGTTCCCATTTGTAGTTATTCCCTCACTCTCCTCCTCAACCTCCTACCCTAGGCAAGCACTACTTTCTGTTTCTATAGACTTGCCTACCTTGGACATTTCATATATGTGGAATCACATAATATGTGGTCTTTTGTGACTGGCTTCTTTCATTTAATATGGTTTCTAAAAACTTGTTTTTGTTTTTTGAGACAGGGTCTCCCTCTTTGCCCCAGGCTGGAGTGCAGTGGCGAGATCATAGCTCACCACAGCCTCAAGCTCTGGGGTTTGCAATCCTTCCACCTCAGCTTCCTGAGTAGCTGGGGCTACAGGTGTGCACTACTATGCCCAACTAATTAATTTTGTTTTTTTTTTGTAGAGACAGGGATCTCTTTATGTTGCCCAGGTTGGTCTCAAACTCTTGGCCTCAAGCAATCCTCCAGCCTCAGCCTCCCAAAGTGCTGGGATTACAGATGTGAGCAACTGCACCAGGCCTTAATTTAATATATATTTTTTGAGACAGAGTCTCACTCTGTCGCCCAGGCTTGAGTGCAGTGGCAGGATCCCGGCTCACTGCAACCTTTACCTCCCAGGTTCAAGTAATTCTCCTGCCTCAGCCTCCCAAGTAGTTGGGACTACAGGCGTGCACCACCACACCTGGCTAATTTTTGTATTTTAATAGAGACAGGGGGCTGGGCTTGGTGGCTCACGCCTGTGATCCCAGCACTTTGGAAGGCCGAGGCGGGTGGATCACCTGAGGTCAGGAGTTCAAGACCAGCCTGGCCAACATGGCGAAACCCCGTCTCTACTAAAAATACAAAAATTAGCTGGGCGTGGTGGCGCGCACCTACAATCCCAGCTAATGAGGAGACTGAGGCAGGAGAATCGCTTGAACCCAGGAGGTGGAGGTTGCAGTGAGGCAAGATTGTGCCACTGCACTCCAGCCTGGGCAACAGCAAGACTCCATCTCAAAAATAAAAAAATAAAAAATAGAGACAGGATTTCACCATGTTGGCCAGGCTGGTCTTGAACTCCTGACCTCAAGTGATCTGCCCATCTCAGCCTCCCAAAGGGTTGGGATTACAGGCATGAGCCACTGTCCCTGGCCTTAATATGTTTTTGAGATTCATTCATGTTGTGGCACACAGCAGTACTTCATTGCTTTTTGTGGTTGAATAATATATTGTATTGTATAGAAATAGCACATTCTGCTTATCCATCATCAGCTGATGAACATTTGGGTTGTTGCAATATTTTGGCTATTGTGAGTAGTGCTGCTATGGACATTTGTGTACAAATGTTTATGTAGACATGTTTTCAGTTCTGTTGGGTAGATTCCTAGGAGTAGAATCGCTGGGTCATAGGGTAACTCTATGTTTAACTTTCTTTTTTTTTTGAGGAGTCTCGCACTGTCACTCAGGCTGGAGTGTAATGGCACGATCTTGGCTCACCGCAACCTCTGCCTCCCAGGTTCAAGCAATTCTCCTGCTTCAGCCTCCCGAGTGGCCGGGATTACAGGCATGTGCCACCATGCCCAGCTAATTTTTATTTTTATTTATTTATTTAGTTTGAGATGGAGGTTCACTCTTTTTGCCCAGGCTGGAGTGCAATGGCATGCTCTCAGCTCACTGCAACCTCCGCCTCCTGGGTTTAAGTGATTCTCCTGCCTCAGCCTCCCGAGTGGCTAGGACTACAGGCTCACGCCACCACGCCCAGCTAATGTTTGTATTTTTAGTAGGGACAGGGTTTCATCATGTTGGCCAGGCTGGTCTCAAACTCCTGACCTCGTGATCCACCCGCCGCGGCCTCCCTAAGTGCTAGGGTTACAGGGGTGAACCACCACGCATGGCTGTTGAGCATTTTTTCATGTGCTTATTGGCCAGTGTATATTTTCTCTGGAGAAACGTCTGTTCAAATTCTTTGCCCAGACCAGGAAAGGTGGCTCAGCCTGTAATCCCAACACTTTGAGAGGCTGAGGTGGGTGGATCGCTTGACCCCAGGAGTTCGAGAGCAGCCTGGGCAACATGCCAAAACCCCATCTCTACTAACAATACAAAAAATTAGCTGGGTGTGGTGTGTGCCTGTAGTCCCAGCTACTTGGGAGGCTGAAGTAGAAGGATCACCTGAGCCTGAAGAGATTGAGGCTGCAGTAAGCCATGATCGTGCCACTGCACTCCAGCCTGAGCAACACAGTGAGATCCCCCATCTCAAAAAAAAAAAAAAAAAAGTAAAATAAATTTCTCTTTGCTTGTGGCTCCTTTAGGTCCTGGCTGACTGTCATTTTCCTGGGCCTCTCTTGCTTCCTGAAGACTTTTCTCTTCCCTTTTCTACATCCCAGTCTAACCCCAGCTCCTCTTTCCTTTCTCATGTGGGGCAGTGACTCCTTTGACTTGTCTTCACTAGACACCTTCCCCCATTTTCAACAAGTTGGCCCAGGAAGTTTCCCTGAGCCCCTTCCGCAGAGTGAGGAAGCACGGCTGTCATTTTTCTTTTCTATCTTTAATTTAAAAATTGTTTTTATTTTTTGAGGGAAGAGTCTTGCTATGTGGGTCAGCCTGGAGTGCAGTGGCACAATCCTAGCTCACTGCAGCCTTGAAGTCCTGGGCTCAAGCAATCCTCCTGCCTCAGCCTTCCAAGTTGTTGGGACTACAGGCACACACTACCAGGCCTGGCTACTTTTTAATTTTTTGTAGAAACAGGGCCTCACTATGTTACCCAAGCTGGTCTCAAACTCCTGGCCTCAAGCAATCTTCTTTCCTCAGCCTCCTAAAGTGTTGGGGTTATAGGCATGAGCCACCACACCCAGCCTGTTGTTTTCTTTTCAAAATCATAATTATTTTCTTCCTTATTTACATTTTAGTGTGACGATTGTTCCAGGGCTGCAGTCTCCTCTTGTGGAAAATAAGGGAACCAGACTACTCCATCTCTAAGGCTCCTACCAGGTCTAACATACTATGGAAACTTATAAGTCCATCTGAATGACTAAATGCAGGATTTACATTTGGTAGAGCCTGATTAGAGAGGAAAAGAAAAGATGGGGAAAGTTTCCTTTTTTTCTTGCTTCACAGGTTTGCCCACAGCCCAGCTGCATCTGTGAACATGAATGCTACTTCTACAGAAACAGAGTGGAATCTCCGAAATACCTTTGAGACCCTTTCGTGTCAGGTGGGTGGGCCACAGCCTGATCATGGAATAAAAGTCAGCCTTAAGGATTCAGATTTCAATAACTTTCAGTGAACCCCACCTTGAGTCAGGCACTTTGCTAGGTGCTTTTAAACACACTATCCCATTTAATCACAATGGGAGGAAGGTTTTATTGCCTCAATTTTTTTTTTTTTAAGACAAAGAGTCTCACTCTGTCATCCAGGCTGGAGTGCAGAGTTTGATCTCGGCTCACTGCAACCTCCACCTCCCAGGTTCAAGTGATTCTCCTGCCTCAGCCTCCTGAGTAGCTGGGATTACAGGCACCCACTACCACGCCTGGCTAATTTTTGTATTTTTAGTAGTGACAGGGTTTCACCATGTGGGCCAGGCTGGTCTCAAACTCCTGACCTCAAGTGATCCGCCTGCCTTGGCCTCCCAGAGTGCTGGGATTACAGGCGTGAGCCAGCGTGTCCAGCCAATTGCCTCAATTTTAAGGATGAGGAAAATGGTGCTCACCGAGAGGCCAGGTAGCTAGCTACTTCAAAGTCACACAGCCACTGAGGAGCAGAGCCATGAGGACTCGACTGTCCCTTGGGAAGACGAGTTATTAAAAAAAAAACAAACACCCACCAAAGCAGCAAACTCCATGCCTACAGGGGCTGGGCAAGTAAAAATAAGGAGATGGGCAGGCATGAGAAAACAGGAGCAGTGGGAAGGACTTGCCTATTCTCTGACCTTGGCAGCTGCTGACCAGCAGCAGGTCATGCCATGCAGCAGTGTGGGTGTCATGTGGCTGATTTTCTAGTATCTCAACTGATGGGGGAGAGCCAGAGTTTGCATGAAATTATCCCAATTTTTAAAGAAGGAGCCAACAGTGAGCCAAACACGATACCACTACAGAACAAATCTGGTCTAGGGGACTGCTATTGAGGATGAATTCCTTTGGCTTAACACCCATCCTCCTGTTCATTCATCTTCTCAAAAGCAAACATGCTCTAAGTGAGGAGGGAGGTCACCTTCAGCCATAAGGCGCCATTCTACTGGCGAGAAGTGGTGGGGAATGTGGGACAGAGAAGACTTTGTAGCTGGGGAAGAAATTAAGTCATAGTCACCAAGGATTTGGCCCTGCCTTCACCGGTTTCCCTGGGCGGCAGGGAGGGCCCTACCATAGAATGTTACCGACAAGTGGGAGCAAATGGGGGCCCCGGCCCTGTTCGTTCAGCTGGGTGAAAACGAGGGTCTTGGGGGCACAGGTTTAGGTGGGATTGGTGGGGGATAGTAGCTTTCTTTTTCAATTGTTGAACACAGAAGAGAAACCCAAAGCAAGGCGCCAATCATTAAAACACACAAACACAGACACACGCGCAAGTCACCTTGCTCGCTGGGTACTTTAGTTACCTCAAACGGAAATGGGGTTTTCGGCCCCTCTTTTCCTGCCTACCTCATGGGACTGTTGCCAAAGAGGAAGGAACCGGAAGGAAAGGTCTTGGGACAGGACAGGGGCTAAGCAGCCGTGCATTCGTTATGATGTGAGGGGTGCCGGGGGCTGGAGACTGAGGTCGGGGAGAGCACGGGCCCTGGGTCCTTAGTGCCAGCGGGCGGCCAGAACCAGAGTGCGGGGGTCTAGGGATTCGGGGACCCAGACGCACCAGGCCCACATATCCCGCTCAGAAGGGTGCGGAAAGCCGCGCGCACACGGCAGGGACACGCCCCAGACACGCCCCGCCCCGCACTTCTGGGGCGCGACCCGGAAGCGGAAGGGA
The DNA here is from genome assembly GCF_000001405.40 of Homo sapiens. Lineage (NCBI taxonomy): Eukaryota > Metazoa > Chordata > Mammalia > Primates > Hominidae > Homo > Homo sapiens. The sequence goes on along the minus strand of NC_000002.12, from coordinate 96,305,567 downwards.
ACCCGTTTCTTTTCCTTCCCCAGTGCGTCTTTCCTGCGTCGTTCCGGCGCGGCGGGAGCAGAGATCTGCGGCCGTTTGCAGCTTGCGGTAGGGAGGCGTGGTGGTCTGAAGCCTCCGAGCAGCCGCGGCCATGGCGGATGTAACCGCCCGTAGTCTGCAATACGAGTACAAGGCGGTGCGTTTGGTCTTGGGGAAGGATTCCAGGCTCAGGAGTCCAATGGGGAGGGGGAGGCTGAAAAAGGGAGTTTCAGTCTGAAGGCCTACAGGAGAGCCACGAAAACGAAGGGGAAATGGAATCGGGGTGAAGGTGGGGGTTATACGATGACGTGAATAACCTACTGGGGTCTGGGGAGCGCTAAGATCTCTCTAGGAGGAGTTTCTCGAGTACCTTCAACGCTAAGCCCTCCCCCTTCCACACGTCACTCCCAACCCACTCACTACTTTTCACAGGTGTGGGTTATGATGGGCGCTGTTAGGAACAAGAATTGTTTAGCTGATTCGACAGCGCATAAGACTTATTCAGCTGTACGCTTCTGCACAGCGTTATACTATGCAATTCTTAAGGAAAATATATTTTTATTACGATTAGTGATGATAAGCAACTAGTTACTACGATTTTTTCCATCAGCTGGGGTAACTATGATAGTAGGAATTGGCCCTGCTCATGTCAAAGCTTCAATAATGTTTTGATCTTTTCAGAACTCGAATCTTGTGCTCCAAGCTGACCGTTCTCTCATTGACCGGACCCGCCGGGATGAACCCACAGGAGAGGTGCTGTCCCTTGTTGGGAAGCTGGAGGGCACCCGTATGGGAGACAAGGCTCAACGGACCAAACCGCAGATGCAGGAGGAAAGAAGAGCCAAGTGAGTGCCAAGGGGATACTATTTTTTCCTTCAGATCCAAAGTCTCTTCCCTTTAACATTCGAGCAGCATTTTTGCTGGAATGCTTGGTGTAAGATCAGTGGCATTAAAACAATTCAGTGAAGGTAAAAACAGACCAGGAGAGTTTAAAGATTTTTTGGCCTTAACAAGTGCATCTCAAGTGGAAAATAACTTGTTGGTACCTTTTTCTTACATGTGTGTTTCTGGTCCATAGACAGATCTTAATTTTCTTCAGGGTATTTTCAAGACCCTTGCTATTCCTATGTCCCAGTAATTCGTTTTCCTTTTTTCCCATTACTAACTTCCTACCCCTACTTTTTCCATTTACTCTTGTCCACGTTCTACCTATTTTGTTGTAACAAACTAATTTAAGCATCCATAGTATGAAAGACAGGTTTCTTTCTTAGTTTGCATTTTTTTCCTTTATTTTTTTTTTTTAAGATTTCTTGGGGATATGTTTCAAAAACTTACCTTTACCTCATCATTATCTTTTGATCCTGAATATCTTGGTGTCTTGCTCCCTTTCCTATGATGAAGTTTCCAAAATTCCTAGGCTTAGTTTGATTAAAGTAGTTATGTTTGAAATGAGTTAATACATTATCTCCACTTTGTGCTATATCTTCTTTTCCAGTTTTGTTATACTTTGTTGATAGTCAACGGCAGTAGATTCTGTTAGAGCTTGGTTCTCTAGCTAGAAAGGGAAAATGCATTGGAGAGGTGAAAAACTAGTCAAAATCCTATTATATAATAGTCTCATACAATGTATGAAGGGTTGTACTTTTTTTTTTTTTTTTTTTGAGACGGAATCTCACTCTGTCACCCAGGCTGGAGTGCAGTGGCGTGATCTCTCTCACGGCAACCTCCACCTCCCGGGTTCAAGCGATTCTCCTGCCTCAGCCTCCTGAGTAGCTGGGATTACAGGCGCTCGCCACTGTGCCCGGCTAATTTTTGTATATTTAGTAGATACAGGGTTTCTCCATGTTGGCCAGGTTGGTCTTGAACTCCTGACCTCAGGTGATCCGCCTGCCTTGGCCTCCCAAAATGTTGGGATTACAGGCGTGAACCACTGCACCTGGCCAAAGGGTTGTATTTTTTAAATGAGAAACATCTCATTGTAATGTTTAGTGCATCTAGTGAGAAGATGATAGGGAATTTTTCTTTTTGTCACTGTGTCCCATAAAGAAATACTCCTGCAAGTGATTAAGGCCAAACGGAATCATTTGCTGAGGCTCAGATACCTGTTTTCAGATATTAACTTCTTGCCATGAAGCTGAGGAGAGGAGGGTGGGCTTGATCCAGTCTTCCCTTGGGGACGAAAGGTTCTGCCATTCAATATCACATTGCATGTCCATTAGGCGAAGAAAGCGTGATGAGGACCGGCATGACATCAACAAGATGAAGGGTTATACTCTGCTGTCGGAGGGCATTGATGAGATGGTGGGCATCATCTACAAGCCCAAAACTAAAGAGACTCGGGAGACCTATGAGGTGCTACTCAGCTTCATCCAGGCTGCTCTTGGGGACCAGGTGAGTGTGATATTGTGAAATATATATTAGGTCTTTATTTCATTTTCTGGCATACAGCTTCTAAGATCCTTGGAATCTTCGAAGTGCTAAGTATCTTTTTGTATGCTGATGAGTTGACTGATGGCTGGCAGCACTTAGGTAGTTCAGAATGGAGGCTGGTCATTTAATCAATCATGCCTACATAATGAAGCCTCCATAAAAACCCCAAAAGGACTAGGTTTAGAGAGTTTGTGGATAGCTGCACACATGGAGGTTTCTGGAGGGTGGTGCGCCTGAGAGGGCCTGGTAGCGCCACACCCATTCCCACATGCCTGCCCTGTGTACCTCTTCCATCTGTTGTCTTTTGGTAGGCATCTTTTGTAATATGCCTTATAGTAAAAATAAGTGTTTCCCTGATCTGCTCTAGAAAATTAGTTGAACCCCAAAAGGGGATTGTGGAAACCTCGATTTATAGCTGTATAGTGAGAAGCACAGGTCAAACAACCTGTGCTTGTGACTGGCATCATGAAGTGGGAGGCAGGCTTGTGCGACTGAGTCCTCAGTCTGTGGGATCTGACGCTATCTCCAGGTAGTTAGTGTTGGAACGGAATTGAATTTGAGGACCCCCAGCTTGTGTCCACTGCACAATTTTTGGATTGGTTGCTGGTGGGGAGGAATTGTCACAGAAGCCTTCTGTGTTAATTGTTGTGAGAGTATAGAAAAAAACAAGTTTGCTTTATTTCAGTATTCTCAGAGTGAGGTGGCCAGAGGATGAGACCATGTGTCAGAAAGGGAGAGGGTCACAGCTGGGAGACTGAACCTTTTCTCTGGATCCTCTTGTGGGCTGTACTGGTTGGCAGAAGTGGCTTATATTTACTGAGCACTCGATTTGTGTGGAACAGCACGTGTCTTCCCCCAACCCTACATAACTCCATGAATAGGTGCTGTTAATATTCATTTTCCATTTTATAGAAGAGAGATGTGAGGCAAGAATAGTTAAGTAATTTTCCCGAGTCACAGAAGTAGTATTTGGCAGAGCCAAGATATGATCCAGATAGTTTATCTCTAGAATCCATGTTCCTAACCATTACACATGTGTGATTAGATTGGGGACCATTATGAGTCTGAGGAGCTCTGTTGAGGTGGGTGCTAGAGGAAGTGAGGACAAAGAATTACAAAAGTGTGGCAAGCTAGAGGAGGTCTGCCAAGTGACTACCACCTGGAGTGTGGCAAGCTGTTGTGGAAGCTGTGTCCTGCTGCTTGAGGCCACCTAGCTAATCTTTTTAAAAACAGACAAGTCTTCCTTTAGTTGTGGCATCAGCATTAATGAGAAAGGTCAGAGCCTAGTATGTGGCAGGTTTTGAAGAGGTGTGGCTCTTCACATCCTGCCGCCACATACACCTGGTTGAAGATGTTTTGCCTGTCGTCGTTCTCAATATTGGTTGGTTGTTTCTTGCCACCAGCCACGTGATATCCTTTGTGGGGCAGCTGATGAAGTTCTAGCTGTTCTAAAGAATGAAAAGCTGCGGGACAAGGAAAGGCGAAAGGAGATTGACCTGCTGCTGGGTCAAACAGATGATACCAGATACCATGTGCTAGTGAACCTGGGCAAAAAGATCACAGACTATGGTGGAGATAAGGAAATCCAAAATATGGGTAAGTGCGCGCTTTATGTTCTGATCATGTTCATTGGTTGTTGTTGACCCCTAAACATGCATCTTCTAGCATCATTCATTTAAAAACCTTAATGTCAGTGAGTTCCCATAATCTGTTCTGTGTTTTTTGAAGAGTTACAATTGATGGACACCAGAATCCCTAGATTCCAGCAGCTGTTCCTTACTCTGAGACCCTTTTATTGTGTGGAATATGAGAAAATGTGGGCAGAGCCTTGGGGGCTCAAGTGGTTGAGCAAGCAGAGCTGGGCTGACTCCAAGGCTGGCAGGTGGAGAAGGTCTTGGCAGGAGCAGCATAGGTGGCTCTCTCATGTTGATCATCTAAGTATCTGTATGTGTCCTTAGCACTTAGATCTTTCCTGAGGAGAGGTAGTCGGGGAGGACATTGGCTCCAGAGTGCCTTGTTTTACTAGCCATTCACTGCCCTCTTTTTCTAATCCTTCATTGTTTCAGATGACAACATTGATGAGACATACGGTGTGAATGTGCAGTTTGAGTCTGATGAGGAGGTGAGTGATAAACATACCCAGTCCATTCTTGTTTTTGACGTTGATTAAGGTAAAGGGACCCCTTCTAGTGTAAACAAGCTCTCTAGTTTAAACCAGATAAATTTTATGGTGTTGTATGGGTTTCAGACTTGGGCATTATATGTTCTTTTGCTTAAAAAAAAGTGCAGTTATCTTTTAACTTTGCTACCGCAAATTTAAACTAACAAATGTAAAGCAATATAATTTTTTTTTTTTTGAGACGGAGTCTTCTCTGTCGCCCAGGCTGGAGTGCAGTGGTGCGATCTCGGCTCACTGCAAGCTCTGCCTCCCAGGTTTCGCGCCATTCTCCTGCCTCAGCCTCCCGAGCAGCTGGGACTATAGGCGCCCGCCACCATGCCCGGCTAATTTTTTATATTTTTAGTGGAGACGGGGTTTCACCGTGTTAGCCAAGGTGGTCTTGATCTCCTGACCTCAGGTGATCCGCCCCCCGTCGGCCTCCCAAAGTGCTGGGATTACGGGTGTGAGCCACTGCGCCCGGCCACAATATAATTATTTAAAATATACCAAGTGGATCAGCAAAAAGAAAGAAAAAAGTTAAAGTACAGTGTATACTTTCATTGAGAATGTATCTGCTATGTTTTACTGCATTTTAACCTTATTACAGTATTTTCCCATTTTTCATTACTGTATCTGACTAAAAGATTGCACATTTGCCCTAGAGCACAGACATAGTTTGTACATGGTTAAGTCACTGGGGTTAATGTTTACTGTCTAATAGAATTCCTTGAATATAACTAAATAGGAATAAGTGGGGTACTTTGAGAAAATTACAGTGCCTTAGAGTTCTCAGTGAGTAGAAGTGGCTCCTGAAAGGGAAAATGGAGCCCCGGTATATATACCAAGGCTGGAAGAAGGGGTCGCACGGGGAGAGTCAGAGGACTAGGAGCCAAGACTTCTGAGTTTGAGTCCTGTATCTTGGCAGGTCATCTTGCTTCAGTTTCTCCTTCTATAAAATGAGGCCATTTCAATAGGTGATTGCTAAGCCTCTTCCTACAGTATAGTTAATAGGATTTGATGATTTTAAGTAGCAACAAACTGCTTTGCTTTTAGCAGTTCATTCATTTAACAGTGCTCATTATTGAAGTACCTGTTTTGACTGTGACACTATGCCAGGTACGCCTAATGTGCAGTGTATGAGTAAATAGAGTGGTGAGCAGGCTAAGTGCGATCTCTTCATTCCGGAGTCACCACCTGCTTTCCCAGGCATGCCTCTGTATAGCTCTTTTCTCCTTAGCTGATCACTGTTTTTGAGTGTTGATTGTGTGTGTATTAGAGAGAGGCTATGATCCAGTTGATTGCCATTGTAGCAGCCTAAGGTGAGAAATAGAAAGTAGATATATCTAATAAGTCGTGCTAAGCAGTCATTCTATGTCCACTGGAATAAGGCTGACCTTGGTTCCAATAGGCTCTCGGTTTCACCCCAAAGCCATTTCTCTACCCATTGAGCTAATTTAGGGTGACTTGAGGGAGAGGTTCTGTGGTGATGCAGGATCAGCTCCAGATCATGGTTGAGTTGGGGTCATTTCCACAGGAAGGTGATGAAGACGTATACGGGGAGGTTCGAGAAGAGGCATCTGATGATGACATGGAAGGGGACGAGGCTGTCGTGCGCTGCACCCTCTCGGCTAATGTAAGTTCAGTTTGCTCTTCCTCATTGCTACAAGGTTACTTCTGGGTGTTAGTGCTTCTTCCCCATGCCTAGGTCCTGTTACATTTATTGAGCCACTTTTTGCTGGAGTGAACTATAATAAACACTTAGTGTCTAGAGTTTCTTAAAATTTCTGTCGGTTTTCTTCCTTCCCAAAGATGTATGTTGATGAAATCTTAGTCTGGTGTGCTTCTGAACTCAATATTCCAGAGTTTTTTCCTCTGGAAAGTCCTCACAAGAAGGTGGGCTATGGATTGTCAAGTAGAACTTGGTTGCAGGGTGGTGGCAAAGTGATCGAGGCTGGCAGAGACCTGGTGAGCTAAATGCCTGGTTACTTTTATAGCTCGTAGCCTCAGGTGAACTGATGAGTTCCAAGAAGAAGGATTTGCACCCTCGGGATATTGATGCATTTTGGCTGCAGCGGCAGCTCAGTCGTTTCTATGATGATGCCATCGTGTCGCAGAAGAAGGCAGATGAAGTATTGGAGATTTTGAAGGTATGGCCAAGATGACAATAGTTGTATATTTAGTGTATCTTAGCACATGGGGACAGCGTATGAAGTGGCAGATGGCTTTGGCCTTAATGGTGGTGTTACCTGCTCTCTGCAGACGGCCAGTGATGATCGGGAATGTGAAAATCAGCTGGTTCTGCTGCTTGGTTTCAACACCTTTGATTTCATTAAAGTGTTGCGGCAGCACAGGATGATGAGTGAGTATATGGTGGGGTCTTCCTGCAGAGTGAGTACATATGTGTGCATGTGTGACATAGAGATTCTGTTGTTTTCACAGCCTAAGTGCTTGTTTCTTTTATTTTTCTTCTTTCTACCCTGAGGATGGTTTTTTGCCTTATTTCCTCCTCCTCACTTCCTTTGTTCCTTTTGTTGTGGGTAGTTTTATACTGTACCTTGCTGGCCAGTGCACAAAGTGAAGCTGAAAAGGAAAGGATTATGGGAAAGATGGAAGCTGACCCAGAGCTATCCAAGTTCCTCTACCAGCTTCATGAAACCGAGAAGGAGGATCTGATCCGAGTAAGGACTGGGTTGGTTTATCTGTCTGATTTCTGAGCTAACGGTGGCTAGAAGATTGCAGCATGAAGCTAAATTCATGTTAAAAGTGGAAGTTGAAAAAGTAATTTCCTAAATTCTTTGGGGTTTATCAGTGCATACAGGTTAGAATCAACACATCCACATTGGTTTGGTCATGAGACCAGTGACCTGCTGCTATCTTTCACCAGCACTGTGGGGACCTTTATTGTTTATTTACACAGTAAATCCATGGTGTTTACTAAAATAGAGTAACAGAACACATGTACTTGCTTAATGGAACCCACCCTTCGACCCCTCAGGGGTAGCCCTTGGTACTTAATTATAGAACGTGTATTTGTGGCATCCTTGTACTGCGCATTGCCCCTTTAAAAGTGTTTGTTTGCTTTGATCATTCTGGTGGTCCCCATGTAAAGCACTGTCTTTCTGTTTCACGACTTACTAGTCAGCACCTGTGACTCAAGTATTAGCTAAGCAGGGGCAGAAAAGGACAAGAACCTATGATACTGATGAATTGTTTTTGTGATTTTTATCTTTGTCCACTACAGGAGGAAAGGTCCCGGAGAGAGCGAGTGCGTCAGTCTCGAATGGACACAGATCTGGAAACCATGGATCTCGACCAGGGTGGAGAGGTAGGATCCAGGGCGATTTATTTCCCAGGCCTTGATGGATGGAAAACTCACTTGCTCGGCTTGCTTACTTCCTTTGTGTTTTTGTCTTTCACATTCCCAGGCACTGGCTCCACGGCAGGTTCTGGACTTGGAGGACCTGGTTTTTACCCAAGGGAGCCACTTTATGGCCAATAAACGCTGTCAGCTTCCTGATGGATCCTTCCGTCGCCAGCGTAAGGGCTATGAAGAGGTGCATGTGCCTGCTCTGAAGCCCAAGCCCTTTGGCTCAGAAGAAGTAAGTGAATTGCTTTCTTCAGTTCTCTGCTCAGTTCACCTCCTGGTTTGGATTTCAACCATTGACCAAAATGTAGCCTTGTTTCATATATAGTTTATTTCAGGGCTGAAAGCTGCAACAGAATTTTCCCATTCTGATTTTGAGCCCAGGGGACAATATTGATCTCTGGACTGACCTTTAATGGAAAGTTATGCAAAGAGATTGCCAGGGAACAAAATCCTGGCAATCCCACAATAACGTTTTGCTCAAGGATGCTGCCAACATGATATTGATGGCACTTCTTTTCTTCTAGCAACTGCTTCCAGTGGAAAAGCTGCCAAAGTATGCCCAGGCTGGGTTTGAGGGCTTCAAAACACTGAATCGGATCCAGAGTAAGCTCTACCGTGCTGCCCTTGAGACGGATGAGAATCTGCTGCTGTGTGCTCCTACTGTAAGCGCCACCCTGCCTGCTGTTTTCTTGTAGAATATGGTGTGGAGTTTCCGTTGCAAGATTGTTTTTTATTTCCACCCCCACCCCCTAATTCTTTGTCCTTTGATGGAAGAGAGGTTAAATAGTAGGATAAAGTGCCCAGGACAAGCTCTATTCTCTATTTGGGAAATAAGCCCATGGAAGTTAGGGCAGTGAGAATAACCAGGTGAATAGGCGTTCTCATCCCTGACCTCTCCCGTAGGGTGCTGGGAAGACCAACGTGGCCCTGATGTGCATGCTCCGAGAGATTGGGAAACACATAAACATGGACGGCACCATCAATGTGGATGACTTCAAGATTATCTACATTGCCCCCATGCGCTCCTTGGTGCAGGAGATGGTGGGCAGCTTTGGAAAGGTGAGGGAGTAGAACTTTCCTGCAGAGGATACTGGGTGCACCTATGAAAGTGTTGTGGACAGGCCTGGACCTCACCGCTTCTTGTATTAGGGCATCTCTGGCATGCCTCCTGGGATTGTTGTTATTTTTTATTTTTCTCTCCCCATTTCCAAGATGGAACTTAACCCAGGTACAGAGTTTCTGAAGTAAGAATGTCCTGAGCCATCTTTTACAAGGGTTAGCATCTTTCTTTCATCCTCTCCATGGCAATTTTCTGCAGTTCGTATCATTTGTGTTATTGAAGTGTTTATGAAACATCAAATGGATGTGGATGATAATAGACCTAGTGGTGTATTGTAGGTCTTCTTATCTACAAGTTGCCATTTCTTCCTCTTGTGTACAGAGTTCCCAGAGGTCTTTTTTTTTGAGACAGGGTCTCGCTGTCGCCCAAGCTGGAGTGCAATGGCACAATCATGGCTCACTGCAGCCTTAACTTCCCAGGTTCAAGTGATCCTCCCACTTCAGCCTCCCTGGTAGCTGTGATTATAGACATGTACTACTAGATTAGCTAATTTTTATATTTTTTGTAGAGACAGGGTTTCACCATGGTCTAGAACTCCTGGGCTCAAGCATTCTGCCTGCGTTGGCCTCTGAAAGTGCTAGAATTACAGGCATGAGCCACCATGCCTGGCCCCCAGAGATCTTTTGTCTGCTTTATTTGCCTGAGTTAAATTTGGATTTGTTTGAGGAAGATATGTTCATAAGATCTGATTCGCCTTGTATTCACCTGATGGGTTGATACCTGCTCCCAATGCCCTACACTCCAATTGCCCAAACAGAAAGCATGGTGTCCAGGCCCCTTCAAGCATTCCTGCCTGATGTAGTTTTCCTCCCACAGCGCCTGGCCACTTATGGCATCACTGTTGCTGAACTGACTGGGGACCACCAGCTGTGCAAAGAAGAGATCAGTGCCACTCAGATCATCGTCTGCACCCCCGAGAAGTGGGACATCATCACCCGCAAGGGTGGTGAGCGCACCTACACCCAGCTGGTGCGGCTCATCATTCTGGTGAGTTGGGAGCAGTCGTAGAATATAGAGTCCAGTTGTGTCAGGGCGGGTTTGCTGGGTTTTCATGCGAAATGTTTCTTTGCTGCCTTTTCTGTAGGCACTAGCCTTTGTAATGACTAGTCCTCCAATTCCGTAGGATGAGATCCATCTTCTCCACGATGACAGAGGTCCTGTCTTAGAAGCTTTGGTGGCCAGGGCCATCCAAAACATTATAATGACAGCTATTGTCAGCTTGTGTTTGCCATCTTATTTATTTATTTATTTGTTTGTTTGTTTGTTTGAGATGGAGTCTAGCTCTGTCGCCCAGGCTGAGTACAGTGGCACGATCTTGGCTCACTGCAGCCTCTGCCTCCCGAGTTCAAGCAATTCTCCTGCCTCAGCCTCCCCTGTAGCTGGAATTACAGGCGCCTGCCACCATGCCCAGCTAATTTTTATATTTTTAGTAGAGACTGGGTTTCACTGTGTTGGCCAGGCTGGTCTCGAACTCCTGACCTCGTGATCTACCCACCTCAGCCTCCCAAAGTTCTGGGATTACAAGCGTGAGCCACTGCGCCTAGCCTGCCATGTTATTCTTTATATATTTTTTTATGTCTGAAATATTTTACTACACTTGATCTTAAGCCAAAAGGCCAAGAAGCTATGTCTGAAATATTTTGAAACAAATGTAAACAGATAGACAAAAAACCATCATATCCAACATCATTTAGGGTTTTATAAGTAAAAGAATCCATTCTCTGAGGGAATGAGTGAGGAAGCAGGATATTGTATTCCATATACACAGAAACTTCCAGAGATTAGTGACTAAGTCTGAGTATAGTTTAAGTTGTCTGGGAAAAGCAAGAAAGGAGACTTCACGTGTTGGTTTTCAGTGTTCTGGAGCAGGGGTTGGCAGTCTGTGGGTACTGGCTTTGTTCTGTTGGAACATAGTTACACCCATTTGTTTATGTATTGTTTACAGCTGCTTTTGGCTGCAATGGCAGAGCTGAGTATTTGCAATAGGGGCTGCGTGGGCCAAAGCCTGAAATACTGACTGTCTGGCTTTTTTTTTTTAGACGGAGTTTCACTCTTGTTGCCCAGGCTGGAGTGCGATGATGCAATCTCAGCTCACTACAGCCTCCGCCTCCCGGGTTCAAGCAGTTCTCCTGCCTCAGTCTCCCGAGTAGCTGGGATTACAGTTGCCCGCCACCATGCCCAGCTAATTTTTTGTATTTTTAGTAGAAATGGGGTTTCACCAATCTGATGGCCAGGCTGGTCTCGAACTCCTGGCCTTGGGTGATGCACCTACCTCAGCCTCCCAAAGTGCTGGGATTACAGGCGTGAGCCACTGCCCCCGGCTTTTTTTTTTTTTTTTTTTTGAGATGGAGCATCTGACTTTTTAAAAAAAACATTTCTGGTCCCTGCTTTAGAGCTTTGCTACTTGAAGCCTGATCCATGGTTGGGGTCATAGCAGCAGCAGCATGGAATAGGAGCTTGTTAGAAATGCAGGATTTGTGGCCTCACCCCACACCTGCTGAATACAATCTCCTTTTTAACAACATCCCCTGGCTTTGGGATACTTAATAAAATTTGAGATGCACTGCTTTAGACTATTCAAACTCATCATTTGATGTGTGATAGCTTTTGTTCTTGGGAACTATAACTGCCAGAGGTGAAGCTTCTGATCAGATCATATTTATATCCTTTTTCATAAAGAAGTTTACCTTTAAGTAAAGTTTAAACTCATTTATCTGAGTTTCAGAATTTCTTTATACAAAGTATGTTACTGAACTGTACCAAAGCAACTCATGGTCAGAGTCTGTTACTTTCTGGAGTATTTCATGGGAAATATTGTCTCCATCCTTTGGGCATCTGTGGCTTGGGATCCCTTGTCTTTTTTCTTAGGCATATTAGGTTATATGCCTACAATATGGGACAATTCCAGGAAAAGGGACTATGTATCTCTAGTGCTAGAGGTAATTTCTGTCCTCCAATTCCGTAGGATGAGATTCATCTTCTCCACGATGACAGAGGTCCTGTCTTAGAAGCTTTAGTGGCCAGGGCCATCCGAAACATTGAGATGACCCAAGAGGATGTCCGACTCATTGGTCTCAGTGCCACCCTACCCAACTATGAAGATGTAGCCACCTTTCTACGTGTTGACCCTGCCAAGGGTCTCTTTTACTTTGACAACAGGTATCAGGAAAGACTGGGCAAAGTTCTGCCAAGGTGACCATCCTGCTCTCTTTCCTCTTTTCCAAGGAGTGCTACTGGGTTGGGTTTTAGAAGGGCCTTTGGGTTTTGATGTGGTGTGAATCATAAAGGAGGAATATTGCTCTTGGGGCAGTGAAAAAGACTGTTTATTCCCACAGTATTTTCTGCCAAAGCCTCATTTGTCTAACTGTTGAACTTCTAGCTTCCGTCCAGTGCCTCTGGAACAGACATATGTGGGTATCACAGAGAAAAAAGCTATCAAGCGTTTCCAGATCATGAATGAAATCGTCTATGAAAAAATCATGGAACATGCTGGAAAAAATCAGGTTTGCCCGTGGTTTATGGTTACTCTTGAACCCCATTCTTTCGAATGTTTGATTCACCAATAATTGGGGAAGATTGACAGAAATTAAAAGAGAGAAGACACAACATAAATCACCAATATCAGCTATGAAATGGGATATTACTACAGAACCTATAGCCACTGGAAGGATAATAAGGGAATACTATGAGTAATTTTATGCTCATAACTTTAAAAATTCAGAAGAAATGGACCAGTTCTCCAACAACTACCAGTTAACTAGCAAAACTCAGCCCAGATGAAATAGATAACATGAAGAGCCCTACAACTATTAGAGAGTTGGAGAATTAAAAATCCCCCCAGCAAGCAATCCCCAGTCCCAGATAATTGTTTTGTGCATTCGCATTATCCAGGGTCCCTCCATAAAAGATTTGGGGTCACTTACACTAAAAATGCAAGACAATAAAAAGAGGAAAATGAAAAACTAGAGGGCATTTTACTAGACAGTGTGATAGAATTTTTAAATTGAAAGTCGAGTTGAGCAATGTTAACTAACAAAAAATAAGGAAAAGTGACTGGTTTTGTATTTCTTTTTGTCTGATGAAAAGAAGCATATGAATTTATATGAAGAGACAGATCTTTTCTTGGCACTAAATACTAGGAAGACTTCATTCCCTACAACAGTGTACTAGTCTCAGACTTATTTCCTAAATCCTTTTATAAGTAGTGTAATGTTTTAGTTGTTATTTTGCAGACACATTTTCATGCAGCTTTGACTCTTGTTAGGTGCTTGAACATAAATTCTGAGTTGAGAGGCCCGAATTTGTAGTTGTAGTCTATTTAAAGTTGCTGTTCAAGATAGGATGTTGAAGTTGGTTTAATTTCTCAGCTCCAGGACTGTGAACTTGGTGGGTGCATTCCCTTAAAAGTCTTTCCAGCCGTGTTTAGGCTTCCTCTGAGCCTGCACACATTCCTGCCCTTGCCCCTCTCCAGGACCTTGGCTTCTGGTGGTGATGGTGCAACTTCTGCTTCCTGCTGCAGGTGCCCTGGGGCTGTGAGTATCTCGTGACTGTAGCAAACTGTGGCTTCTCCTTAGGTGCTGGTGTTTGTCCACTCCCGGAAGGAGACTGGAAAGACAGCCAGGGCCATCCGGGACATGTGCCTAGAAAAGGACACTCTGGGTCTGTTTCTGAGGGAGGGCTCAGCCTCCACAGAAGTCCTGCGAACAGAAGCTGAGCAGTGCAAGGTGAGGAGGGGCCAGCTGGGTTCTCTCATTCCTACCTGGCAGCTGTGTCCATCTCAGGCCCCAGACAGCTCCTCTAGGACTGTACTGTGGTATTGTTGTTTCCCATGGGTTAAGGTTGATTGTCTGGATGTGATTATTACTATTCCACATAATAGTTAAGGGGCAGGGTCTCATGGGAGGAGATTTCCTTAGTCCTTGGATGAGTCCTACAGGAAGGCTCGCCTCATCCCCGGTTCTTTGTTCCACAGAACCTAGAGCTGAAGGATCTTCTGCCTTATGGCTTTGCTATTCATCACGCAGGCATGACCAGGGTTGACCGAACACTCGTGGAGGATCTTTTTGCTGATAAACATATTCAGGTGAGGGGGTGCAAAGCGTTTGGAGGAGCAGGTGGGACATACTTCAGAAGATGGGCAATGTCAAGTTTGTGCCATGTTTGCTCCTGGTACTTTATTGCTTCTGGCCCAGCTAGCCCAGGTCAGAGGGTTGTGGTGGACACAATAAATAGAACCTTATGCTACTCTCCCAACTCTTCCCACCTTGCTTGAGTTTAGGATAGTCTGAGAAGCATAGTGAAGCAAGCACTTTGGTGACTTCAGATAGCTCCAAACAGTGTCTCATGGGGGCACGCGTGCCCTTGTCGTTCCCTCTTTCCGGATAGGCTCTGTTTTACCTTTTCTAGTAACTTTAAGGTTGTTTAATACAAGTCTGCACTTGTGCCTCTGGAACCTTGAAATGTTCATTACTGAATAGATGAGGAACCCAAGGAAACCTTTCCTCTTTATTCTGGTGTCACATTGACAAGTACTGGGACCCCACGCGCCCTACCGGCTAGTCCTGAGAGAAGCTCTGAGGCCAACTGCCTAGAGAAGCCAGGGATATTAACCCCTGGTGATGGCATCTGTTCTCCTCATTACCTTGTTTTGCCTCTGTAGGTTTTAGTTTCCACAGCAACTCTAGCTTGGGGTGTGAATCTCCCTGCACATACAGTCATCATCAAAGGCACCCAGGTGTACAGTCCAGAGAAGGGGCGTTGGACAGAACTGGGAGCACTGGACATTCTGCAGGTACAGAGCCTTTTGAGTTTATTCTCAGCAGGGATCAGTATCCTTGCCTGAAATGCAGGGATGCTGGAAAGCTAGCAGATCAGAGGTCTAGTTCTGTAATGTAGATACCTGCATCAAAATTCAGACATTCTCTTGACATAGCATTCTTGGTTCGCTGTCTCTGATCTAGATGCTGGGACGTGCCGGAAGACCCCAGTATGACACCAAGGGTGAAGGCATACTCATCACATCTCATGGGGAGCTACAGTACTACCTGTCCCTCCTCAATCAACAACTTCCTATTGAAAGCCAGATGGTTTCAAAGCTTCCTGACATGCTCAATGCAGAAATCGTGCTAGGAAATGTCCAGAATGCCAAGGTAGGGGAGGACTGCTTGTTGTGCTTCATGCTTTCCCCGCAGACACCAAGGCACCAGGAGTGGGTCGGTCCCTATTGTGCTGCGGGCCAGCAGCGTCCGAGGCCTTCCATCCCTGCACCCACATCTTGGGTCTGGCAGATAGTTCCCCTTGTTACCAAGATCTTAGAAGACGCTTAGATCTTTTTAATAATGAAATGCTAAAAACATTCAGAATACGATGTAATATGCATCCTTGTAGTTGGGAATTAATTTCTAAGCAATTCATGGGAGCCTGTCATTTGGACATCAAGAGTTTCTCCATGCTAAGAACCATGAGCTGTGTCTTGTAGGATGCGGTGAACTGGCTGGGCTATGCCTACCTCTATATCCGAATGCTGCGATCCCCAACCCTCTATGGCATCTCTCATGATGACCTCAAGGGAGATCCCCTGCTGGACCAGCGCCGACTAGATCTGGTTCATACAGCTGCCCTGATGCTGGACAAGAACAATCTGGTCAAGTACGACAAGAAGACGGGCAACTTCCAGGTGCGTGGGGTGAGGGTTTTGAGGCAAAGGTCTCAGCAAAAGTTGTTGGCCCAGGAAAAAATTTTTCAGATTGCTCTCTTGATGTGAGTACTGCCTATCTAATCACCTGTTGCTTAGAACAGCAGAAAAATGGGTAGCTTTTCCCATAACTTGAGGTGGATAATTCAGCTGTCTTGTCCGTGCAGACATCATTTCACTATGGGTCAGCTTATTCTGCTGTTTTTCTTCATGTGCCTGGGCCTGGCACTTGTACTGCTGTGACTTCATCCAGTTGTCCTATTAGGACAATAATGACATTGGGTCATATACTTTACCAAAAAAAAAGTACAAAAAACCTATAGGACAGTAACTTATGGTCCACAGTTAGAGGTTGGAGCTCATTAATAGTCAGCACTGGATTGAGTCTACCTTCTCTCCAGGTGACAGAACTGGGCCGTATAGCCAGCCACTACTACATCACCAATGATACAGTGCAGACTTACAACCAGCTGCTGAAGCCCACCCTGAGTGAGATTGAGCTTTTCAGGGTCTTCTCATTGTCCTCTGAGTTCAAGAACATCACAGTGAGAGAGGTGAGCCTATGCAGCATGATGGGGCGGGGAGTTGGTGCTCACCAAGTCACTGAATGGTGTCCCTCCTCGGCCACAAGGCTTTCCCTTGACCTTTTCCTCCTTGTGGCAGGAGGAGAAGCTGGAGCTGCAGAAGTTGCTGGAGAGGGTGCCTATCCCTGTAAAGGAGAGCATTGAGGAACCCAGTGCTAAGGTGAGCTCCTCTCCTCTTTGCTTTGATAAGGATGAGGATTAAGTGGTTTTCATAATCTTCTAAAAGATGAACCTTGAATTTGGGTTCATGTGTGGTTTCCTGCTCAGTTCTCCTAGTTTTTGCAGCCTTCTCGCATGTTCTTTTTATATGAAATAACAATTATTTAGTATTTGTAAATCAAGACCTGTAGCAAATCTCACCTGGCCTGGATGCTCAGAGCAGAAATGTAATTCCCTTTCTTGGACTGTTCAGTGATTGGTCTCCTGCTGGCTGATTTTGCTTCTTTACAGATCAACGTTCTTCTGCAAGCCTTCATCTCACAGCTGAAATTGGAGGGCTTTGCACTGATGGCTGACATGGTGTATGTCACACAGGTGAGAGCGGAGTTGTATGGCAGCTGTGAGAAGGGGCCTGAACAGTTCAATCCCTGTGTGCTGTGTGCATCCTGGGGAAAGGAGGCCCGACCCTAGTGAGATGGGAGGAGTGCTTAGTTCTGCTCTTGCCGGGTAGTTGGTTGGTGCATGTGTGGTACAGCCACTCTGTAGTATACATCTTGAGCACGTGGGAAAGGTAAGACCTTAAGAGGGAATGCTTCGAGGCTCCACGGGCCCTCAGAGAGACAGGAAGAGCCACAGCACGCAGTGTCTGCTTCCCAGCAGCAAAGTGATTTCCCACTGTTGCTGCACAGCTCATAAATAAATCCAAAAATGGCACAGGGTTTTATTAGCTGCTCTTCATCTTTACCTCTAAGAACAGGTCACTGGTACCCTCAACTCTTCCTAGAACTCTAAATGCTAAATGACTCAAAAGCTTTAAAATCATGCAGTGAATGTTAGGTTAAAATGTTGTGCAGTGACCTTGAGCCGCAGCACTCTTCTAATTGTTCCCCATCCGGCAAGCATCTACTATATGGAACGGAGAAAGGCGTAAAGACAGAGGGGACTTTGCCTTTGAGTTAGGGTGGGTGGTTGTGTCAGAGCTGGAGGTAATGAAACCGTGTGTAGAGTGGCTCATGAGGCCTGGGGATAGTCGAGACTTAACAGTGGGAATGCTGCTTCTTTGCTTAGTCGGCTGGCCGGTTGATGCGAGCGATATTTGAAATTGTCCTGAACCGAGGTTGGGCACAGCTTACAGACAAGACCCTGAACCTCTGCAAGATGATCGACAAACGCATGTAAGGACCCAGTGAGCTGGATGCTGGTCACCATGAGTGGGGGTCCCCAACCCAAGGGTCTGATGGGAAAGCCTCAGGGTGCATCTGATCTCCAGACCTGACATCGGAAGTATGACCTGAACCTTGGTGCACATTGAGAAGAGGGAAGGCCCTCTGTGGTGGAGGCCAGGGCTGGCACAGTGTCAGTGTCTGCCTTTAATGACTGTGTTTTGTGTAGTCACTGCTAAACTATTGGAAGCCATGAAGTGGGTGGTTTGTCACATCCCTGCAGAAGGGACCAACAGCTTTGCCTCCTTCCTGGATAGGTGGCAGTCCATGTGTCCTCTGCGCCAGTTCCGGAAACTCCCTGAGGAAGTAGTGAAGAAGATTGAGAAGAAGAATTTCCCCTTTGAGCGTCTGTACGACCTGAATCATAATGAGATTGGTGTGTGGGATGCTCTCGCCCTTGTCCTCACTGCCTGGGTGTCTCTCCCAGTTTGCCTATGTAGTCTTCCTGTTCCTAGGCCTGTGCATTAGTATCCTGTGTTCACTCCCCAAGTCCCACTGAAGTACAGGCTGGCCCTTGGTCTGGGGACTTGGAATCCTGGGCTCCACTGACCATAAAGGGAAGACCCTACCCCTTTCCCACAGTGGCCCTCAGGCCCAGTTTGCAGTATAGTAGGCAGGCTGGGCTGCAGCCTCAGTACTCTCATTTCCTTGTAGGGGAGCTTATCCGCATGCCAAAGATGGGGAAGACCATCCACAAATATGTCCATCTGTTTCCCAAGTTGGAGTTGTCAGTGCACCTGCAGCCTATCACACGCTCCACCCTGAAGGTGGAGCTGACCATCACGCCAGACTTCCAGTGGGATGAAAAGGTGAGGCTTTGCTGGGCAGAGGTGCTGGATTGGAGGTGCTCAGTCTACGTTGCTGGGCCGAGGAGATGGATTGGAGGCACTCAGTCTACGTTGACTCACATTCCTTTTACCCTTGCTCCTGTTGGCAGGTGCATGGTTCATCCGAGGCTTTTTGGATTCTGGTGGAGGATGTGGACAGCGAGGTGATTCTGCACCATGAGTATTTTCTCCTCAAGGCCAAGTACGCCCAGGACGAGCACCTCATTACATTCTTCGTGCCTGTCTTTGAACCGCTGCCCCCTCAGTACTTCATCCGAGTGGTGTCTGACCGCTGGCTCTGTGAGTGTCTCCTCTCCAGAGTCCCCAGGAACAGTCCCTCCAAGGACAGTAGAAGAATGTCTTGCACTTTGTCCCGGGCTTGCCCTTGCTGGGGACAGAGTGATACATATGCTGCCTAGGTTTCCAGTGTTCATGGAGGGGATCTAGAGGCCAGTGAGGGAAAGAGAGCAGTGCTTATATCCTTCCTGTTTCTTTTCTGGCAGCTTGTGAGACCCAGCTGCCTGTCTCCTTCCGGCACCTGATCTTGCCGGAGAAGTACCCCCCTCCAACCGAACTTTTGGACCTGCAGCCCTTGCCCGTGTCTGCTCTGAGAAACAGTGCCTTTGAGAGTCTTTACCAAGATAAATTTCCTTTCTTCAATCCCATCCAGACCCAGGGTAAGTGTTTCCATCCCTCCTCTGGAGGCTTTTGAAGTCACCGGGAGACAGATGTGCTCTGTGGCAGGCAGGGGAGTGGGGGTGCTCAGGCACTTGGGAGGTCTGGGAGCTCCTCAGTGTGACCGCTGGGACCCACCAGGACTTTTTCCTTTGTCAGAAGCCTTTGGTTGCTTTGCTGCTCTGCATGTGTCACTGTGGAGGGGCAATAGAGCAAGGCCTTACATGGCATGGTCATTTCTCGGGCCCAGGAGGCTTAGAGGCCTGCCCCTGGCGCTCAAGTATTGAACCAGAACCATGGGGTGGCACTGAAGCCTCCTCACCACATCATGATAAATAACGGGGACATTCACAGAGCAGGCACTGTTTCCTCAGTCCATGGCTGAGTACATCACCGGTGTTTTCTCTCTTATTCCTCCCATCAAGCCTAAAAGGAATCTCTATTGGAGATACTGCCATTAGTGTTCCTTTTATAGGTGAGGAACTGAGGCATAGAGGGTTCCCCAGTTGAACCAACTGATAAATAGTAGAACTTGGATTTTAATTCAGTCTTGATGCCAGGGATAAGGCTCTTACTTTCTACCTTAGGCTATTTCTAGGAAACGCAGGAGAGTGTTGAAGGGGCAGAGAAAGGGATCCAGTTCCTTTCTGTCCCGCATCCTAGTCCCTGAGAAGCAAAGAAGAATGTGTGGCTTCTTTTGCTTTGCTTTTGTTGTCATCCCACACATCTCCAGGGGACCTGGGCTCTTGATCTTGGCCTCTTCCCCTTTAACTGTTAAGTGGGAGCAGGTAAGGGGGTACAGTAGGGCTGGCCTGGAGTTAGAGGCTTGGATGCCTTAGCTCCTCTGTCTGCACTCCAGAACTGCCTGACTTCATTTCGTATGTTGTCCTTTGTTTTGACAATTGATCCATGTCCCAGTCCGTCTCTTCTTCCTTCTTGATACTTACACTGCTTCTTTCTGTTGGTTTCCAGTGTTTAACACTGTATACAACAGTGACGACAACGTGTTTGTGGGGGCCCCCACGGGCAGCGGGAAGACTATTTGTGCAGAGTTTGCCATCCTGCGAATGCTGCTGCAGAGCTCGGAGGGGCGCTGTGTGTACATCACCCCCATGGAGGCCCTGGCAGAGCAGGTATGACGTGGCGCTGTGTCATGTGAATTTCCCAAGAAGCATTTCATCTGTGATTCCGTATGAAGGCTTTCTAAGCCCTGAAATTTGCAGGGTCATTTCCTCAGTTTGTGTATTAAAGAAAAGCTGCCCCAGCCAAGCGTGGTGGCTCACGCCTGTAATCCCAGCACTTTGGGAGGCCGAGGCGGGCAGATCTCCGGAGATCAGGAGTTCGAGACCAGCCTGGCCAACATGGTGAAACCCTGTCTCTACTAAAAATACAGAAATTAGCTGGGCGTGGTGGTGTGCGCCTGTAATCCCAGCTACTTGGAAGGCTGAGGCAGGAGAATCGCTTGAACCCGGGAGGCGGAGGTTGCAGTGAGCCAAGTTCGCACCACTGCACTCCAGCCTGGGCAACAAGAGCGAGACTTCATCTCAAAAGAAAAAAAAAAAAGAAAAAGCTGCCCCATCGCATCGCATAGAGGCTGCTATGGGATTAGAACGTAGCTTGAGATCTGCAGGTCAACAGGTCTGTTTGGCATCTCAGGTTTTCCTCACATAAGTGAAAGATGCCTGGTATGGCCTAGTGTTGTTCTGCCTCCCTCCTCTGCCCGCCAGGTATACATGGACTGGTACGAGAAGTTCCAGGACAGGCTCAACAAGAAGGTGGTACTCCTGACAGGCGAGACCAGCACAGACCTGAAGCTGCTGGGCAAAGGGAACATTATCATCAGCACCCCTGAGAAGTGGGACATACTTTCCCGGCGATGGAAGCAGCGCAAGAACGTGCAGAACATCAACCTCTTCGTGGTGGATGAGGTCCACCTTATCGGGGGCGAGAATGGGGTATGGCGTGACCTTGCAGCACAGATGAGGGACTGGGACTGACCAAGTGGCCTTGGCATTGGACCTAATGTTTGGGTCTGAGGACGGAGGCTCGGGGCTTCTCCCCAGAGGATTCTACCTGCTGCCCTATTCCAAAGGGACAATGTTAACTTTTTTGGTAGTACTTTAGGAAAACAGTATTGTTTAGTGGAGGTTGGCTGCCGTGGAGGAGGTAGAACCAAACACATGAGAGCTCCTAGTTAGAAGGAAGAATGAGGTCATTTTGAGGCTGTTGGGCTGTTCACAAAGGGGACCTCCAGGCAGAGGATGGGAGCCTTGGCCTGCAGTGACCCTCCCTCCCTCCCTCTTTCCAGCCTGTCTTAGAAGTGATCTGCTCCCGAATGCGCTACATCTCCTCCCAGATTGAGCGGCCCATTCGCATTGTGGCACTCAGCTCTTCGCTCTCCAATGCCAAGGATGTGGCCCACTGGCTGGGCTGCAGTGCCACCTCCACCTTCAACTTCCATCCCAATGTGCGTCCCGTCCCCTTGGAGCTGCACATCCAGGTAGGACCCACTCTCCTCATCCGTCTGTGGGGTGTCACATAGATCCTGAGTGACCCAGGTCTGATAACCTTGGTGTCTTTTCTTCTCCCCGGTCGCCAGGGCTTCAACATCAGCCATACACAAACCCGCCTGCTCTCCATGGCCAAGCCTGTGTACCATGCTATCACCAAGCACTCGCCCAAGAAGCCTGTCATTGTCTTTGTGCCGTCTCGCAAGCAGACCCGCCTCACTGCCATTGACATCCTCACCACCTGTGCAGCAGACATCCAACGGCAGAGGTAGGTGGGGCCTGGCGTCTGGGGGTTGGGGTTAGGTTAAGTGAGGCTGGCCTACTCCAAGGGTGTCCTCTTTATGAGGGTGGGGTTAGCCCATGTTGCTTGGGGCCAGGTTCTGCACAGCTGGCAAAGTGTCTGCCAGGAATTGAACTACTCTGAGCTGAGCCAGTGCCTGTACCGCACAGGTTCTTGCACTGCACCGAGAAGGATCTGATTCCGTACCTGGAGAAGCTAAGTGACAGCACGCTCAAGGAAACGCTGCTAAATGGGGTGGGCTACCTGCATGAGGGGCTCAGCCCCATGGAGCGACGCCTGGTGGAGCAGCTCTTCAGCTCAGGTAAGTCAGGCCACGGAAGGGGAGCATAGCAAGGGTATCACCAAGTGGTGGTGTTAAACTTGAGGGGTGCGGGTGGCAGTGTTTTCTCTACAGCATACCAGAGATTTTCAAAATACTGTTTAGGACTCTTGGCTGTTAACTCATTTGATCCTCCCAAGAACCTCGTGAGGCAGGTGAGACAAACACTATCCCTACTTGCCAGGTGAGAAAACAGGCAGACACATCAGGTTGTGCTATTTCAGAACCTGGTTTTCTAGAGTCCAGGACCTTTGGCCACCAGACCGCTGATTCTCCGTGGATACCAGACTCCCCAAGTGTATTAGTCCGTTCTTGTATTGCTATAAAGAAATACCTGATACTGGGTCATTTATAAAGAAAGGAGGTTTAATTGACTCAGTTCTGCAGGCTGTACATGAAACATGGTGTTATCTGCTTCTGGGAAGGCCTCAGGGAAGGCAAAGGGGAAGCAGGCATCTTATATGGCAGGAGTCAGGACCGAGAGAGTGAGTGGGGAGGTGCTACACACTTTTGAACAACCAGATCTCGTGAGAACTCATTCACTAGACAGTACCAAGGGTGGGTGGTGCTAAACCATTCATGAGAACTCTGCCTCCATTAGCCAGTCATCTCCCACCAGGCCCTTCCTCCAACACTGGAGACTACAGGTCGACGAGATTTGGTGGAGACACAGATCCAAACCGTCTCACCAAGATAGTTAGACTTTAGAGATTAGCACAGAGGAGAGCTCTGATTCTCCCTTGAGCTCACTCTTGCTGGCCACTGTCTCTTGTTGCCCTGTGGCATTTTGTGCAAAGATTTACGTTTTAATACTGTTTATTGGAGCCTCATTGGAGATTCTTCTGCCAGAATCACTTCCTGTCACTCTTTGGCCCTTGAATCTGCCTGTTTGGGGCATGCTTAGAGTGATCTCTGTTTTGCTGGCATGGCTGAGCCAGCCCGTGGCTGCATGAGTGTTAGCACTTTCTGGTCAGAGGAGCAGTCCATCAGCTGTAGTTTTGCCTTGGTGTTCCTGGGCTTTGGGTTCTGTTCTATGATGACTTGTTTTCTCCTGGATAGTCCCAGAGCAAGGCACCAGCAGCGTGGAGCTACCTCATAGCAATGTGTTAGCTCTCATTCATGTTAGACCTTGTTCCTAGCCAGCCTTGCTGTGAGTTCTGAAACATAGCACAGGGTAAGCCACGGCCTGCCCATGAGGCAGTGAGCCTACTTCACCCGGAGACCCCTGCCCTCAGCCTTCCTCTCCCCTCTACTGCTCAGGGGCTATCCAGGTGGTGGTGGCTTCTCGGAGTCTCTGCTGGGGCATGAACGTGGCTGCCCACCTGGTAATCATCATGGATACCCAGTACTACAATGGCAAGATCCACGCGTGAGTACAACTGGTGCTCTGTGTTAGCACAGACCTCCTTCCTAAAATGAATGTGAATCTGCAGATACACAGAAAGTAAGCTAGGATGAAGAAAAGGTGTTAGGGAAGTTAACAGCTGAGATGCCACCAGAGCCAAGTGTTTGAGAGTTTTGTGTCTCAATACCTAGGCTCACATTTGCTTTTTAGTCATTGTGCTTCCTTATTCAGCAGCTGGGAGAGGTAGGAAATTAGAGCCAGGAGGAATGTTTGACGTTACGTCATTAATCTCAGACATCTTGTAGATTAGGAAAAGTGACTTGGTCGAGGTCATACACCTATATAGTGACAAGTAAGAAGCTAGAGGAGTGCCGAGCGCAGTGGCTCATGCCTGTAATCCCAGCACTTTGGGAGGCTGAGGCGGGCGGATCACTTGAGGTCAGGAGTTCAAGACCAGTGTGGCTAACATAGTGAAACCCCCGTCTCTACTAAAAATAACAAAAATTAGCTGAGTGTGGTGGCAGGCGCCTGTAATCCCAGCTACTTGGGAAGCTGAGGCAGGAGAATCAGTTAAACCTGGGAGGCAGAGGCTACAGTGAGCTGAGATCCCACCATTGCACTCTAGCCTGGGCAACAGAGTGAGACTCCAACTCAAAAAAAAAAAAAAAAAAAAAGCCTGGGTGTGGTGGCTCACACCTGTAATCCCAGCACTTTGGGAGGGCAAGGTGGGCAGATCACCTGATGTCAGGAGTTCAAGACCAGCCTGGCCAACATGACAAAACCCCGTCTCTACAAAAATTAGCCAGGTTTGATGGCAGGTGCCTGTTATTCAAGCCACTCACCTGTAATTCAAGCCACTTGGGAGGCTGAGGTTGGAGAATCACTTGAACCCAGGAGGCAGAGGTTGCAGTGAGCCAAGATCGCGCCATTGCACTCCAGTCTGGGCAACAGAGTGGTACCCCGTCTCAAAAAAAAAAAAAAAAAAAAAAGGGCCAGGTGTGGTGGCTCATGCCTGTAATCCCAGCACTTTGGGAGGCCAAGGCGGGTGGATCACAAGGTCAGGAGTTCGAGACCAGTCTGGCCAATGTGGTGAAACCCTGTTTCTACTAAATATACAAAAATTAGCCTGGTGTGGTGGCACGCGCCTGTAATCCCAGCTACCTGGGAGGCTGAGGCAGGAGAATCGCTGGAACCCAGGAGGCGGAGGTTGCAGTGAGCCGAGATAGCACCACTGCACTCCAGCCTGAGCAACAGAGCGAGACTCCATCTCAAAAAAAAAGAAGTTAGAAGAGTCAGTCATTCTCATAAAAAAGCCTGCATAATTTGTTGTTGTTTTTTTTTTAAGACAATCTTGTTCTGTCGTTTAGGCTGGAATGCGGTGGTATGATCTCAGCCCACTACAGCCTCTGCCTGCCAGGCTCAAGCAATCATCCTGCCTCAGTCTCCCAAGTAGCTGGGACTACCAGCATGTGCCACCACTCCCAGCTAATTTTTCCTTTTTTTTGTATAGATGGGTTTTCACCATGTTGCCCAGGCTGGTCTTGAATTCCTGAGCTCAAGTGATCCACCCACCTCAGCCTCCCAAAGTGCTGGGATTACAGGTGTGAGTTATAGTGCCTGGCCCAACGCTTAATAACTTTTTCCTGAAATGCAGATTAGTTTGAAATGAATTTTATTTACGGGTTCATTTTTAATGTTTGAACCTGCTTCTAGGTAGGGTTAAAGTTGGGTGACTTGATGACTCACGAAATACACAACTATGAAGTTTGGAAAGTGTGGTGGTATGCACCTGTAGTCCCACCTGCTCTGGAGGCTAAAGTGAGAGGATCACTTGAGCCTAGGAGGTAAAGGCTGCAGTGAGCCGTGGCTGTGCCACTGCACTCCAGTATGGACAGCAGAGCAAGACCCTGTATCAAAAAACAAATAAAAACAATAATAATTTTTTTTAATTAAAGGAGAAAAGTTTGGGAAGTTTGACTTACATATTTGATCCTCGAATAGGGAGTTATTTTGGTTTTGGCATTAGATAGTTTTGTAGCTTGGTTCATGGCACTTGAGCAGCAAATTCATGGCCCTTACACTGAATACTAAAATGTTATACAGGCCAGCCAGTGAAGCTAGTTGTAAGTGCAGAGATTCATAAACAGAGTCGTCCCGTGATTTGTCCGTGTCTCCCCGTATTAACATTTTACTCTTACTTGGCGAAGGGAGTTGGGCTTCCTGAGCATGGTCTCCGTGTTGAGGTGGCTTTTCCTTCTTTCCCTGCTTCTGTCACCAGCTATGTGGATTACCCCATCTATGACGTGCTTCAGATGGTGGGCCACGCCAACCGCCCTTTGCAGGACGATGAGGGGCGCTGTGTCATCATGTGTCAGGGCTCCAAGAAGGTCAGTCCTAGACTCATGGAGCCTCTTGGATCCGTAGCCTCAGAATGGATTCTTTAATCTTTCTTTTGATAGATGTCTTCAGTAACTTTAGTCTCTTAACTTCTGCCTCTCTTATTTACACAATTCTTTTGTGACGAGCCTGCCACCCACATGGAATTTTGCTGCCTTTTGCTTTTGCTGCTGCCGTTGGCTCCACGTGTTGAGGTCTTCACCCTCTACTTGGTTCTCTCCTTCCTCCTTGGGCTGCTCACTGCTCTGCCCTCGTGACTTGCTGTACCTCTGTTCCCACTGCGTATTGTCACCAGTGATGCACTTTCTAAATGTGTGGCTTCTTCCATTTTGGTATTAGTTAGGTCTCACACAGGGACCATGCCCTGTTGATTTGCCCTTGGCCCTCTGTGACCGTGTTGTCACTAATTCTTTATTACTCCTTCTCCCTCTCCAACCCACAGGATTTCTTCAAGAAGTTCTTATATGAGCCATTGCCAGTAGAATCTCACCTGGACCACTGTATGCATGACCACTTCAATGCTGAGATCGTCACCAAGACCATTGAGAACAAGCAGGATGCTGTGGACTACCTCACCTGGACCTTTCTGTACCGCCGCATGACACAGAACCCCAATTACTACAACCTGCAGGGTCAGTGGGCTTGGGAGCACACGTGATCCTTTGGTGGTTCTCACAGTCTTTGCTGGGCATCTTCTTGAGGCTCCCCACTCACCTCTCGCCTCCATAGGCATCTCCCATCGTCACTTGTCGGACCACTTGTCAGAGCTGGTGGAGCAGACCCTGAGTGACCTGGAGCAGTCCAAGTGCATCAGCATCGAGGACGAGATGGACGTGGCGCCTCTGAACCTAGGCATGATCGCCGCCTACTATTACATCAACTACACCACCATTGGTGAGGCCCGGCATGGCCCGTGTCCTGTCTGTGGGAGCCTTTTTACACGGGTCAGGAGCCCACTGGGATGAGAGGTGCGCCCGTGTTTGTCAGCGGGATGACACTGCAGGGGACAGCAGGGGAGCCCGGGCAGTTCTGCTCCTTCTCTGCCTGGTTTTAGCTTCTCTCACATTTCCTTTTTCTGTCAGAGCTCTTCAGCATGTCCCTCAATGCCAAGACCAAGGTGCGAGGGCTTATCGAGATCATCTCCAATGCAGCAGAGTATGAGAACATTCCCATCCGGCACCATGAAGACAATCTCCTGAGGCAGGTGAGGACAGCAGACTTCAGGAGAGCATCCTGGGAACAACAAACTCGGCCTGTGTGCCCAGAGCACATGGCATCCCTGCCACCAACACGCCCATACGCATCCCCCGACCCCCGCCATATGTCCTCCCGCTCCATACCTCCCTCAAACCCATCTCCATCCCATTACCACCCACATGCCTCAGGGTGTTGAAGGGCTGTGTGAGCCTGGGCCACGTGGTGCTTTGGCCTGAGCTGGTCTCAGGCAGGGTCACCTGTTCATCACCAGCTATTTTTCTTCCACTTTGTAGTTGGCTCAGAAGGTCCCCCACAAGCTGAATAACCCTAAGTTCAATGATCCGCACGTCAAGACCAACCTGCTCCTGCAGGCTCACTTGTCTCGCATGCAGCTGAGTGCTGAGTTGCAGTCAGATACGGAGGAAATCCTTAGTAAGGTAGAGTGTGGGTGTGGGGCAGAGGGGTCAGTGGTGCTCTAAACATCTCAGCTCCAACTCCGCCCACTTTTATACTCCTTTTCCTGTTCAGGCAATCCGGCTCATCCAGGCCTGCGTGGATGTCCTTTCCAGCAATGGGTGGCTCAGCCCTGCTCTGGCAGCTATGGAACTGGCCCAGATGGTCACCCAAGCCATGTGGTCCAAGGACTCATACCTGAAGCAGCTGCCACACTTCACCTCTGAGCATATCAAACGTTGCACAGACAAGGTGAGCCGGGTCAGCCTAGAGGGTCAGGTGGGTGAGCCTGAGAGCCCAGTGTTGTGGACCGAGCGTGGGTTGCGGGAGGTGAGTCTCAGTAAGTTAAACTTTTAGTTATGGTTCCTCCGAAGGTGCTCCCTGTTGAGATGCTAGAGAGCCTGCCAACTGTGGGCTGTGTTCTTTCTGCAGCTGTTTTATCTAGATGACTTGATAGTGTAGGAGGTAAAATTAGTAGCTCTTTGCTGCCTGTGTCATTTGCTGTTGGCCCGTGTTCTCTCTTTCCTGACGTCTGAATACTCACTGCAGGGAGTGGAGAGTGTTTTCGACATCATGGAGATGGAGGATGAAGAACGGAACGCGTTGCTTCAGCTGACTGACAGCCAGATTGCAGATGTGGCTCGCTTTTGTAACCGCTACCCTAATATCGAACTATCTTATGAGGTGGTAGATAAGGACAGCATCCGCAGGTGAGCCAGAGGTGGTGCCTGTTGGGCACAGCATAATAGTGTGCTCTGAGCCCACTGCCCCATCACTGACGTGCGCCCCTCCTCTCCCCCTGCAGTGGCGGGCCAGTTGTGGTGCTGGTGCAGCTGGAGCGAGAGGAGGAAGTCACAGGCCCTGTCATTGCGCCTCTCTTCCCGCAGGTGCGTCCTGGTAGCTGGCTTGGTCAGGTGTCAACTCACCCTATCCATTGGCTAGGTGCTTGGTACAAGGGCACACTGTCCCTGAGGGAGGGAAACTTTAGACTGATAATCAGCTCACAAGGGTGAGAATTAATCTTGAGGCTATGGGGTTTTTTTTCTGTTTGTTTCTGCTTAAACAGTTTAGGGCCGGGCGCAGTGGCTCACGCCTGTAATCCCAGCACTTTGGGAGGCCAAGGCGGGCGGATCACGAGGTCAGGAGTTCGAGACCAGCCTGGCCAACATAGTGAAACCCCGTCTCTACTAAAAATACAAAAATTAGCTGTGCGTGGTGGTGGGCACCTGTAGTCCCAGCTACTCAGGAGGTTGAGTCAGGAGAATGGTGTGAACCCAGGAGGCGGAGGCTGCAGCGAGCCGAGATTGCCCCACTGCACACCAGCCCAGGCGAGTGTGAGACTTCATCTCAAAAAAAAAAAAAAAAAAAAATTTAGATGACTGGTCATTGTTAAACCCGTCAGTTGTGTAGTATTGTCCATCTCTCTGACTCTTTAAGATGCATTTGTCTTTAACTCCGATGGCTGCAGGACACTTGGGCTTTCCTGGTTGTTTCTTCTTTTTTCTCACTGCCACTTACTGTGCTTCTGGGTGCTTGGTTTTTTACCACCAGAAAGAAATTCTGGTTCTCTTTATATGGGAGAATAATTGAAGGTTGATAGCAGAAACCAGATACTGTCATGTTTAATTCTGTAAACTAATTGTTTCAAGGCTCTGAGTAAAGACTGCTTTTAACTGGGACTCTTCGTCTTTGTGACAGCGGGGCAGCCCGTAGACAGGGCTGCAAGGCCTGCTGTGGATATCTCTGTGCACATTCAGCTCTGTGTTAAGCTTTTTCTTTTTTTTTGAGACGGAGTCTCGCTCTGTCGCCCAGGCTGGACTGCAGTGGCGCGATCTCGGCTCACTGCAAGCTCCGCCTCCCGGAATCACGCCATCCTCCTGCCTCAGCCTCCCGAGTAGCTGGGACTACAGGCACCCGCCACCATGCCCGGCTAATTTCTTTTTTGTATTTTTGGTAGAGACGGAGTTTCACCATGTTAGCCAGTATGGTCTCGATCTCCTGGCCTCGTGATCCACCCGCCTCGGCCTCCCAAAGTGCTGGGATTACAGGCGTGAGCCACCGCGCCCAGCCTAAGCTTTTTCTCATCTGGCAGATTTGCCTTGTACTTAAAAGTATCTCTAAGGAACTCAAAGCTCCTAGGCCCCAAAGACTAGACCTCTAATAGTAGTACCTTGGACTTAGTGGCAGGTACTAAGTGGGAGAAGGTACCTTGGCACAAGGAAATGAGCCAGAACCAACAAATGAATTCATCTACTTAAAAAATTAAGTCTGTTTGAGACAACTTTTGATAGTATTAAAATGTTAAATCTAATTGTATTTCGGGAAGAAACTTTGGAAAGCTATCTGATTTTTGTTCTCTCTTTTGTAACTGTACCATTTTCATGGTTGCCTATGGTCATCAAGTTTTACATGCTGAAATTCTTGGTTTTGGATCACTGCAGAAACGTGAAGAGGGCTGGTGGGTGGTGATTGGAGATGCCAAGTCCAATAGCCTCATCTCCATCAAGAGGCTGACCTTGCAGCAGAAGGCCAAGGTGAGTGTGTCCACTGGCCCTAGCATTTGTTCTGGCATGGGGGAAGGGTGAGAATGCTTCCTGTGTCCATGCTCATCTTGATTTCTGCCTGCTCTTTCTAGGTGAAGTTGGACTTTGTGGCCCCAGCCACTGGTGCCCACAACTACACTCTGTACTTCATGAGTGACGCTTACATGGGATGTGACCAGGAGTACAAATTCAGCGTGGATGTGAAAGAAGCTGAGACAGACAGTGATTCAGATTGAGTCCTGAGGCATTTACTTTTGGGTAAAGGAGAGTTGAGCCTGAATTAGGAATGTGTACATTGTAGGAATCCTGGTTGTGGGGACCAGGTCTGTGGGCCTCAGGTCTGGCCAGCCAGGGCTGGTGCTGTCCCCGCCTACCTCCACTTCCTTTCCCTTGCTCACTCTGGATCCAGTGACAGCAGGTGTCATGGGTCAAGCATAAATCATATATAGCATTTTCAGGCATGTTCCTGGTAGTTCTTTTGAGTCTGACATTCTAATAAAATAATTTGTAGAAACCATTTGTCTTTGTAGTGATTCCAAATTAAAAGTTTTCTTTCTCCAACCTGAGGGCACGGCCAAAAAGATCTGGTTATTTTTTAGCCAGGAACGTGCTTGTTAATGAGTATGTCTGGAGGACAGACCTGCTCATTAGGTGTGCTGTCCCCTGTAGCCTCGTGAGTCAGCCCAGAGGAGGGTACATGCGACTGTGGCCTGGCCTCAGTGGTACCCACACATCAGCACTACCACAAGAACCAACACTGAGCCTCGGAAGCTAGATCACAGGTTAGGGGTTTCTCTAGATGGGGGTTCTGAAATTTGCAGTGTCTGCTCCTGGGAGGCAGCACCAGAAAGGGCACTGAAATGTACTAGCTGGATGTGACCCAGTCTTAATAAACAGGTTTTCTAATCCAGATCTTCCGACTGTCTTCAAATTCTTACCTTCTGTTCTTTAGATTAAATGCACACAAAATTGAAAGATGATTCTGAAGGGCAGTTTCCTCAGGGTAGCAGTTTTCAAATGATTTGGTCTTAGGACCTCTTTACACTACTAAAAACTAAGAAACTCAGGTTTTTGTTTTTTTTTTTTTCTTTTTAAATAACAAATTTATTTTTCACAGTTCTGGAGGTTGCCCCAAAAAGCTTTTATTATCTAGATTAAGGTTAATGCACTTTTAAATCATAATGTTAACATTTTTTTTCTTAATAGAGACAGAGTTTAGCCATGTTGCCCAGGCTGACCTTGAATTCCTGAGCTCAAGTGATCCGCCCACCTCAGCCTCCCAGAGTGCTGGGATTACAGGCATGAGCCACCATGCCCAGCCCACGTTAACATTTTTTATGAAGAATAACTTCCAAAACAATCCAAGGAGAAGGGTGGCATTTTACAGTCTCTTTAGTATCTTGTTATAATAAACAGTTGAATTCTTACAGCTGCTTCTACATCCAAACTTTTTTGTTGAAGTAAGTTGACTTCACACAGATACGCAGTTGGAAAAGTTTTTAAAATAGCCTTTTCAGCTAATTGTGGCTATTCTTTGATACCACACCAAGACTACAAGTGATTTTTTTTTTTTTTTTTTTTTTTTGAAATGGAGTCTCGCTCTGTCACCCAGGCTGGAGTCCAGTGGCACGATCTCGACTCACTGCAACCTCCACCTCCCGGGTTCAAGCTATTCTCCTGCCTCAGCCTCCCGAGTAGCTGGGACTACAAGGGATCTGCCACCACGCCCGGCTAATTTTTGTAATTTTAGTAGAGACGGACTTTCACCATATTGGCCAGGCTGGTCTTGAACTCCTGACCTTGTGATCCACCCACCTTGGCCTCCCAAAGTGTTGGGATTACAGGCGTGAGCCACCGCGCCCGGCTTACTACAAGTCATAGTTTCTTAAAGGCAATGTAGACTCCGAAAACTTAATGCACTCTTATATTGTTAATACATTAAAATCCACTGGCCTGTCTTACACTTTTGAATCAATCTTTGAGCCATGCATGATTTTGTAACATCACGTACTGGTCACTTGGAAAAATGGTTCATTGAATTCTTCCAAATGAAATGCATTTCATTATACAAATCACATTTGTTAATATCCCCAACAATAAAGCTCATGGTGGAGTACAGATTTTCGGAAATTCCAATTTTTGCTTGAAAGCTTTATCACTGGCAACACTATCAGTTGTTTCCCTTGAGGTGAGAGGCTCATTCCATTAATTTCCAGAAAATATCAGCCAAATATTCAAGTCTAAATACCGTAATCTGCTAGTTCTTTCAATTCTAAAGGGCATGCCTTGAACACAGCCAATTCAGCTTGCAACTCAACTGTGTAACTGCTTTTCCTCAAGGCACCCATACTTCAGTGCACAGCAGAGGGGCTTTATGCATGCTTCCAGTTTTCTCAGAATATTATAAATTCTCAAGGTCAACTTTTTTTTTCTTTTTGAGACAGGGTTTCACTCTTGTTGCCTGGGCTGGAGTGCAATGGTATGATCTCGGCTCACTGCAACCTCCACCTACCGGATTCAAGCGATTCTCTTGCCTCAGCCTCCCGAGTAGCTGGAATTACAGGCATGCACCACCATGCCCAGCTAATTTTGTATTTTTAGAAGAGACGGGGTTTCTCCATGTTGGTCAGGCTGGCCTCGAACTCCCGACCTCAGGTGATCCGCCCGCCTCAGCCTCCCAAAGTGCTGGGATTACAGGCATGAGCCACTGCGCTGGCTAGGTCAACATTTAATAGTTAACCATTGCTATTTGTTCTATCAAGGACATATCAAAACTACTAGAAGTTTGCTGCCACCACCTTGATTCATGCCACAGTGCCAACAGTTGACCTCACAGATCCTCCCTGAAAGGGTCTTGGGACTCCCAGGATCTGCAGGCCGCATTCTTCGAGAACCACTATTCTAGGTACAGCCCCACTGTCCTTCTAAAATCTAAGGTCACAGCTTAAACTTCAGGGAAGGCTGTAGTTTTGGAGGCCATTGTCACATTAGAACCCATTTAGAAGTGACTGTCAAGAGACAACTTGAGTGAGTCTGAAACTGCCTGCTGATGGCAGTGTTTCTCAACTGGTTTAAATCGCCAGTCCCCTAGGAAGCCTTCTTCCTGATCACTCCCTGCCATGAAAATGGAATATCACAGACACACTATATGTGCTGTGGGCCTTAGGAGGGCCACAAACAACTGCTTGTGATTTTTTTTTATCCTTACTGAAGAACCAATTTGCATCCCTGTTGAGAATACAGGGCTTGTGGCCAGTAATAACTCTCCCTTTTAGGATTCCTGTCTTTCCCCATTTTTTTTCTATCCCCAGTTGCCATCACAGCGTAACGGTGCAGGGAGGTATATGAGGGTTGCTAAGGGAAAGCAGAGGTGCCCCTCACTCAAACCTACATTCAGAAAAAAATTTCCTTCATTATTGATTGGATGTCTTAAATGCAAAGACTTACACAGAAACTGGGAAGGGAGGACCTATTTCAGACAAGGATTCACCATGGAATTTTTATGAATATCCTTATAAAATAGGACTTGGGATGCAGATGGATTATTTCTTTAAGTCTTGCAACTTCAGAAAAGCCTGAGACACATACCCCCTCCTACTATATATAGTGATTATAAATAGTATATTTACCTCCAAAAAATTTAACACTGTGCCCTAATGCAAGAAAAATCTGTGGTATAACAATGTACTCATGTTCTGTAGCTCTTTACTGAAGGCCTCATGTCAAAGGCGGGGAAGGAAAGCAATTCTGTGGCTCTGCACTTCTACCCAAGTCTGAAGAGAAGTGAGCCAAGTTAAATGAAGGTCAAGGATGCTCCTCCTGGTCCTCTCAGGGGCTGGTAAAGTCTTATATGACGTTTTCTGGGGAGTCATTACTCTGTCCAAAGTCGAGGTAGCTCAGAGGCCTTCAGGCCGCTGATACTTCCAGAAGGCCACCTCCCCATCATCACTGCAGGAGGCCAGTAGCCCTGGCTCCTTGGGGTTCCAGGCCACACAGTTGACATCCTGGGAATGGGCCTGATGCAAGTGGGCTGTCAGGGAGAAGGTGGGCTGCTGTGGATCCGAGTTGGGATCCTCCTGAAACACGCGGATCGCGTCATCCCCACAAGCTGTGGCCAGAGCCCCTGTCAGCTGACACCTGGAAGGAAAGTGACATCAGTGGGTATACCTGACTAATTAGGCCAGAGAGACCTGTTCCATAGTTCCTGGCCTGTTCTCTTCCCTAACTTCAGGCCTCAGCTAAAAACCTCTTATTAAAATGTTTCCTTAACTAATAAGGAGTCACAAATATCACCCACTTATATCTTCAGATGCTGCAATCTAGTTCTTTCCCCTACTATGATTATCCTAAAAAACGACATGCAATTATGAACTGCACTTTCCTCACTTGGCATAAGCAGTTTCCCATGTCATAAAGTTGTTTTTTTTTTTTTTTTTTTGAGATGGAGTCTTGCTGTGTCGCCCAGGCTGGAGTGCAGTGGCACAATCTTGGCTGACTGCAACCTCCCCCTCCCAGGTTCAAGCGATTCTCCTGCCTCAGCCTCCTGAGTAGCTGGGACTACAGGCATGTGCCACCATGCCCGGCTAATTTTTGTATTTTCAGTAGAGACAGGGTTTTATCACATTGGACAGGCTGGTCTCAAACTCCAGACCTCAAGTGATCCACCTGCCTCAGCCTCCCAAAGTGCTGGGATTACAGGCCATGAGCCACTGGGCCCAGCCATCATAAAGTTTTTTTTTTTTTTCTTTAGATGGAGTCTTGCTCCATCACCAGGCTGGAGTGCAGTGGCGCAATCTCGGCTCACTGCAACCTCCGCCTCCCGGGTTCAAGCGATTCTCCTGCC
Organism: Homo sapiens; assembly: GCF_000001405.40. Lineage (NCBI taxonomy): Eukaryota > Metazoa > Chordata > Mammalia > Primates > Hominidae > Homo > Homo sapiens. The sequence goes on along the minus strand of NC_000002.12, from coordinate 96,270,404 downwards.
TCAGCCTCTGAGTAGCTGGGATTGGGTGCGTGCCAACACGCCCAGCTAATTTTTGTATTTTTAGTAGAGACGGGGTTTCACCATGTTGGTCAGGCTGGTCTTGAACTCCTGACCTCATGATTCACTCACCTTGGCCTCCCAAAGTGTTGGGATTACAGGCGTGAGCCACAGCGCCTGGCCCCATCATAAAGTATTCTTAACCCCTTTCTTTAAACAGTGATACAACAAGCTGAGTTCTACCATAATTTACTTAAGTTCACTTTTGTTGAATAGGTGATTCCCAAATGTTTGCTAATATAAAGCAAGCTTAAGTGCTCAGTTTTTTTCACTGTTTTGGATTTCCTAGGGATCAATTCTCAGGGCCAGAACTACCCTCTAACCTACTCTCCTATATGAATGGTGCAGCTTTTCCAGCTTCCACAAGGCCAGAGTCAGTGTTACCTATAAAAACCCCAGCCACTGCCAGGTGCGGTGGCTCATGCCTGTAATCCCAGCACTTTGGGAGGCCAAGGTGGGCGGATCATGAGGTCAGGAGATCGAGACCATCCTGGCTAACGCGGTGAAACCCCGTCTCTACTAAAAATAAAAAATTAGCCAGGCATGGTGGCGGGCGCCTGTAATCCCAGCTACTTGGGAGGCTGAGGCAGGAGAATGGTGTGAACCCGGGAGACGGAGCTTGCAGTGAGATGAGATCACGCCACCGCACTCCAGCCTGGGCTGCAGAGTGAGACTCTGTCTCAAAAAACAAAAAAACAAAAAAAAACCCTCAGCCACGAATGCAGATTCAATAATAACTTCTGGACAGCACGAGCTGTGCGAACCTCTAGCGCTGGTGCTACCCTCACAGCCTGGGACTGTTCTCTGCTCCTGTGAATGCCAGCCCAGCCAGCTGTAAACCAGCATGGTAGAGTCAGGCCTGATAAGGAATGGGGGTGGCTGCCCTCAATTCCCAAGCACTCCCCCAGGGTTGCAGAGGACTGCATAGGGTATGCCTTCTCTAAAATCCCTGATTTATGGGGATGGGATGGGGTGGGGGGATGGAGTCTTACCAAGCAATGTCATAAATGGTCCTTGAGTGGAAGCCGGACAAAGTACAGATACATTTCCAACTGGGGTCAGAGCCGCTGCATGCCACCCCTGCAAGACAGACTTCTCTTGCCCTTAAACGTTCCTATGTCCTGGGCACCTCAAAGGAGAACCTAACTTACCTTCCCTCACCCTCATCTTCAACTGATTATGAGTCTGTGTCTCCGTTCGTGTCCCCATCCCTGCTTATCTGCCTTACACACTATAGCCAGACTGGCGTTTCTCAAGCAGAATTCCGAGGAAACATCCCTGTTCTGTTGCAGACTGTATGTAACTACTTTGCGTGCCTGTGAAGGCCACCCACCAGCCGACCCAACCCACTTTATTCCTCTCCAAACCCCAGACGTCCTATGCCCCATTTAAATGCATTACCACCCCTCAGTCTAAGCATTCCCGCCATTGTTATCTTTACTCACACTGTTGAGTTTTCACTTGAATTCTCACGTGAAATTCTCATGTTAAAATCCTACATACCCTTTTAAATTCAGATGAAACAACCCATTCTACAAAACTTTCCTGATTCTTCCAGCACTCTATCCAGAGCCCTCTTGTAGCACATCTTACCTTTTACCCCCATTTGCTCTGACTCATGTACGTGTCTTAGCAGACTGTGAACCCCTTGAGAGATGGGTCTTCTTTAGCTCTACTAATGGACCTCACCTTGTTCATTGCCTGGTAGATACTGACGCCAGATACGCACAGTACGGTCATCACTACAAGACGCCAGGCGCTGGCCACTCGGGTCAAAGGCCAAGCTCCACACAGTGGATTCATGGCCCTCAAGGGTGGCACAGCATACCCAGTCATCCTCTTCCTCCCGGTACAGCTTCACTGTGTCATCATAGCTGGCAGAAGCTAAGAGCTGGGGGAAGAGTGAAAGGAAACCCAACATGTGTCTGTGTGGCCCAGGAAGCAAAGGACAGGTCAGTTCCAGGTATCTGCTTTTATTTTATTTTATTATTTATTTGAGATGAAGTTTGCTGTTGTTGCCCAGGCTGGAGTGCAATAGCACGATCTCGGCTCACCGTAACCCCCGTCTCCTGGGTTCAAGTGATTCTCCTGCCTCAGCCTCCCGAATAGCTGGGATTACAGGCATGTGCCACCATGCCCGCTAATTTTGTATTTTTAGTAGAGACGGAGTTTCACCATGTTGGCCAGGCTGGTCTCGAACTCCTGACCTCAGATGATCCACCCACCATGGCCTCCCAAAGTGCTGAGATTATAGGTGTGAGCCACCACACCCAGCCGGATCTGTTTTTATAAAGGGACTAATGTTTTTTGTTCACAGATGGAACTCTCCGTAAAAGCTAGATTAAGGCTGAAAAGCAGAGGAAGGCTGGGCACAAGCCTGCACACCAGAGCCCTTCCCACAAGAGTCCCTGCTTGACTCTTACCTCCTGACTTGGGTGCCAAACCACATGCTTGACATCCTGTGTGTGGGAGTTGAGAACACTGACACATTCATACTCATCCTCTTCATCAACTGTGGGAGAGAAAAAGGGGACCCAAGAGCCGACCCTGTCAGGGACACAGAGGGGGCTGTCAGGTGGTTCCCAATCCACCTGGAGGGACCTGGCCTCACCTTCCCAGACCCAAACGCTCTTATCTCGGCTGCAAGTGGCCAGGAGGTTGCCAGATGGGGCCCAAGCCACTGACTTGACCTCATTTTCATGGCCCTCGAGAGTGGTTACACACTGTGAAAGGGGAAAGAAAATGAGAATTAACAGCAGCTAACACCCCTAAGCCCCTTCCCATGGGTACAGCCCAACTGGCGCAGGTTGGCTCAGGTTCCTGAACCAGCCCTGGGGAGGAAACAGGCAATAATTCTGGTCCCAACCAGCCTGGGTACCTCAAAGTCATCCTGGTTCTTCTTCCAAATGCAAGTGGTAGCATCAAAGCTGGCAGAGGCCAGGTAATTACCGCAGGGGGACCAGGCTACCTTCCGCACGGTGCGCTGGTGGCCTTCAGAAAGGACAGACTTGCAGATCCAGCTGTCACCTAAAGGCGGAGCGCAGGCCAGGCTCTGGAGCTGGGTGCAGCACCATGAAGCCATTCAATATCAGGGGCTAGCACTGGAATCAAGCTAGTGGGGGAAAGCTCAGGGAGTGTATTTCACAGCTTTTACAAAGATGCAAATGAATCTACTTCGTCTGGAAGCTTTTTTTTTTTTTTTTTTTTTTTTTTGAGACGGAGTTTTTGCTCTGATGCCCAGGCTGGGGTGCAATGGCACAATCTCGGCTCACTGCAATCTTCGCCTCCTGGGTTCAAGGGATTCTCCTGCCTCAGCCTCCCGAGTAGCTGGGATTACAGGTGCCCGCCACAACGCCCAGCTAATTTTGTAGTTTTAGTAGAGACGGGGTTTCACCATGTTGGCCAGGCTGGTCTTGACCTCTTGACCTCAGGTGATCTACCCGCCTCTGCTTCCCAAACTGCTAGGATTACAGGCGTGAGCCACCGCGCCCAACCTCTGGAGGCATCTTTCTAAAACAAATCTGATCTAAAATTGCTATTGGTTCCCCAATGCCCTCGGGATAAAATGTGACCATCCAGTCGCAAGTTACTCTGAAGGCCACTTTCCTAACACCTCTCTTTTCCCATTTTCCTGCCTCTGCAGCTAACACAATTCCCTTGACATTTCAGCTTGTCTGCTGACGTTTTTCCTCCCAACAGTCGCAGACTTCTTTGCCTGTAAAGCCCTTCTCGGCGTGGCTAACATCCCACTCTCCCTCCGCCAGGAACAGGTTCAGCCTCCCCTGCAGGCTGAGCGCCTGCACTACGCGCAGGCTGAGCCCTCAGCGCTGAGGGCCGCGCAACCAGGCTGGGCCTTACCCTCCGTGCCCCAGATGCGGATTCTCCGGTCGCCGCCGCACGAGGCCAGCAGGGTCCCCGCGGGGTTCCAGGCCAGGAACCAGCAGCGGGAGTCCGGGTGCGCCGGGACACGGCCCAGCAGCACCAGCGAGTCCTTCATGTCGGCCCGACGCAGGGGGAGGTGGGGGCGGGCAGAGTCCGCTGAGCAGACAGCGGGTCTCACCGCGCGCGTCTGCGTACCGCCCACTCCAGGCTTCCGCGGCCGACAGAGGCTCCCGCTTCCGCCGGAGGACCTGGGTCGCCCCGGAAACTCAACTGCCCACTGCTGCGGCCGCCATACCCTCTGGGAGTTGTAGTCGCTCCCCTCACCTCGGCAGGGAAAGCATCGCGGGACCGCCTCGAACTACCAGTCCCGTGAGGCCCTGCGCAGAGCCGGCGGCGCGCCCAGGCTGTGACGCGCGCGGGGGACGGGGCGGGGAGCCGGAGGAGGCGGAGGCAGAGGAGGAGGAAGCCGGAAGTGCATCGGCCCCGGGTCTGTCCGGGCGTTGCGGGATTGGGGCCTGGGAACGCTCGGCCCCCGGCAGCCGAGAAGCCCGTGACTGGGCTGAGCAGCACCATCCCAGCCCTGGGGCCTGCTGACTGGTGAGGAACAGTGGGCGGCGTGGGGAGGGTCTTTTCTGCGCACAGGTCGCACCCCAAACCGCCGGTCCCAGATCACGGGTCCCCGATCCCCGCGGCCCAGCCCGGTCCTCCGCCCCTCGGCATCCTCTGGCTGAGACCCTGACTCCGGGTCTTTGCTCTAGCAGTAGCCGATCCCCGATCCCTCCGCCCCCCACTCGAGTCTGCCCAGACCCCATCTGGCCCCTGGCCCTCTTCGGTTGTCGTCCCGCAGTCCCATTCCGGAGTCTCCTGTCTCCGCCCCCCGAATTCCCGCAGCCCTCCCCGTCTCCGTCAGCCCCGGGTCCCACCCCCCTATCCTCTGGTGTCAACCCTGACAGCCCAGTCCCGGCTTCACCTGCAGCGAACCCGGAGCGTTGCTATCCTCCACCGGACTGTCAGGCTCTGCGCGCCCCGCGGAGGTCGGCGGCGACCAGCAGCGACTGCGGAGCGACGGCGGGCGGCCCCGGGCATGTACGCCCCCGGAGGCGCAGGGCTGCCCGGCGGGCGCCGGCGGAGGAGCCCGGGAGGCAGCGCTCTGCCCAAGCAGCCGGAGCGTAGCCTGGCCTCGGCCCTGCCTGGCGCCCTGTCTATCACGGCGCTGTGCACTGCCCTCGCCGAGCCCGCCTGGTTGCACATCCACGGAGGCACCTGTTCGCGCCAGGAGCTGGGGGTCTCCGACGTGTTGGGCTATGTGCACCCGGACCTGCTGAAAGGTGAGGGTGCTGCGCGCTGGCCCTTAAAGCCTCGGTGGGGGACAGAATGTGTTCTGGCTGAAGCAGAGATAGCCAGGGACCAGACACTTGGTTGAAGGAAACGGCCCCATAACTGCCTGGTGTTCATGCCCACCAGGTGGCTCTGTTTGGGGTCCGGCCCCTCATTAATTCTGATGTTATTCAGCTAAGCACCTACTCCTCACAGCCATGTTAATCCGGACTGCTGCTATTTTAGGATTCTGCTGGAGGAAGGACGCTGTGTATCGAGAAAAGATAAGGGTGCTAGGTATCACAGTTAGCTGGCCTCTTCTAAGGATCCTGTGAAATACGGAAAAGCTTCTTTGGGGCAGACTGATTAATGGAGAAAAAGGAACTTTTAATATGACTAGGTTTTAAAAGATATCTTAGAGTTCTATGGTAATCGGATGCGTATTAGAGAAGAAGGGAATCTGTGGCATTTTAGGTAATCGGAAGACCGTTCCATTGCCACCCGCAGTACAACAGTCGGAATGTGGCTCTTGGAACCATTATAGGTGTGCCTGACAGAGGCAAGGTTGCTTTGTTCATCATCATGCTTTCCGGCCAGATAGACAGCAGACGATGGGAGGGTCCTATGGGCCCCATAGTTTATCCTGCCCATTCTTGTCTCCAGTAAAAATTGTGAAGTGTGAGGACAGGACTGGACTGTATCACCTGCTTTTTACCCTAACAATGATCAATGTACCCCAAACAGTCCTTAGTAACAGCATAGTTCATCAACCCCAAGGTCTTTTGAGCCATCTTGAAGGTCTTATATCCTCTCTGTGCTATCCTGTCTGTGCTATTCCCTGGCTGTGATGCATTCCAGATGTTTACTGCACCGCCTATCAGAAGCACTTCCTGTTAGATATCTGCGTGTTACCTCCTGAAGAATTCAGGCACTGGGATTTGGTGAAAAGGTCCAAGTTCCCCGCTGTGCATCGGACCATACTCTGCTTCTGCAGGTCTAGGCTGAAAAGCCTCATCCTTGTGGCCAAATGTTGCCTTTCTCTGAGTGTTCTCTTACTGTTTTGCATCTCTCTTGAGTTTTAGAAGCTGTAGGGTGATTTTGTAGAAGGTTGGGGACAACTGGTTGTTTCCAGATTTCACCTTAATGGTACTCTTTGCTGGGTTGGCTCATTAAAGCCAAAGTTATGCACACGACAGAGGCCTTATATGCAGCCTTTTCTCTGTCATGTTGCTAATGGCACAAAGAGCATTAAGCTTGAGTGAGTCTTGGTGGTTTTTCTTTTAGCACATTGCCCTGTACTTGCTTTCTTTGAAGCACACATACCACCTTCCCACCACTAGACCCATCAGATCTAGAAAGCTAGATCTCCGAAATCTAGCACTGCATGGGGTGTGCTTAGCTGTGGCTCAGAAAAATGAAGGATCTCCCCAAGGCTACCCAGTTTAGGGTGGCAGAGCTGGGACTACCCCACCTCTGTTGATGCCAATATAAAATGATGCCGTGTCATTTATAGTTTTTATCCTTTGTTTTACTTCAGCTGTCATAAGGAGCAATCTCATAATTATTTCACTTTGGTGTGCATCCTTGTCGAAGGCATGTTAAAAATAAAAGTAAATTTTTGAGCCGGGCGTGGTGGCAGGCATCTGTAATTCCAGCTACTTGGGAGGCTGAAGCAGGAGAATCGCTTGAACTTGGGAGGCCGAGGTTGCAGTGAGCTGAGATCGCGCCATTGCGCTCCAGCCTGGGCAACAAGAGCGAAACTCCATCTCAAAAAAAAAAAAAAAAAAAGAAAGGCCAGGAACTGGCTCACACTTCTGATCCCAGCACTTTGGGAGGCCGAGGCGGGTGGATTGCCTGAGGTCAAGAGTTGGAGACCAGCTTGGCTAACATGGTGAAAGAAACCCTGTCTCTACTAAAAATACAAAAATTAGCTGGGTGTGGTGGCACACGCCTGTAGTCCCAGATACTCTGAAGGCTGAGGCAGGCGAATCGCTTGAACCCAGGAAGTAGAGGAGTTGCAGTGAGCCCAAGATCACACCACTGCACTCCAGCCTGGGCAACAGAGCAGAGCAAGACTCCATCTCAAAAAAAAAAAAAAAAGTAAATTCTTGGTGCAGGTTCTTCTTTGTTCACATGTGTATTTACCCTTTCTAAGAAATTATTCGGGCCAGGCCAGGCATGGAGGCTCACACCTGTAATCCCAGTACTTTGGGAGGCCAAGGCGGATGGATCACCTGAGGTCAGGAGTTCAAGATCAGCCTGGCCAACATGGTGAAACCCCATCTCAACTAAAAATACAAAAATTAGCCAGGCCTAGTGGCTGGTGCCTCAACTACCCAGGAGGCTGAGGCAGGAGAATCGCTTGAACCTGGGAGGTGAGGTTGCAGTGAGCCCAGATCACACTACTGCACTCCAGCCTGGGCTACAGAGTGAGACTCCATCTCAAAAATTAAAAAGAAAGAAATTATTCAGGCTCCGTTTTGTCTTTTGCAAAGCATGTTTTCTTAACCTTTACATTACATTTGCTCACATATTTAGAGACCTTAACCTGTGTATAGTTTCTACTTGCTTGCCTGTGGCCATCTCCTAAGAGCAGTTTGTGCCCATTAATAGGAGAGTTGGCAGTGGTGCCTCATGAGCTATCACAGAAGAATCAGTAAGGAATCCGGAAGTCCTTGATTGCATCTTCTCTCCCTTTTCTTTGTACCTACTGGTTTTTTGGTACCCAGTGGGCCTTCAGACATGTAGTATCCTGTGTGACTGTGCTGATCCTCAGGGCCTAACAGATATCCTGACCTGAGAGCCTGGAGTATTCCACATCTCAAGAGGGAGCAGAGCTGTCAAGCACAGATGTGGTGCATATAGAGTTTTTTTTTTTTTTTTTTTAAATGAGACAGACTCTTGCTCTGTCACCCAGGCTGGAGTGCAGCGGCGCCATCTCAGCTCACTGCAACCTCCGCCTCCCGGGTTCAAGCAATTCTCCTGTCTCAGCCTCACGAGTAGTTGGAATTACAGGTGCTCCACCATGCCCAGCTAATTTTTGTACTTTTCGTAGAGATGAGGTTTCACCTTGTTGACCAGGCTGATCTCAAACTCCTGACCTCAGGTGATCCACCCACCTTGGCTTCCTAAAGTGCTGAGATTACAGGCATGAGCCACCGCTCCTGGCCACATGTAGATACTTCCAGAGGGAGAACAGACCCTGCCAGGTCTCTGCCGGTGATGGGAGTTGGGCAGCCAGCAGGCCCTGGAGCAGCCTTACCATTTCTCAGCCCCTGCCTGAGTGCCACATTTTGACATTATGCTAAGCACACCCCATGCCTGCTTTTTTCCTCCTAAACAGCATCTTTATTTGGTAGGTACTGTTTCAGCCCCACTTCAAAAGGTCCCAGCTCAGGGAAGCTAGGTAGTTTGCTCAGCTAATCTGAGTGGACATTGACTCCAAAGTCCATACTCTTACTGCAACACCTTAGTGAGCTCCGAGTTTATTTCCCATCAAAGCTGCCTGAGGCTTATCACTTTCCTATTCTAGTTGAGTTTTATCATAAGCCCAGCCAAAGCTGTGCTTTTTGTCATAACTTCATCGCCTCAGTGTTGAGGCTTTAGTTGGTGATCCCAGGGCAAAGCCACTCTCCCATTGTCATTCACAAAGCTTCAGAGGCTTTAGCCAATGAAAGCTGGCTCCAAAGAACCCATCCTGGGCTGGGTGTGGTGGTTCACTCCTGTAATCTCAGCACTTTGGGAGGCTGAAGCAGGAGGCCAGCAGGATCACTTGAGTCCAGGAGTTCAAGGCTGCAGTGAACTATCGTCGTGCCTCTGCACTCCAGCCTGGGTGACAGAGTGAGACCCTTCCTTTAAAAAAAAAAAAAAAAGACCTCATCCTGGGTTTTCTCCACTGCCCCTGCAAGCGGTGCCTGCTTCTCACACAGCTCTCAACCTGGCCCTGGGTGGAGATAGACTCACACCTCTAGACCCCAGAAAGAGGGGCCGCAGATAGTCATTTCTTCTGAGCCTTTCTGCCTCTCAAGTGTGGCCACCAAAGGGCACTGGCAACAGCCCCAGGAAGCATCTTTGGAGAATGAGGAAGTTGGGGAGTAGAAGTCAGGTGAATCACAATTGACAGCAGCCACTGGAAGATCAAGGGCCTTCCAGGGAGAGCCTGTGTGCCTGATAGGTGGTGACTGGGGCAGCTGACACTGCCAGGCCCTGCGGGGCCTGTTGGTGTCTGTGGGATAACCTGGCTGGGCACTAGAGGGCTCTGTTAAGAGGCCTGTGTCGCAGGCCTGTCTGGAAGCTAAAAAGGTCACAGTGAGGAGACGCTGAGCAGGTTGCACAGATGCATAAAGAGGGATTGGGGCATTGGGGAAGTGTCTCTAATTCAGAGGGACTCCAGCAAGAAGGGAGGCGGGGTGGGACAGAAGTCCTTTTAAGCCTTTCTGCCTGCAGACTGTTTGGGTCAGGAGTGGTTAGAGCAATGGGCAGATAGACAGGAAGAGGCAGGACCTTCAAAACAAATCTAGCCTGGTGACTCACCAGTGACCTTGAGCAAAGTCAGTTCCATGGGATCCTATTACAGCTGCCTACTTCCCTGATGACTAGAGGGCACCGCCAAGCAGTGTTTACCAAAATCAACAGGCCAGAGCACAGCTGGAAGGTAGGAGGTGTTCTGTGTCTAGCCAGGGCATCGTGGACTGCACCACTGGCTTGAATTTCAAGTTAGGGTCCTGCGTTGCATGCCATTTCTCTCTCGAATAAAATCCTACATACATAACCTTCAGGGGTTTTCTTTAGCAATCCCCTCATGGGAGCAGGTGCTTGTTGCCTTCCCTGCTGTACCGACGTCTAGGAAGGGAGGAGAGAAAGACATTGAGATACTGACTCCAGAAGAGTCTCTGAGCTGGGCTCCAAGCCTGTCTAGGATAACTGCCTGTTCTTCCGGTGTGCTCTGAGACCCTCTGAGGAAAACCCACCTGTTACATGGGGCAGGCCCCTGGGGTATCTGTTAACGTTACCCAAAGGGAATTTCATATTTGGTTTTCTCACTAACCCTGAGGGTTTACTCACAGCTTTGGAGTGGGGAAAGGCAGTTATATTGAAACAAAACCTATTGGAGTTTTAGGTCAAAAGTCTCTTCTCTCTATCATATTGTCATACTTGTAGGGTAGGCCCTTAGTCTGGCTTTAGTAGGCCTTGGTCCACACGGGCTGACGTGTGGTCAAGGAAGTCTTGGTAGAAGAAGGAAAGGCATGCTGAGGTGACACACTGGCCCAGCTGAAACAGCCTCTGGTTAATAACAGCACAGGTGGCTGCTCTTTCATGGGCACGGTGTCAGCTGACCCAGCATGCCCTGGTGGTGGGTGGGGCAGATGTTATTGTTTTCATTTGATAGATGAGAGAACAGAGGTCCAGCGCACTCAAGGGACTTGCTCAAAGTAACACAGTCTCTGCTAGAGCTAGGATTCGGCGCCAGGTCCCAAGCCTTTCCGGTGTCCTGACCACTTCCTAGAGCAGGCTCTGATGGTTGCAATGCTGCAGGAGCTTAGACACCATGCCTGGCAGGTTTTGCCCAATAATTCCCCATGTGAGGACTTAATGACCCAAACCTTTTTTGCTTCTTAGAGAGATTTCATTGCTTCAAGCTGTTCCTCTAGTGAGCTTAGCAGCTGGCTCTGAGGATGGCTCCAACAGTATTCCTGTTAGCTTCTGACCCCTCATTCACGCACAACTCTTTAGGAATTGATTGATTATCTCCAGGGAAAAATACAGTGGCCGAGTCTGGTACTTAGTGATTCCGAGCAGCACAGTGTAGGGGAGCCTGATCATGGTTTGGAATCTAGCTCTGCAGCGTGTGGCCTGGAGGAAGCCACTTCACCTTCTGGAGCCCCCGACTCCTCATCTGAGCTGTGTGGTAAATCCCCCAGGGGGGCACTTCACCCATCTGTGTGCACAGGCTGTTCCAGGAGGGGTATACAAGGCCCCTCCAACAATATTTGCCTTTGGAGAGGAGCAGGTGGACATCCGCAAGGGGAGGGATGTCCTCTTGGAAGCTTTTTATCATGTGCATGTCTCCTTACTAGTAAAATTCATGTATAATGAAACATAAGACAATAGGAGTATATGTCATGGATGTACATTTTTAAGGATAATCAAATGAACATCCTTGTGCTCACCATCCAGCCAAAGAAACAATACAGGCTCCTTGAAGCCTGCACATATTACTTTTCTTACTCCAACTGCCTGGCCTCATCAGTAATGTGAGTGGAATCTGACACGGCCTACTGCAGAGCGGCATGTGACCTCTGGTAGGTTATTCTTGGAAGCACTATAAGAACACTGCCCCATCCCTGCCACATGCCACGTGGACCCCAAGAAGAACTCTCTTAGCTTTTAATAAGATTTAAAATACAGCCAGGAGATAGCCCCTGTCTCCTAGAGCTTTTCTTTCAGTGAGGCCCCATGCACTATGGCTCTGCAGGGCTGGGTTCAATGAAGGCTGGTCCCAGTTGCTGGCAGGGTTCACACACAGGCAGGCTTTCTGGCAGTAGACAGTTACCCAGGCTGGATGCTTGGGCCCAAAACAGATGGTCAGCAGACAAGAGATCATGACAGATAGTTCTGAGGGCTGCTTCGTGGGTGACCCAAAGCCAGACAGAGGTGTATGAGCCTTGTCTGGGCCCAGCCAGCCTCTGCTGGGCGAACTCTGAGCCTGAGGCAGGGTATGCGTGCTCAATCCTAGAGGCTCAGGGCTTCTCTCTACCCAGAACCTGTGATGCTGGCATCTGTTGGGCTGAGTCAGCTTTGCTGGGTTTAGGTCCCCTCCCCAGGTTCCTGGACTTTCCCCCATCAGTCCACCTTCCTCTGAGGTCTGGAACCAGTGTTTCTTGAAGTGTGGGGCTTGGATCACCTGCATGGGGATTACCTGGGCTGCTTGTTAAAATCCAGATTCCTAGGCCCTGCTCCAGACCTAGAACTCGGACTCTCTGGGGACCTGGGAACACGCTTTCAGCCAGTGCCACAGTGATTTGGGTATGCCCTAGAGATTGATGATCACACCCCACACCCTCTCAGCCTGAGATCAAGTTCAGGAAAGGACGCTATATAGCCTGAGTCTTGCCAGCCCTTTCCAAATTTTCCTAAATCACTTGGTGACCCATGGCCTAAATAAAAGAAGAACTTGCCAGTGGCTGTAACAGAAGAAGGAGAGGAAGTTAAGGCCCATTTCCTACTTTTTTTTTTGAGGCGGAGTCACTCTGTCACCAAGGCTGGAGTGCAGTGATGTGATCTTGGCTCACTGTAACCTCCACCTCCCAGGTTCAAGCAGTTCTCCTGTCTCAGCCTCCTGAGTAGCTGGGACTACAGGTGCACGCCACCATACCTGGCTGATTTTTTAAATTTTTAGTAGAGACAGGGTTTCACCATATTGGTCAGGCTGGTCTCAAACTGCTGACCTCAGGCGATCCACCCACCTCGGCCTCCCAAAGTGCTGGGATTACAGGCGTGAGCCACCATGCCCGACCCCATTTCTACTTTTTATGAAAGCTTAAAATACTTAATCATGGCCTGGTTTCTTTTTGGTTCAGCCTTTATTCTACCCTATGCTTCTGGGAGCTTTTGCAGTTTGCATAGTTATCAAAGGAGACAGACAGTATCATCTAGTTTTTTGTTTTTTTGTTTTGTTTTTTGTTTTTGAGATGGAGTCTCGCTCTGTCGCCAGGCTGGAGTGCAGTGACACGATGTCGGCTCACTGCAACCTCCGTCTCCAGGGTTCAAGCGATTCTCCTGCCTCAGCCCCCCGAGTAGCTGGGACTACAGGCGCGCGCCACCACGGCCGGCTAATTTTTGTATTTTTAGTAGAGACGGGGTTTCACCATGTTGGCCACGCTGATGTCGAACTCCTGACCTCAGGTGATCCACCCGCCTCGGCCTCCCAAAGTGCCAGGATTATAGGCGTGAGCCACTGTGCCTGGTAGTGTCGTCTAGTTGAAATGTTTTTTTAAAGAATGGCTAAAGTACTGGAGGGAAATACAAGTTGCTGTGTGTCTGCTGCGTGGTTGTTGTCATGGGCTCTCCCTGCACCATGACCCCCAGGAACCCCTTGAGTGCTGTGTCTTTTCTTTCAGCCTCTTCCTTTTCCTTCATTTATGCCCTTGACGTGTGCACGTTGGCACTGTCCAAGGCTTCTGGGGCTTTTGTGGTATAAATGTGGTGGCTTCCTAGCTTTTCCTGTTGATGGCTTGTCCCCAGCTCTGCCGAGTCTGCTGAGTCCCTTTTAGGTAGGTCTATTTCCCTTTACTTTCCAGTTTTTGGAACCTTGTTTTATACCTCCCTTTCTTTTTGTGTGGGTTGCCTTTTAAAAGAATTCTTTTGTTCTCGTAGAGTTCAGGGAGGGAGCTAAACTAAATGTGATATAGTCTACCAACTTTCCTAATCTATGTAATACTTTCTTGTAGCTGCACATTTCTCTAAACTGCCGCAACTTCCTTCTTCCTCTTTTCTTTATTTTACTTTTTTTTAAAATTGTGGTAAAATATACATAACATAAAACTTAGCATTTTAACTTTTTTTTTTTTTTTTTTTGAGACAGAGTTTCTCTCTTGTTGCCCATGCTGGAGTGTGAAGGCGCAATCTCGGCTCACCGCAACCTCCATCTCCCAGGTTCAAGCAATTCTCCTGCCTCAGCCTCCCAAGTAGCTGGGATCACAGGCATGCACCACCACGCCCGGCTAATTTTGTATTTTTAGTAGAGACAGGGTTTCCCCATGTTGGTCAGGCTTGTCTCAAACTCCTGACCTCAGGTGTTTTGCCCGCCTTGGCCTCCCAAAGTGTGGGATTACAGGTGTGAGCCACCGTGCCCTGCCAACATTTTTTTTTTTTTTTTTGAGACAGAGTCTCACTCTGTCACCAGGCTGGAGTGCAGGGGTGCAATCTCGGCTCACTGCAACCTCCACCTTCCGGGTTCAAGCAATTCTTCTGCCTCAGCCTCCAGAGTAGCTGGGACTACAGGCGCATGCGATCACACCCAGCTAATTTTTGTATTTTTGGTAGAGACGGGGTTTCACCATGTTGGCCAAGATGGTCTCGATCTTCTGACCTCGTGATCTGCCCGCCTCGGCCTCCCAAAGAGCTGGGATTACAGGCGTGAGCTACCATGCCTGGCCAATATTTTGTTTTTTTAAGAGACAGGGTCTCTCTCGGTCATCCAGGCTGGAGTGCAGTGGTGTGATTATAGCTTACAGTAACTCCTGGGCGCAAGCAGTCCTCTTGCCTCAGCCTCCTAAGGAGCTAAGACTATAGGCATGCGCCACCATGCCCAGCTAATTTTTTTTTTTTCCTCAAAGAGACGGGGTCTCACTATGTTGCCCAGGCTGATCTCAGACTCTTGGCCTCGAGCAATCCTCCTGCCTCAGCCACCCAAAGTATTAATAACCATTTTAAGTGTTGAGTTCATTGATATTAAGCACATGCATCATGACTATCTGTTTCCAAAACTATCATCATTTCAAACTGAACCTTTGTGCACATTAAATGATAACTTCCTGTTCTCCCCTCTCCCTACCTGCTGGCAACCACCATTATATTTTCTGTCTCTATAAACTGATTATTCTAGGTATCTCATATGAGTGGAATTATAAAATATTTGTCCTACATTTGGTTGATTTCACTTAGCATAGTATCTTCAAGTTCAACTTCTTTTTGGAACAAAAAGGGAATGAATGAGTGAGTAAATGGAGAATCAGCATTAATTGACCTGTATGGTCTTAGCCTCTCTGGCTGTCTCAGCTCCAAAGTCAGGCTTTTCCTGCCAGCTCAAAATATCCTTTAGCAGAATGCATTAACATGTCAGGTTAACTGTCAGTGTCTTTAAAAATGGTTAGAAGGGCATGGCATACACAGTGAAGTAGAATCCTGCACTTAGGCTAGTCCTGTTGGAAAGAGAAGGACTTGAGGTACAGGAGAGCAGTGGCCTCTGCTAATGTGGAATTTGCTCCAGCTACCCTGCAGACCACCCAGGAGCAGGGGCTAAGACAGCGTCCTCCAGAACTGCCCTGGCTCCCAGGACTGTGGTGGAGGGGAATCAAACTCCTTCTAGGTGGGGACTTCCTGCACCAAGTGTTACTTGGGGCCGTGAAAATTTGGTTCTCCCTCTACAGATTTCTGCATGAATCCCCAGACAGTGCTGCTCCTGCGGGTCATCGCCGCCTTCTGTTTCCTGGGCATCCTGTGTAGTCTCTCCGCTTTCCTTCTGGATGTCTTTGGGCCGAAGCATCCTGCTCTGAAGATCACTCGTCGCTATGCCTTCGCCCATATCCTAACGGGTAAGCCGTGAGCCTGCTCACAGTGGGAGAGGAACTGCTACAGGGTGGGGGCATCCTGTCTGAGTTGCCGGTGGGGGCTCTGGTTTCTCTGAGCAGGCACCCTTCCAGGAGCTCATGTGCCAAGCTCCAGTCTTTCCCAGAGTGTCAGGGTGTCAGCAGCCTGCTCCAGTCTAGCTGCTAACTTGCCAGGATCACAAACCCACTCAGCCCAGCTGTAGAGGGGAAATGTTGCTAGAAATTCCACAAGGAAGCTCACAGCTCTCTAAAATGGCATTTGAAGCTCAGACCTGACATGAGTGAAGAAGGAACCAGGCAGTCTCCCGTGTCTCCCCTGGAGCTCCTGGTCAGATTCTCTCCTCTCCACCTTCCTGCTTCCCTACAGACCCGCCTTTTCTTGTATGTAGCTGCTGTCCTCCCTCGTGCCTGCACTGCTGTGCTGGTTTGAATTGTGGTGTGCCTACTCCAGCTCCCAAGCTGCATGACCCTATTTGCTCCTTAAGACAGATGGAATCTGACTGGCCTAGATCAGGTCAGACTGCTGTCCCCAACCTCAGGCCAGGAATCCCATGGTCAAGAGAGCTCCTCCTTGCAGAGTCTGGGGCCAGGCAGGTTCTCTGAGAATGGGGTTTGGGTAGAGAGGCTGTGATTGGGTCCTCAAGCATCCTAGCTGTGGAGTGCTCACTAATTCCCCTTCTGTGCTGTCCCTCTGTCTCCTAGTTCTGCAGTGTGCCACCGTCATTGGCTTTTCTTATTGGGCTTCTGAACTCATCTTGGCCCAGCAGCAGCAGCATAAGAAGTACCATGGATCCCAGGTCTATGTCACCTTCGCCGTTAGCTTCTACCTGGTGGCAGGAGCTGGTGGAGCCTCAATCCTGGCCACGGCAGCCAACCTCCTGCGCCACTACCCCACAGAGGAAGAGGAGCAGGCGCTGGAGCTGCTCTCAGAGATGGAAGAGAACGAGCCCTACCCGGCGGAATATGAGGTCATCAACCAGTTCCAGCCACCCCCTGCTTACACACCCTAATGCCAGCCCTGGGCTCTCTTCCTCGGCAGCCCCTCCCTCAACTCTGCAGCTCCTCTCGCACCCAGAGGAGCTCCTTTCCCCAGCAGGCCTCACTGGTAGGATCCTGACCATCTTCTCCAAACCTTCCCCAGGAGAGACTCTGCCTTTAGGGTCATCCAAGTATCCCTGCTCTCAGAACCGGAGGTCCACTGGTTTTCTATAATGTACTCTTTCCCTCCTGCCACATCCTGCCCCCTTCACATTCACGAGTCATTACCAGCCAGGGAAGGTCATCCAAGTTTCCTCCAGCATGGGCGATATCTTTGGGACCGAGACTTTCCTTGGAGAGCTGCTGAGAGCGGACAGTCCCAAAAACAAGTGTCAAAGGGCCCAAGGGAAAGGGGACTGTGCCCTGGAGGCTCACTTCACAGGGATCAGTGTTTGCTCCACAGCTGTAGCTCTGGGCTGACGCCCCCCAGACCCCTTCCTTCTCGGAGTGACCCGCCCCCAGGCCACCTGCTCCGGGGAGTTCTGTGCACTTTACTCTTTGGACTTCTCCTCACGTGTGCCCTGGTTTTATGGGGAGAGGGAATCGCTGTTGGGAAGGCAGAGCAGTTGCAACCCTCTCTGCCCTTGCTTCATGTGGCTGGAGCCCAGGCAAGGAGAGCAGGAGCCAGCGTGAGACTGAGGCCCCCTGGTGCCTATCAAGGACCAGAGTGAAGGGGACTACATCTCCCAGCCCTTCACCTTTTAAATATGAGTGGTTTTAAAAGGAAAAAAATGAAACCAGGCAACAGCAACAATATTCTGTTTTTAAAATAGGGACAAGACTGTTGTCACTTTTTAGACATGTATCCCATTCCTTTTGGCTCTGCAATATTTGGGGCTGTAGCTCCTTCCAAGCCCATGGTAGTCCCTCCCCGAGTCTCTCCCAGTAGAATGCAGCCTCCCTTCCCTGGCCCCTTCCCTCTCAGTGACGGTGACTCCCTGGGGCCTTCTCGTGGAACCCAGAGGGGCTGAGGACTGTGGCCTGGCTGGCGGGCCAGCGTGGTGCTCCTCAGGACTGCAGCACTGAGATGGAACCTGGCCTCAGTTTAGGAACAGGGGCCACAACAGGGCAGGAACCCACCACCCTCCACATAGGAATACAACCAGTGGGGCCACATCATGTGAGGCATCAGACCCACACTGTCAGCCCAGCAGGCCGGGCTGTGTCCTTCAGACCCAGTGCTGCCCTAGACTCTGACTCGGGACTCCAGCTTGCCACGTGCCCTCTCCCCTCTTGAATGTACTCTGGTCTTGCAGTGTGCTGCTGGGACTTTCTTGCTCAGCCATCACTCTGGTCACCTTGTTTGCTCTGGGTCTGGCTGAATTTTCTGCCCTGAGATCTGGGCATAAAGTGGATGAAACTTGAAAGACCTTCAGTGTAGATCCAGATGGCCAACCTGTCCTTGTTAAGTTACTTGCTTCTTGGGAATCAGTGTCCCCTGCTGAGCTGAAAAGGAAATGGATTCCAATCTCTTCCAACCTTTAAGGTGATAGATAGTTTGAGCAAGACTGGAGAATGGACAACACTATGAAGCTGTGGCTAGAAAGGGACTGTCATGTCCCATCCTTTGGCCAGATTGACTGGGGATGTCCGGACAGATGCCTGCATGGGTGGTGAGGGCCACATCTGCACACGAGCCAGTGGCTGCTTGCAGTTCACTGCTGTGATGCCAGAGTGTGTTCAAAGGTGACTCTCCTGCTCTTCTGGACTCTTCTCTCAGGCAAGAAAGGCTGCAGGCTGCCTGCTATGTGATGCCTGAGCACAAAGCCAAGGAACTGAACTAAGTCTTTCTGTTAAGTCCTGAGTTTGTCATTGGCAGGTTTACTTGTGGCCAGCTCTCTCTGCCCTTGGGTGTCTGAGCAGGCAGACCAGAAGACCAGGCACTGGACCTGCATGCCAAAGGGACTGGTCATCTCCTGAGGACCTGTAAATGACCCTGTGGACTGTTCCGCACGATCCGGAACCCACTTTTTATTCACTCCCCATGTCTTTGGCCTTCCTCTTCTTTCTCTTTCCCTCTGCCATCCTGACACTGATAGTTTGTCATATAAATTCCCCGGGTTGTGTTTTTTTTTCTAGAAAAAAATTAAAAGGGAAAACAAAACCAAAAAAACCAGAAACCACGAATAAGAATGGAAATGACAATGGCTGCCTGTCATTTTTCTGTCACGATTTTCCTGATTTGGTTTGTTCCCTTTGTCTCAGAGAAGCAGGAGATGTTGATGAGGCTGTATTTTTTTTTCTTTTTCTTGTTTTTGAGACAAGAGTCTCGCTCTGTCACCCGGGCTGGAGTGTAACGTGGCATGATCTCAGCTCACTGCAACCTCTGCCTCCTGGGTTCAAGCGATTATCCTGCCTCAGCCTCCTGAGTAGCTGGGATTACAGGCATGCGCCACTATGCCCAGATAATTTTTTTGTATTTTTAGTAGAGACAGGGTTTCACCATGTTGGCCAGGCTGGTCTGGAACTCCTAACCTCAGGTTATCCACCCACCTTGGCCTCCCAAAGTGCTGGGATTATAGGCATGAACCACCGTGCCTGGCCAAAGATGTAATTTAAAATAGTTAGAAGGGACTTGGCATGGGCCAGCTCCGTGCATGGCATTTTCACCCCCAGAGCTTCCTAATCCTGTTTTCACACAGGAAGTTTCTAGGTCTTTCTAGAACAGCTAGAAATAGTAGCTGACTCCCGCCCAAGGCCCAACCTTCAAACCCTGAGCTCTTCAGGCTGCATCCTCTGGTGAGCTATAGAGGAGAACGTGGCTCCTAAACTCTAGCCATCCTGTGGGAGGAAATAGACTTCTTTGGGCTGTGGCTTGCAGAACAAACTACACTTTTTTTCCCTCTATTGTTTAAATTTTATTTAATAATTTGTGTGTTTTTCTGTCTTTATTTTCTGTATTTCACGTGTTCCTTCACTCCCTAGAAACTGCACTTTCTTTGAAACCATAGGTAATGAATCTTACTAGGAGAGGCATGGGGATAGAGACAGTTCTGGGAGTGTGACCTGTAAGCCTCCTGTAGGGCAGTGCCAGGCCTTGATTGCCCACGTTCTCTCCGTTCCTTCTTCCTTCATACATTTGATCACACAGCCTACACCCAGCCCCGAGTGTGCATCACGGTAAAAGAGCTGAGGGCTCTCTTCAGGGAGCAGCCCATTTAGGTCTCTTTTGTTGTTGTTAGGGAGAATACACATCTTTCTTGGAAGCTGGGAGTGTGTTCTCATTTCATGTCCATTCAGACAAAGCACCATTAGGCACCATGAAATATACAGTGACGGACAGGACCCTGTCTGCAAGGATTTTATGTCCTTAGTTCAGGAGATGGACTTGTCCACAGAAAGGCAGAGTGAAGTGGGCGGCCGGCTCGGAAAAGTCCTGTGCCCAGAAGGGAGCCAGTTCTGACCTGAGTGATAATGAAAGGCTTCCTGGAGGACGCAGCTTGAGCCACACTTGATGTGGGAGTGAACTGGGATAGGGACACTCCTGCTGAGAGAATGGCAAGAGCAAAAGCACACTGGTGGCCAGGAGGTGGTAAGAGCCGAGGTTAGAAAGGTGAGGGGTGCTCATTTAAGGCACTAACAGCAGAAGGAGCCCAGGAAGGATTTTCAGAAGGGAAGGGAGGGATGCAACCTTATTTTAATGACTGGTGACAGTAGGAAGGGTTCTGCCTGGCCTTAAGTGAGGGTGTTGAAAGTGGGAGACAGGACCTGCCAAAGGGGAAGAGGGCGGTCACAGTCAATCCCAGGGCCCAGTGTCTCAGCCAGGTGCTGGAGTTGGGAATGCGGGAGCCCCAGTCTCTGCCCACCTGTCACGTGGCAGCTGGAAGGTGGCATCAACTGCACAGGCGAAGAGGGGCCCGCACACGAGAAGCCATGGGATGTGAAGGGCCGCAAGGAGAGGACCCTGGGACACAGGAAGAGGTGGTGCATCTGGGGCAGGGCGGCTTTCCCAAGATGACTAGAGAATCTTCAGCTGGCATCTTGCCTGAAATATCCACGCTCTCAGCCACTACACTAATGGAACACAGATGCTATGGGGAGACAGAAGGGAACTGACAAACTTCATGCCCCTGTTTTCAAATAGCCTGCAATCTTACCTCTTCCTCTGCATTTTTTGGGGGGAGTGACATTTTAATGGGAGGCAGGAGGTTTGTGGAGAAGAGAAAATGTTTTTTTTGTGGGGGTGGGTAGAGACAGTCTCACCATGTTGCCCAGGCTGGTCTCAAACTACTGGCTTCAGGCAATCCTTCTGCCTCCCTTCCCAAAGGGTTGGGATTACAGGCTTGAGCCACTGCACCAAGCCTGAAAATGTCGTTTTGAATGAGCCCACCTGAAACGAAGACGCTTCATTAGGGTTACTGGTTTGAGAATTAAGATCAGTTCTGGCCGGGTGCGGTGGCTCACGCCTATTATCCCAGCACTTTGGGAGGCCGAGGTGGGTGGATCACAAGGTCAGGAGATCGAGACCATTCTGGCCAACATGGTGAAACCCCGTCTCTACTAAAAATACAAAAATTAACCAGGCATGGTGGCAGGTGCCTGTAGTCCCAGCTACTCGGGAGGCTGAGGCAGGAGAATCACTTGAACCCGGGAGGCAGAGGTTGCAGTGAGCCGAGATCATGCCACTGGACTCCAGCCTGACAGAGTGAGACTCCATCTCAAACACACACACACACACACACACACACCACACACACACACACAGGTTCCTCACCATAAGCTTTGGGGAAAATTCTTGGCTTTTTTGCTGGGGGAGAGAGCAGTGCCCAGGGAAGATTGGCTGATCTCAGAGCTGGAGGGTTTATGCGGGACTGGCCAGCCCCTTCAGCTGAGTGGGACAGCAACACAGTGGGTGGTAAGGGGCTTCATAAGATGTACAAGATGAGGGAGAGGCCCCTCCAGCCAACCCTGTGTCTAAAGAGTCAGGTAACGAAGAACTTTCCAGAGACAGCTGTGAGTCCGTCTGGCTTAAGGGGTTGTACAGGTGTCTGAGAATGGGGCCTGAAGGTGCAGGGCCTGCAGGCTGCCCTGTTTGGAAGGTTCCTGTCCTTCTGTCTTGGTAGAAAATGGCAGCTAGCCTTGTAAAGGGCCTCCTTGTGTAGCGAGATAGACCATGTAGCCCCAGATGCCCCCATGGCTTCACTTCCCTCTTGGGGGTCTCTCAGTATATGTCTAGTGCCACCACTATTGGTGGAGAGTTTCCTTCTGGAATAACCTTGGGGTGGTGGATGGGTTTTATTTTAATAAAAGAAGAATGTCTCATTCATTTTTTCTTATTTATTTTTTGAGACGGAGTCTCACTTTGTTGCTCAGGCTGGAGTGCAGTGGCAAGATCTCGGCTCACTGCAACCTCCACCTCCCCGATTCAAACAATTCTCCAACCTCAGCCTCCCAAGTAGTTAGGATTACAGGCATGCACCACCATGCCTAGCTAATTTTTATATTTTTAGTAGAGATGGGGTTTTGCCATGTTGGCCAGGCTGGTCTCAAACTCCTGACCTCAGGTGATCCGCCCGTCTTGGCCTCCCAAAGTGCTGGGGTTACAGGGGTGAGCCACTGCGCCCTGCCCCGTTATTGATTCTTTCCATCTGTTTGCTTCCTCATATTCTAACGGGGTATGGGAAATTTGCTTGCATGTACACACATGCAATTTCTTTCCTTTTTTTCTCTTTTTCTTTCTCTTTCTCTTTCTTTCCTTTCTTTCCCTCCCTTCCTTCCTTTTCTTTTCTTTTTTCTTTCTTTTCTTTGACAGGATCTTGCTCTGTCTGGAGGCTGGAGTGTAGTGCTGCAATCATGGCTCACTGCAGCCTCAACCTCCCAGGCTCAAGTGATCCTCCCACCTTAGCCACCTGAGTGGCTGGGACTGCAGGTGTGAGCCACTACCTCTGGCTAATTTATTTTTTGCAGAGACAGAGCCTTGCCATGTTGCCCAGGCTGGTACACACCCAATTTCTATTATGTGTACAGGCCTGTGTCTTTCTTCTTGTTTACCTTATCAGTCCATTAGGCCAGGAGTCGTGTTGTTGTTTTTATTTTTTTTTAAGGTGGAGTCTCACTCTGTTGCGAGTGGACAAGAGTGCGCTCTGGAGTGCTGGAGTGCAGTGGTGCGATCTTGGCTCACTGCAATCTCCACCTCTGGGTTCAAGCAATTCCCCTGCCTCAGCCTCCTGAGTAGCTGGAATTACAGGCGCACACCACCATGCCTGGCTAATTTTTGTATTTTTTAGTAGAGAATGGGGTTTCACCATGTTTGCCAAGCTGGTCTTGAACTCCTGACCTCAGGTGATCCGCCTGCCTTGGCCTCCCAAAAAGCTGGGATTACAGGCATGAGCCACCACACCCGGCTGGGTCACGCTTTTTAATGTGACATTCATTCAGCAAATACACTGAACACAAGTGCCTTGTGGAGGATGCAGAAATTCTAACACATATGATCCTTGCCCTCTAAGGCCTTCCAATCCAGCCACCAGGAAAGAGGAAACCTGATGACACCGAAACGTGATAGCCAAGGAACACTTCCTAAAGAAGAGACTTGATCTGGGCCTTGGAGAAGGGGCAGGCCTTCATGAGAGCATGGTGTAGGCAGTGGTGTGAAAGCAGGAAAGGAAGGGCGTGGCTTTGGGGAACACTGAGTTGATGTGAGCAGCTCCTTCCCACTGGAGGTGCAGGGCAAGCAATTAGCTCATGGACCTAGCCCAGGAGGGCCTGGAACATCAAGGTTGTCAGAATGCTCACAGCTGCAAGACCCAGAACTGAAAATTTCTTAACTAAATGGAATTTATTGTTTTCCACAATTGAAAAGTTCAGCGTAGTCGGGGGGACTGGGCTGGGTCCAGGGACTCAAACAATGACACAAAGACACAGTTTCTCTCCACCTCTTTGCTTTGTGTGTCTGCTCAGGCCATCTCTCCCCAAAGGTGGTGAAGATGGCCACCAGCAGACTGGGGCTCACCCTAGACTCCTTTTTAAGGTAACAGGATGACTCTCTTTTGCCCAACTTAGATCATGCCCCTTACCCTGAACCCTGGCAAAGAACGTGGAGCTTCCTCCTGTGGTCCAGGTAGAGGATGGTTACATGTGGGGTCTGGGATTCAGAGGTGGCACCGCTGGCAGTGGTTGGGACATGTGAGCACAAGGGTGAGGCCTACACCACTCTGAGGCCTTGGCTGCCCCTTCTCTCTCCCCCAGCCCTCGCCTTTCCATGATGGTAAGACATGAGGCCACTCACCAGCTCTGCCTTCTTGAAGAAAATCAGTGTCCTATCTTTGAACAGAGCTGGGCCTTGAAGTCAGGCTCACCCACTCTCAAACCGTGGGGGAAACAGAGCCTTGGTTACACCAGCTCTGTCTCAGGGATTGTTTTTTCTGCTTCTCTCCTACCCTTGCCCGTTTCTTCCTGCTCCTTTCCAGCACCCTCCCAGCTCCTCACTTTCCTGACTTTTGTTTTCTTTTCCAAGCAGCTTGAGCAGTGCTTGATGCTCCTGGGTCACAGCGTGCACACATCCTGGCTGTTCTGGGTAACCGCACACCCAACCCCAGTCCCATCCCCATATCTCTATCCTGAAATCAACCCAAAGGGTGGGGAGGGAGCAGGCAACAGCAGACAACAGAAGGCGGGGGTACTGAGAGCATGTGCTGCTATTCAGGTACCCTTTGCAGTAATTCCCCAGAAGCACTAACATTTCTGCTGATCTTGGAATGATGCTGTATTACTCAGGGTTCTCCAGAGAAGCAGAACAATAAGATGTGGAGATATATGTATATATACAGAAAGACATTATAAGGAATTGGCTCATACAAATGTAGAGGCTGACAAGTCCCAAGTTCTGCAGGGTGAGTCAGCAAGCCGAGACCCAGGAGAGCCGAGGTTGTAGTTCTAGTCTGAAGGCCAGCAGGCTGAAGATCCAGGAAGAGCTGATGTTTCAGTTCAAGTCCAAAAACAGGAAGAAAGCTGATGTCACCACTTGAAAGTTGGTCATGCAGGAGGGGCGCCCTCCAACTCAGCCTTTTGTTCTATTTGGGCCCTCAGCTGATGGATGAGGATCCCCTGCGTTAGGGAGGCAGCCTGCTTTACTTGCTCCACCAACATAAATGCCAGTCCTACCCCACGCCCTCACAGATGGACCCAGAGTAATGTTCAAGCTGATATCTGGGCACCCCATGGTCCAGTCCAACTGACACATAAAATTAATCATCACAGATGCCTTCTTCAGCACATGCTCGATATCTAACAAATATCTCTACGGTGAGATTTTCCCCCCAACCTTGGGCCCACTTAAGAAAGATGTTGAACTGGGCGCGAGGGCTCACGCCTGTAATTCCAGCACTTTGGGAAGCTGAGGTGGGTGGATCACTTGAGGTCAGGAGTTTGAGACCAGCCTGGCCAACAAGGTGAAACCCCGTCTCCATTAAAAATACAAAAATTAGCCGGGCGTGGTGGTGGGCGCCTGTAATCCCAGCTACTTGAGAGGCTGAGGCAGGAGAATTACTTGAACCTGGGAGGCAGAGGTTGCAGTGAGCCAAGATCATGCCACTGCACTCCAGTCTAGGTGACGGAGCAAGCCTCCGTCTCCAAAAAAAAAAAAAAAAAAAAAAAAAAAAGAAAGATATTGAGAAATTGGAGAGGGTCCAGGCAAGCATTCTGAGTGGATGAAAGGTTAAAAGTTCTAGAGAAAAGGATGTAATAGCAATCTTAAATGTGTGAGGAGATAATTATTTATTTGCTCAAATGTGTGACTTAAAAAGGCACGCCTTCTCTATAGGACTGTTTCCTTATATGTAAATGAGGGGCTGAACTGGGTGACTTTACAGTCCTGCCAGCCATAAAGATCCATGACTTCCTGAGAGGGGGCTGCCACGCTCTGTATCCACTGTGGGAGATGAAGAAGGACTGAGGAACTGAGCAGTTTAGCTGTAGCCTGTAGTACCAGCTACACAGGAGGCTGAGGCAGGAGGACCACTGGAACCCAAGAGTCTTGAGGCTGCAGTGCACTATGATCATACCTATGAATAGCCACTGCACTCCAGCCTGGGCAGCACCACCAGACCGCATCTTTCTTTCCTTTCTTTTTTTTCTTCTTTTGATGGAGTTTCGCTCGTCACCCAGGCTGGAGTGCAATGGGGTGATCTTTGCTCACTGCAACCTCCATCTCCCAGGTTCAAGTGATTCTCCTGCCTCAGCCTCCCAAGTAGCTGGGATTACAGGCATGTGCCACCATGCCCACCTAATTTTTGTATTATTAGTAGAGACAGGATTTCTCCATGTTGGCCAGGCTGGTCTCAAACTCCCAACCTCAGGTGATCTGCCCACTTCGGCCTCCCAAAGTGCTGGGATTACAGGTGTGAGCCACTGCTCCTGGCCTCTATTTATTTACTTACGTGAGTTTTTTTTTTTCCAATAGGTTTTTGGGGAACAGGTGGTGTTTGGTTATAGGAATAGGTCGTTTAGTGGTGATTTCTGAGATTTTGGTGCACCTACCACCTATGCAGTGCACACTGTACCCAATGTGTAGTCTTTTATCCTTCACCCCCTTCCCACCCTTTACCCTGAGTCCCTAAAGTCCATTGTACTCATCTCTATTAAAAAAAAAAGAAAAAAAGGCCAGGTGCAGTGGGCAGATCACTTGAGGTCAGGAGTTCACGATCAGCCTGGCCAAAATGCTGAAACCCCATCTCTACTTAAAAAAAAAAAATTAGCCAGGCATGGTGGTGTCTCGGCTGTAGTCTCAGCTACTCAGCAGGCTGAGGCAGGAGGATCACTGGAACCCAGGAGGCAGAAGTGGCAGTGAGCCAAAATTGAGCCACTGCCCTCCAGGCTGGGTGACAGAGCGAGACTCCATCTCAAAACAAAAACAAAAACAAAACAAAACGAACAACAACAGCAGCAAAAAAAGGCCAGGTTCAGTGGCTCACACCTGTAATCCCAGCACTTTCGGAGGCCGAGGTGGGCAGATCACTTGAGGTCAGGAGTTCGAGACCAGCCTAGCCGACATGGTGAAACTCCGGCTCTACTAAAAATACAAAAATTAGCTGGGTGTGGTGGCTTGCTCCTGTAGTACCAGCTACTCGGGAAGTTGAGGCAGGAGAATCACTTGAACCTGGGAGGCAGAGGTTGCAGTGAGCCAAGATTGCACCACTGCACTCCAGCCTGGGGGACCAGCCAGACCTTGTCTAAAAAAAAAAAAAAGGAAAGAAATAAATTCTTTTCCCATCTTTCTTTCTTTATTCTTATTTTTTGAGACAGCGTCTTCATCTGTTGCCCAAGGTAGAGTGCAGTGGCACAATCGCAGCTCATTGCAGCCTCTATCTCCTTAGGTTTAAGCAATCCTCACACTTCAGCCTCCAGGTTGCTGGGACTACAGGTGTGCAACACCACACCTGACTGATTTTTTTTTTTTCTTTTCTGTATTTTGTAGAGATGTGGTTTTGCCATGTTGCCCAGGCTGCTCTCAAACTCCTGGGCTCAAGCAATCTACACACCTCAACTTCCCAAAGTGCTGGGATTACCACCACACTTGGCCCTTTTCTCATTTCTAAAGTGGGTTGTCTTTTATTGTTGAGTTTTAAGAGCTTTTGTTTGTTTTTGCCATCCTGTGCCACTCTGTTGCACAGGATGGAGTGCCGTGGAGCCATCTGGGCTCACTGAAACCTCCAACTCCTGGGTTCAAGTGGTTCTTCTGCCTCAGTCTTGAGTGAGCCACTACGCCCGCCTAATTTTTGTATTTTTAGAGAGATAGAGTTTCACCGTGTTGGCCAGGCTGGTCTCAAACTCCTGACCTCAGGTGATCCGCCTGCCTCGGCCTCCCAAAGAGCTGGGATTATAGGCATGAGCCACCATGCCCGGCTGAGTTTTAAGAGTTTTTATATATTCTAGATACCAGCCCCTTATCAAGTGGCACAGAGCAACTATGGCAGAGGGCCTACAGAGATTAAGTTTGTGCCCCATAGATATACACTAAAACATTTTGGAGAAATGGAAAAATATGGATTGATACTTTCCATTGCAACAGAATTCTTTTAAAAGACAAAAGAACCTTAGATATCCTCACCAAATTTCAGGATGAAGAACACAGATATTGGAAATTCTTGCTCTAATCTTACCTAAGGGTGTATTAGTCAGTGCTGTTTTAGTTGCAAAAACTAAAAACTCAACTCAAATTAGTCATGGAAGAAAGGAATTTATTGGCTGAGCAGCGGAGAAGTTAAATCCTGAGGTGAATTTGGGGCTCCCAAGATGTCTGGGCCTCCTCACTCCCCCTCTTCCAGCTCCACCCCTGATCACTGGCATCATTTCCTGGCCAGGCCCTTCTCTAGCCTTCAGTGTGGCAAGAGAGCAGTTTCATTTCCGGCTATCTCAGAGCACTGCATTCAACAGAAAACAAAGCAAGCCCTTTCCTTGGAGTTTACAAATGACTCAGGATTCACTCTGATTTGACCAAGAGTCAGAACCCTAATTGGCCAAGCCTGAAGTCACTTGTCTACCCCTGATACTGGGAATAGAATGCATGGATGAGAGGGAGGTGGGTGGTTCCATGAAAAGGAAATTCAAGCACTTTTCCTAAAAGAAGGGGGAATGGATGCTGAAACAACACGTCTCCCACAAAGGGAGCAGACACTGGGCTTGTGAAGCTGCCCCATACCTTCCCCACAGAACTGGGTTTCCCTCCTTGGTGCCCCTGACGGAGCCTTGTCTTCACCCTCCATTATGTATTCATCATGTGGCATCGTCACTGTTTCCTCCTCTGTCTCCAGAGTGTCTTCTCTTAGTTCTCAGCTAGTAAGAGAAGGAGGCTGGGCATGGTGGCTCATGCCTGTAATCCCAGCACTTTGGAAGGCCAAAGTGGAAGGATTGCTTGAAGCCAGGAGTTTGAGACCAGCCTGGGCAACAAAGTAAGACTCCCGTCTCTACAAAAAAGAAAAAAAAAGTTAGCTGGGCATGGTCATGTGCACCTGTGGTCCCAGCTACTTGGGAGGCAGAGGCAGGAAGACTGCTTGAGCCCAGGAGTTTAAGGCTGCAGCGAGCTATGATTGCACCACTGCACTCCAGCCTGGGTGACAGAGTGAGACCTCATCTATAAAATTTTTTTTTAAATGCAGGGGTGAAGGAAATAAGGAGGTAATTACTGAAAGAATGAAAGGTCATGCTAGAAATATACCATAAAATGCAATGGGGACTCAAAGAAGGGCAAGATTAAAGGGGACAGGAAATCTATTCTGGGGTGTCTTTGAGGGCCCTGAGAAATAAAACAAAGGAGTGGCAACAGGAACCAAAATATCCTCTTAATTACTGCTAGAGGGCTGGGCTGGAGGACACAGCTTTAGACCTGTGAACTAAGTGAGCTGCTAATGCAAATCCCACTAGGAGGCAGGCTCACCCGCCCAGCCATGGTAGCCCTCAACCAGAGAAAGCCTCCTTTAGTCCTGCAGGAGTGCAGCCCCCTCAGCGAGAGCAGTGGGATTTTATACCCTGCATGCAGCTCACCCCCAAGGTGATGGAGGGGCCCACTGGCCTACACAGGACCAGTTTCCCCTCCCCACCTACCTATCCAAGCAGTCATCTTTTATTTTCCCTGGGGCAAAGTAATAGAGGGGTGGAGAGAAGGCAGGAATGTTACCCTAGTGGAACTCCCTGAACAGGGGAGGAAACTGGTAAGGTTTCCAAAAGCTCATGGAGACAGTGGCATTTAAGATGGGCCTCTCTTAAGGTCCTGAGCAGGAGGAAATGCAGAGACTCTGGGCCAACACTCCTAGATGTGGCTTCTGGTCACCCCCACTGTCAAGGTGGCTCCACTCTTGCCCCATGGCTCTCTGTAATAACTGCCCTCTTGCCTTGCCTGCTGGCCTGGGTTGCTATGGTGCAGTAACTCTACAGCTTGGTACTTGGGTCTCGACTTGTTCATACATGTTGGTGCATCTCTGTGCCCTAAGATTCTCTTCCAGCTATAGCTGGCTCTGTTTCTCTGCACCTGCCACACTGCAATGAGCAGATCTATTTCCAGGTCTGGCAGCCCCTGCTGCTGGGCTCCTTCCCATAGTGGTAAACTGGGCCAGGCTGAAGAGATGATATTAACCTAAACTGAGCCAGATACTCACCAACTGCAGGGAAGGAAGGAAGCAGGAGTGTGTGCTTCACTTTGCTTCCTAGGCTCCAGACCCCCAACTGCCCGCTGGGAAAACAAGGGCAGCTCTTGCCCACATGAAGCAGGGAGCCTCGCTCCTGAGGCAGGGCGCTGGTGGAGGCTGCCTGAATGTGTGTTCTCACTGGCGACTTGGATCTGGTCCTGAGAAGAGTTGACCCGAGATGTCTTTGGCCTTGCAATTCCACATACAGCCCCCTCCTTGATGACAAAAACAGATGCTTCCATGAGGAGTTTTTGAATTCGGAAGAAATTACCTGCTACGAGGAACAGTCTCACATACTGAGGAGTAAGAGGACGAATATTGTAAACACTTTTCATTCTGAATAATAGACTAATAGAGCTTTGGATTGTCCATGTATTCTGAAGGGAAGAAAAGGCACTTATTTGCTGCCTTTTGGCATGATAGTCAAAGCCCAGGGGTTGCATCAGACTCAAACAGCTTGCTCTCCAAGTCCTGAGGGGAAAGGGACCAAGGCATAGACATGAGAGCTAACAACAACCAACTTCAAGCAGGCCCACTTAACCCTCTGCACAATGCCTGCCCTCCGCTGTAATGAGAAATGATTTCCACACATGCTGCTGCTAAGATAATAAGAGTGCTTCCGAACTCTCTGCCAGAGCCCAGACTAGAAGACATGATCTGTAGCTTGGGATCTGAAACCTGCAGGCCATGAGGAAGGACACACAGAGGGCAAGGGCGTCAGCTAAGGGACAGCGGCGAGGGATGGCTGCAGAGGGGGTGTGCAGAGCTCCAGCACCGTGCAGGTGGAGAGAGTCCGTGCTCTAACTCCCAACACTGGTTATCCGCACCAGGATACTCTGTTGAGTTCCATGACAGAATCTGTTTCAGGGCGGGCTCCCTGGAGGCTGACTTTGAGATGGAGATTCCCATGCAGGGAGTGTACTGGGGCTGCTCTCAGGTTCAGCACCTACAGAAGGGAAGGAAGCAGACTTGCTCACAGGGAGAAGCTGGGCTGCAAGGCAGTCTCGACACACCCCTCAGCTGAACCCATGGAAGGTGTTGAAGCATTAGAAAAGTCTCATGGCCGTCCCAGCTTCAGATGCCCCCAGCCCCCACTGAGCTGAGGGGCCAGACCTTTGTACCCCAGCTTCAGCCAGTCACTGGGTACACACTGTCCCCAGAGGGGTGGTGGGACATTGGGTGGGGAAGCTGTCTTCACTTGGGGGCAATTCCTGAGGAGGGCTGTGAGCCAGCAATCCTCCCAGCAGCTGGGGCAGAGCCTGTCTTGAGGGGGATTTGGATTGTTTATCAGGGCGTCCACAGCCTCTTGTGCCACTCAGATCCACTCCTCTGG
Source organism: Homo sapiens (assembly GCF_000001405.40). Classification (NCBI taxonomy): domain Eukaryota; kingdom Metazoa; phylum Chordata; class Mammalia; order Primates; family Hominidae; genus Homo; species Homo sapiens. The sequence goes on along the minus strand of NC_000002.12, from coordinate 96,239,325 downwards.
GTAAGTTCTGGGAGCAGCTCGTCTTTCTCTGGAACAAACTAATGGTTCATCAGATGACCACAGCCCCCACCACTGCAGCTGTTCTTGAGGTCTCACCGATACTCCCCATCTCCCTCTTCTATCCATTTTATCTTTATTTATTTATTTAGAGACTTGTTCTGTTGCCCAGGCTGGAGTGCAGTGGTGTGATCACAGCTCACTGCAGCCTCCACTTCCCAAGCTCAAGTGATCCTCCTGCTTCAGCCACCTGAGTAGCTGGAACTACAGGTGTGTGCCACTACACCCAACTAATTAATTTTTTTTAAGAGATGAGGTCTCACTATGTTGCCCAGGCTGATGTTGAATTTCTGAGCTTGAGTGATCCTCCTGCCTCAGGCTCCCAAAGTGCTAGGATTACAGGTATGAAGCACTGCACCTGGACTTCTATCCATTTTATTTTATTTTACTTTTTTTTTGCGACTGAGTCTCACTGTGTCGCCCAGGCTGGAATGCAATGGCACGATCTCGGCTCACTGCAACCTCCGCCTCCCAGGTTCAAGCAGTTCTCCTGCCTCAGCCTCCTGAGTAGCTGGGATTACAGCCACATGCCACCACACCTGGCTAATTTTTGTAATTTTTTTTTAGTAGAGACAGGGTGTCACTATGTTAGCCAGGCTGGTCTCAAACTGTGACCTCAGGTGATCCTCCCACCTTGGCCTCCCAAAGTGCTGAGATTATAGGCGTGAGCCACTGAGCCCGCCTCGGCTTCTATCCATTTTAGATTCTCCTCCCTGCAGGAAGCACCTCAGCTGAGCCCCTGGCCACCACACCCTTTTCAGGCTATGGCTGCTGCACCTGTGCATTTATCATCAGCAAGGGGCAAGAGTACAAAGACATATTCCTTCTGGCTCCCACTGTGCAACTGCAGCCCCATCTCTTCCTGGTGGGCAGGGTCCACTACTCCTGCCAGGATGGTGGCTCCTGCTTCTTGCCTACTGGTTCCTTGGTGTACTTTTGCTGTATCCCTTCATGGAAACATTTCCTTATTGGGAACCAGAACCTAAAACCCTCAAAGCTTAGAGTTGTGGTAACAGAAATACCCCAATGGGATTAATGTAAAGTGAAGCCGCTCCTATCTCTACCCCTTGGTTCCTGGACCTATATATTCCTCCCAGTGGGACATAGCGCCTTATTGGTTGTTGATTAGAGTGTACACTGTGCCCTGGAAGGTAGTAACCCCTCCTTACTTGGTATCATCGTCTCTGAGCTGGCATCTCAGCTACGCCTTCAACAGCCCATTTCTTCTCTTCGTTCAAGCCAGTATCTTCTGGGTGGTGCAGAATGTGACAGGACCAGTGATCCCATGGTCACGTGCCATTGTCATGCCTCCTTCGCCTTGCAATGAACGGGCCCTTGGGTCTGATGTGATGTTACGTGGGAACCTATGTCAGTGGGTAAAACACTCAGTAAGCCCTCAGATAGTGGCGTTGGCTGAGGCCCTGCAGGCAGAAAAGGTAAACCATGTGTCCATTCTAGTCAAAATAAATTTCTGCCATTTCTAGGATGGAAGGGACCCATTGTAGTCAACTTATTACCAAGCGGCTACTTATTTACTTTGAGAGCTACTGCCATTTCCGAGGATCAGCACTGATGCATTGCTGGCAGGCTGAACATTCAGCAGTGGTGGTAGCTACATCAGCCCTTGTGAGTGACGGTCCATGTGTTTGTCCCCATCCCTGCCACCACAGTTGCTCCTTCACATGCCCGTTGTGTCAGTTCTGGGGTGGCTGATGGCATCTGGTTGACATCAAATTGGCTAAATCATTCTGTCTAGCTGGTTGTTTGGTGTTTCTTTCAAGTTAGATGCTTTCTGGTGGTCCTCTTCACACTTCCTAGCTACTCAAATAGTCCATCCACATGCCTCTGTCCCAGACATCCTTGTCCTTGATCTTCTAATCTTTCTCCTTCCAGACCCCTGATCAACCCATCAAGGCAGTTACTAGTAGCCATGAATGAATATAAAGTGTACCCTTGGGCTACATGTCTTTCCATACGAAGTGGATGAACAGATGCACCAGTGAGAGGACTGATCCACTGGGGGGATTTCCCTTGCCACTCTTTGTCAAGATCAGCCTATGGTGGGCTGTATTGTAGTCACAGCTCATTTTTGGCTTGCAGCCATATACCTGTCTGACCCATCTGTGAATCAAGAAAAAGCAAAGGCTCTCCTCTTTTGTCAGCTGATCATAAAGGGACTTTGCCCCCCTGTGCAGCCACAGGCATGAGCTGAGGGAGAAGCACTGGTGCCACACTGGCAGGTGACATGTGTGTCTAGGCCATCTGACTGTGTAGCTCTGTTCATGCCCAGTTCTGGACATACCATTTCCATCTTACTATGGATTATGGCTAGGCCCATTCAACTTTATGTCTTGGTGAGTTTGATAGGCAGAACCTAACTAATAACGAACGGTTCTAGACACGTGGTCACTTGGTGCCCCTTGGTGAAGTGTTCCATCTCTGCCAGGGTTTAGTAGCCCTTCAGGAGCTATTCTTCAAAAGGTGTCTAATTCTCTGCTGCAGATAGTATGGTCTTGCTCCAGAACCCTGAAGACCTATATTGTGATTGTCCTGCTGGGGCTTGCTAGAAACTCCACCTTGGATACCTGTAATATAATGGAATGACCAGAGCCTTAGCAGAGGTGCTTCCTGAGGTTAAGGGGAATCTAAAATGGACAGCAGAGGAAGAGAAATGATGAGGATCAATTAAAACATCAAGACTGTAGGGTCTGCCACTTGTAGCAACCGGACCTGCTGCAGAGCTCTCTCCTATTCTGGGCCCCCCAGTCAAAGATGGCAGCCTCTTGTGTTACCAGGTGTTAGGTTAAGCAGTATTCCCAGTTGTGGAATATGCTGCCTCTAAAATATGAATGGATTTACTAGAAGTTGTGCTTCCCTCTTCCCTGTGGTAGGTATGAGTTTCAGTAATTTGTTCCTTGCTTTAGAATGTTTCAGCACGCTTAGACCACTGGACTCCTAAAAAGTTCACTGATGAGGCAAGCTCTTGTATATCATAGGACGTTTCTTCCACTTCCTAGAGTGTATGTGTCTCACCCAAAGTACTTGACACTTCTTGCTCACCTGGCCTCATTAGCAAGATGCATATGATATCATCAACATAGGAACTAATACGAAGTTCTAAGAAATATTCAGACAGTTCTTATGTCTTTAGACTGTATTTTGACAGAGTTAACACAGCCCTGTAGGAAAACCATAAATATATACTTTTGTCAATTCCAAGTGAATCTACTGTTTCTGATCTTCCTTTTGGTGGGGATGGGAAATTGTGCATTTGCCAGATCAGTGGTCAGTTCCCTCACACTGTGTAGACTATGTAAATCCACTCTAGCATGGATGCATCTGGCACAGTAGCTGCAATTGGGATATTCGGTTCGTTTGTTGTAGTCTACTTTCACACTACAGGACATACCTGGATCTCGTAGGGTCCAGATGGGTGAATTAAGTGGAGATTTGAGGGAGGACACTACCCCTGCATCCTTTGTTCTTGAAGGTGGCATTAATCTCTGCCATTCCCCTGGGATGCAGTATTTTTATTTATTTAGAGACAGAGTCTCGCTCTGTTGCCCAGGCTAGAGTGCAGTGATGCAATCTCGGCTTACTGCAACCTTCGCCTCCCGGGTTCAATGACTCTCATGCCTCAGCCTCCCGAGTAGCTGGAACCACAGGTGTGTGCCACCATGCCCGGCTAATTTTTTTGTATTTTTAGTAGAGATGGGGTTTCACCATGTTGGCCAGGGTAGTCTCGAACTCCTGGCCTCAAGTGATCAATCTGCCTTGGCCTCCCAAAGTGCTGGGATTACAGGCGTGAGCCACTGTACCCAGTCTGCCTTTTCTTTCTTATGTTGGCTGGTTATATTAGTTATCTACTGTGGAATAACAAATCACCCCAGGGAGCACACTCATTTGGTGGGCTTTCATCTTAAAAGGAACAAAGGCAGTGTGTGTCCAGGTATAGGCTGGTAGATTTGGTGATGGGAAAATGAGGCAGTTCTGGTCTAGTTGTTTCTTTTTTTTTTTCCGAGACAGGGTCTCAATCTGTTGCCCAGTGCAGTGGCGAGATCATGGCTCACTAACTCCTACTGCTTCAATCTCCTGGGCTCAAGTGATCCTCCCACCTCAGCCTCCCAAATAGCTGGGATCATAGGAGTGCTTCACCCTGCCTGGCTAATTTTTAAATTATTTTTGGTAGAGACAGGGTTTTGTCATGTTGCCTAGGCTGGTCTCAAATTCCTGGGCTCAAGTGATCCTCCCGCCTTGGCCTCCCAAAGTGCTGGGATTACAGGCTTGAGCCACTGCACCTGGCCTGAGTTGCTTCCATTTTCTCATTAAACAAAGCAAGTCATCAGCTGAGATGTGAATCTCAGTAATACTGTCTGTATCATGAGACCTGTCTCCTTGGCCATAATTACCACAACCGGACCGGGGATGAGCTCCTAATCCAAGTGAAGGCACTTGATTCTTTCTTTTGGGAGCTTGAAGTGAGGATTCAAAGACATCAGTGTCAATTAGTGCTCAAACTGGAAGGATTTGTAAATTTAGAAACTGGGTCAGACATTTTTCTTTATATAAATGGAAAAGCTGAGAAGATTAGGTAGGGGTTGGGTGAAAGAGTAAAGCAGAAAGGAAGTAGAAAAGTAGAAAGAAAATAAGAGTCCACATAGACTTGGAGTTGCAAAAGAGGAATTACTTAGGTTCCTGTCCTAAGGTTTGAGTCCTCTGAGAAGATGCCCAGATAGGACTAAATGTGCAAGAGATGTGCTGGGAAAACACTTGTGAAGCGAATAGCAGGAAGCCGGAAGAGCCTGGGAGAGCTGCAATGCAGGTGTAGCCCCTGCCAGGAGACAGGAATGGAGGAGGGCTGGGTTGAGGAGGTGTTAGAACGCAGTGTAGTTCTTTCTTTTTCAGAGACAGTCTCCCTTTGTTGTCCAGGCTGGCCTCAAACTCCTGAGCTCAAGCAATTCTCCTCCCTCAGCCTCTTGAGTAGCTGGGACTACACATGCCTAACCATGCCCAGCTTAGAACGTAGTGTAGTTCTAAGAAAGCTCTGCAAGAGCTGATGAGGTGTGCTTGTGCCAAAGCCACCTGTCAGAGGAGTCCCCATATCCCAGAAATGGGCCTGCCTTAGTATGGCAGGCCTGCACTCAGTCACCGGGTGGGAGCAGCTCACAAGAAGGGTGGTCTCAGTGCAAATGCAGTGGCAGAATTTCATAGCCCAGCAGCAGGGGGCCATGTTACGCTCCCCTGCATTCAGAGATGTGAGCAGTGCACTCTCATGGCCACAGCTCCCAATGCCTTTTCAGTTCCTTTTTCTACCACCTTATGATGCGCAAGTGCCTTTCCTGCCTGTGAATTCTGAGCTTCTTGAGACACTCCTGGATCTTTCAAATTCGATTCCATATTTATGCTTAAACTACTTTGAGTGGATTCCAAGTACTTGCAACAAAAACAACAACAAAAAACATAGATTGAAATAGTAACAAGGGGACTATAATCTAAATTTTCTATATAAGAGGGGATGGAAGGAGGTAATAATAATTCTAGCGCTTATTCCTTATACCCTGTAGAGGGTTCTACAGTTTGTAATGTATTTTAGCTTACACAATCTTATTTGAGTCTTACAACAACCTCTGAACACAAGTAAGGCTGGCATCATTATCTGTATTTCACAGATGAGGAAGCTGAGTTTCAGAGACAATACAAATTATGCTGAATTGAAAAAAAATGGAGGCCGGGCGAGGTGGCTCACGCCTGTAATCCCAGCACTTTGGAAGGCTGAGGCAGGTGGATCACCTGAGGTCGGAGTTCGAGACCAGCCTGACCAACATGGAGAAACCCCATCTCTACTAAAAATACAAAATTAGCTGGGCATGGTGGTACATGCCTGAAATCCTAGCTACTTGGGAGGCTGAGGCAGGAGAATTGCTTGAACCCGGGAGGCAGAGGTTGCAGTGAGCTGAGATAGTGCCATTGCACTCTAGCCTGGGCAAAAAGAGCGAAACTCTATTCAAAAAAAAAAAAAAAAAGACAAACCATATAAATGTTAGCCTCTACCTATAAAAGCAGTGAGCCAAAAGCAGCACTGCATTCCTGGAGAGATTGCAGAAATTAGTTCCACCACTAATCAATGATCTGAAAGACACAGAGCTGATGATTTCCATTCAGCTTAGCTCTCTAGCCTGTGCAGATCCAAGATGGATCCAAGAGAATGGCGTGGATTATTATAAACTCAATTAGGTTGTGACTCCAATTGCAGCTGCTATTCTAGGTGTGCCTTCATTCATGAAGCAAATCAATGCATCCCTTGGAGCAAAGTATGCAGCTATTGATCTGATGAATGCTTTTTTCCTCAGCAATTTTTAGTAAAGACCATCAAAAGCAGTTTGCTTTGAGCTGACAGGGCTAGCAATACCTATTCGTTATCCAAACTCAGGACTGTATCAATTCGCAGTCATCTGTCATCATCTAGTTTGTGGAGACCTTGTCCTCTTCTCTACTCCACAGGACATCACATTCATCTAATGTGTTGATAATATGCTGATTAGAAGTAGTAACTATTCTAGCCACCTTGACGAGATATATGTATGCCAGAGGGTGGGAAATAAATCCCACAAACATTCAGTGAACCTTCTGGGGGGCCTAACGGTCTGGGGCATGTTAAGCTGGGCCCTACTACCACTAAGAGGCACAATGCCCAGTGGTTTTGGATTTTGAAGGCAATGTATACCTCATTTCAATGTTCTTCTCTGACCCATTTTCTGAATAACTTAAAAGGCTATCAGTTTTGAGTGGGGCCCAGAAGAAAAGATGACATTGTCATGACAGTTCCTGACTTATGAAGGTTCAACTTAATTTTTTTTACTTCAGCAATGATGCGAAAGCGATGTGCATTCAGTAGAAGCTGTATTTCGAATGCTGGATTTTGATCTTTCCCTAGGTGAGTGATATGTGGTGCGATGCTCTCTCGTGATGCTGGGCAGCAGCAGTGAGTGCAGCTCTGCCAGCCACAGGATCACTAGGCTGGATGACCAATATTCTACAGTGGGCTGTATGGACGGATCACTTTGCCCAACTGTAGGCCAATGTAAGTGTTCTGGGCATGTTTGAGGTAGGCTAGGCTAAGCTATGATGTCCTGTAGGTTAGGTGTATTCAGGGCATTTGCAACTCAGGATATTTTCTTTTCTTTTTCTGAGATAGGGTCTCACTTTGTCTCACCAGGCTGGACTGCAGTGGTGCAAGCATGGCTCTCTGCACCCTCGATCTCCTGGGCTCAAGCCATTCTCCCACCTCAGCCTCCCACGTAGCTGGGACTACAGGCGTGTGCCTCCATGCCTGGCTAACTTAAAAAATTTTTTTTTTTGTAGAGACAATGTCTTGCTATGTTGCCCAGACTGGTTTCACACTTCTGGGCTTAAGTGATCCTCCAGCTTTGGCCTCCCAAAGGGTGGGGATTACAGGCATGAGCCATTGCACCTGGCGAAATTTTTATAATTGTATGTTGTCTCAGCATCTGTTTTAAATACAGGTTAGCCTTTCTCATATAAAAAGCAGGACTCAGTCACCCTTGACACATTGTCCAGTTCTCCACCTCCTCCTAGCTCCTCAGTGTGATCAATCTAGATACCTGCCTTATACAACCACCTCCTGATGACCACTTCCCTGTGGACACCTAGATACTACATATGTGACTTGCTCCAACCCCCTCGCCCCACATGGACTGCCCAGACATGCTGCAGTGACCACCTCTGAGTCACAGCATGACCCCATGATACTTGTGCCTGCTTGCTCTAAACTTACCAGTTAGAACTCCTATCGGATGCAGTGGCTCACGCCTGTAATCCCAACACTGTGAGTGGCCAAGGTGGGAGGACTGCTTGAGACAAGGAGTTTGAGACAGCCTGGGCAACATAGCGAGACCTTGTCTCTACCAAAAATAATTTAAAAATTAGCTAGGCATGGTGGCGCACTCCTGTGATCCCAGATATTTAGGAGGCTGAGGTGGGAGGACTGCTTGAGCCTGAGAGGTAGAGGGTGCAGTGAGCTGTGATAGCGCCAGTGCACTCCAGCCTGGGCAACAGAATGAGACCATTTCAAAAAACCAAAAACCCGCTGGGCATGGCAGCTCATGCCTGTAATCCCAGCACTTTGGGAGGCCGAGGCAGGAGGATCACCTGAGGTCAGGAGTTTGAGACCAGCCTGGGGAACATGGCAAAACCATGTCTCTACTAAAAATACACAAATTAGCCAGGTGTGGTGGTGGGCACCTGTAATCCCAGCTACTCGGGAGGCAGAGGCATGAGAATCACTTGACCCTGCAAGGCGGAGGTTGCAGTGAGCCAAGATTGCACCACTGCCTTCCAGCCTAGGTGACAGGGTGAGACTCTGTCTCAAAAAAAAAACAACAACAAAAAAAACAAAACCAAAAACCAACCCCCCCCCCACCAAAAACAAACAAACAAACAAAAAAAACAAAAACTCCTCTCAGGAAACCTGCTTGGGTAATGGCCTGGACCCAATACAGACATTAGCCCTCAGGCCCCTTGCTTTCTCTCTCATTCCCTGCTCCCCAGCTAAGCACGTGTGTCCTGGCCAGCTCTCTCCCCACTGGCCCTGAGAGGCGTGCTGCCCTCTTCTCTGTAAGAGCTCTGTAAGCAATACACTGCTTCTGTTACTTCATGTGTTTTGCTGTGTTGCCTCCTCTGCAACTCACCTGACCATCATACCTGAACCCAACTCTCATTCCATAGAGGGTTCTCCTACAGAGTGGCTATCTTGGTAGGAATAAACTGGACACAAGTCAGACAAGAGCCACACAGGTGTCTGCCAGTATCAACAAGTTTCCTGTGAGACGGACACCTGGTCATGGGTCTGACACTTAGGAATTAGGCCATCTGCCAGATAATGAAGTATCCTGTCAATGGCGCACTGCAAACATCCATGGCCAGCTCTCCTGGGGCCCTGGAGTCAGGACAGGGCTAGAGTTTACAGCCACTCTCCAGAAAGAGGCCTCAAGATGAAATCAGAAGAAACACAATACTATCTTCTGCAGGTAACTATTCTCCTTTTGAGATACAGCTTCGAGCATGTCACTTGGCCCTAGTGGACACTAAAGCCCTTGGCTGTGGGCCACCAAATTATCAAGTGTCCTGAGCTAAGCCTAAATATCATTATTTATTAATGATAAATTAAATTGGGTATTATATGACTCATCAAGCCAGAAAGTTGCACTCCATCTACTTAATGATGGAGTCATTATGAAATGGAAATGGTATAAATGAGATTGGGTCTGAGCAGGTCCTAAATGCAGAAGCAAGTTCTCTGAGTAACTACTCCTGCTACATTGCCTATTCTCTCTCAACCCACATCTATGGCCTCATGGGAAATCACCTATCACCAGTTGACCAAGGAGGTAAAAATTAAAAAAAAAAATTCAAGTCTGGCTGGGCACGGTGGCTTACATTTTATAATCTCAGCACTTTGGGAGGCCCAGCCGGAAGGACTGCTTGAGCCCAGTAGTTCGAGAACAGCCTGAGCAACATGGTAAGATCCCACCTATACAAAATAATAATAATAATAATAATAATAATAATAGCCGGGTGCAGTGGCATGCACCTGTGATCCCAGCTACTTGGGAGGCTGAAGCAGGAGGACCACTGGGGCCTAGGAGGTTGAGGCTGAAGTGCAGTGGTGATCGTGCCACTGCACTTCAGCCTGGGCGACAGTGAGACCCTGCCTAAGGAAAAAAAAAAAAAATTCAAGTCTGGTTCCTTGTTACAGATGTTTCTGCATCACATATTGTTATAACCCCACTCAAGGTGGTCCTGAGAACAGTGGTCAAAGGAAATCTTCCGAGTGGGCAAAACTTTGATTGGTGCATGTGGTTGCTCATTTTACCTAGAAGGAGAGATGGTCAGAGTTGTAGCTCTACATTAGAGAAACATGATTGGAAAAGGGTAAAAGTTTGAATGCTTTGTCATTAAAACTGGGAACAAGTGAAGGGTGTCTACTCTCACTACTTCTATCCAACATTGTATTGAAGGTTCTAGTCAGTGAAATAAAGCAAGAAAAAGAAACAAGTACAGTGCTATGGCTTGAATGTCCTCTCCAAAACTCATGTTGAAACTTGATCCCCAATGTGGCAGTGTTGAGAGGTGGGGCCTTTGAGGGTGATTGGATCAAGAGGGTTCTACCCCCATGAATAGATTAATTCATAGATCAGTATATTAAAGGGTTAATGAATTAATGGGTTATCATCAGAGTGAAACTAGTGACTTTATAAGAGGAAGAGAGACGTGAGCATAGCACATTAGTACGTTCAGCCCCCTTGCCATGGGACACCCTGTGGCCACCTCAGGACTCGGTAGAGTCCCCATCAACAAGAAGGCTCTCACCAGATATGCCCCCTCAACCTTGGACTTCTGAGAACTCCATAACTATAAGAAACAAATCTTTTTTCTTTTTTTCCCTTTAAAAATGTGTATAAATATAAGGGATACAAGTGCAGTTGAGTCACATGAATATACTGCATAGTGGTGAAGTCTAAGCTTTTAGTGTCACCATCACCTTCTTTTTCTCTATAAATCACCCAACTTCAGGTATTCTGTTATAAGCAACAGAAAATGGACTCATACATACAGACTGGAAAGGAAGAAGGAAAATTGTCTTTATTTGCAGAAAACATAATTGTGTATATAAAAAACTCTAAGGAATTTATCAAAATAAGCTATTAGAACTAATAGAAAGATTGTGGGACAGCTGGGCGCAGTAGCTCACACCTGTAATCCCAGCACATTGAGAGGCTGAGGCAGGTGGATCATTTGAGGTCAGGAGTTCGAGACCAGCATGGCCCATATGGTGAAACCCTGTCTCTACCAAAAATACAAAAATTAGCCGGGCATGGTGGCACATGCCTGTAATCCCAGCTACTCAGGAGGCTGAGGCAGGAGAATCGCTTGAGCCTGGGAGGCAGAGTTTGCGGTGAGCTGAGATCGTGCCATTGCACTCCAGTCTGGGTGACAGAGTGAGACCCTGTCTCAAAATAAATAAATAAATACATAAATAAATAAATAAATAAATAAATAAAAGAAATAAAGATTGTGGAATACAAAGTCAACATAAAAACTATTATATTTCAGCTGGGCACAGTGGCTCACACCTATAATCCCAGCACTGTGGGAGGCCAAGGCGGGCGGATCACCTGAGGTCAGGAGTTCGAGACCAGCCTGACCAACATGGAGAAACTCTGTCTCTACTGAAAAATACAAAACTAGCCGGGTGTGGTGGCACATGCCTGTAATCCCAGCTACTCAGGAGTCTGAGGGAGGAAAATCGCTTGAATCCGAGAGGTGGAGGTTGAGGTGAGCTGAAATCTCCTCCGTTGCACTCCAGCCTGGGCAAAACTCTGTCTCAAAAAACAAACAAACAAACAAACAAAAAAAACCTTTTATATTTCTATATACTAGTATTGAAGTATTGGAAATTGAAAAATTTAAAATACCACTTGCAACGGGACCAAAAATCAGAAAAACACTTAAGGATAAATTAAACAAAATCATGCAAGACCTATACACTAAAGCTAAAAAAATGGCTGAGAAAGTTAAATGGAGGAATAAATAAATAAGAGATATGCTATGTTCATGAATTGGGAAGACTCCATATTGCTAAGACATCAATTCTCCCCAAATTAAAGATTCAATGCAGTCCCAATCAAAATCTGATCAGGCATTTTTTTGGGGTAGAAATTGACAAGGTGACTCTAAAATGTATATGGGAACACAAGGGACTCAGAACAGGCAAAAAACGTTGCAAAACAAAAAACCAGGTTGGAGGACTTATATTTAATTGATTTCAGTACTTACTTTATAGCTACACTAATTACTTTATTAGCTACACTAATCAAGATAGGGTGAAACTGGCATAAGGACATATAGATCAATGAAACAGAGTCTAGAAGTAGGCCCACACATATATGGTGAACTGGGTTTCAACACAGTGCAAAGGCCTTTAGAATGGGGAGAAAAAGATAATCTTTTCAACAAATTATGTTACAGCAACGTGATATCTATATGGGGAAAAAATGAACCCCTATCCTTACCTGATATCATATATAAAAATTAGCTCAATATGTATCATTGATATAAGTGTAAAAATGAAAACCATAACATTTCTAAAGGAAAACATAGACCTCTGTTATGTTTGGATAAGCAAAGATTTCTTAGATAGGACACAAACCATTAAAATTTTTTTTTTGATGCACTGAACATCATCAAAATCAAATATTTGTATTCTTCAGACACAAGTAAGACAATGAAAAGGCAAGCCTGGAACTGGAGAAAATATTTTCAAAACATATCTGAATAAAGGGCTTGTATCCAGAATATATAAACAATTTAAATAATAAAAAATAATTTTTTTTAAATTTAAAAACGGGCAAAATATTTCAAAAAACAAGTCATAAAAGAGAAACAAATGGTCAATAAGCACATGAAAAAATGCTTAACAAGACTACTCAACAAAGAAGTACAAATTAAAATCACAATGAGGCCAGGCACAGTGGCTCACGCCTGTAATCCCAGCACTTTGGGAGGCTGAAGCAGGTGGAGGATTACCTGAGGTTAGGAGTTCGAGACCAGTCTGGCCAACATGGCGAAACCCTGTCTCTACCAAAAATATAAAAATTAGCTGGGTGTGGTGGCACATGCCTGCAATCCCAGCTACTTGGGAGGCTGAGGTAGGAGAATCACTTGAACCCGGAAGGTGGAAGTTGCAGTGAGCTGAGATCGTACCATTGCACTCCAGCCTGGGCAACAGAGCAAGACTCCATCTCAAAAAAACAAAACAAAACAAAAACAACCAAAAGAAAAAACACAATGAAGTATTACTATAAGGCCGGGTGCGGTGGCTCATACCTGTAATCCCAGTACTTTGGGAGGCCAAGGTGGGTGGATTACCTGAGGTCAGGAGTTCGAGACCAGCCTGGCCAACATGGTGAAGCCTCATCTCTACTAAAAATACAAAAAATTAGCTGGGCGTGGTGGCGGGCACCTGTAATCCCAGCTACTTGGGAGGCTGAGGCAGGAGAATCACTTGAACTCAGGAGGAGGAGGTTGCAGTGAGCCGAGATCGCACCATTGCACTCCAGCCTCGGCAACAAAAGCGAAACTCCGTCTCTAAATAAAATTTAAAAACTGACAATATGGAGTACTGGCAAGGATGCAGAATAATCAGAACTCTTATACACTGCTGGTGGGAATACAAAATGATAAAACTACTTTGGAAGCAGGTTAGCAATTTCTTAAAAGGTGAAACACTGCCACTGCACTCCAGCCTGGGCAACAGAGCAAGACTCCGTCTCAAAAAAAAAAAAAGTGAAACACCATAAAACCTAGCAATTCCTTTTCTAGGTATTTACCTGAAAGAGTTGCATGCAAATATTCATAGCAGCCCAACCTGGAAACAATCCAAATGTCCATCAAATGGATAAACAAATGTCAGTATATTCATACAATGGGATAGTAAGCTACAAACTACTGATACAACAAAATAGATGAATCTCAAAACCATTACACTAATGGAAAGAAGCCAGATACAACATACTATATGATTTCATTCATATGAAATTCTAGAAAAGACAAAACTATAGTGATAGAAAGCAGATTATGGCTGTCAAAGGCCAGGGGTTGGGGAAAGGGACTGGCTGCGAAGGGGCACAGGGAACTTTTCAGAATGATGGTAATGTAATGTTTCACAGCATAATTGTGGCAGTGAATCTATGATTACCCCTTGACTGCCTGGAGAGTTTCCCTTTTGCAGCATAGGAAGAGAGAACCCAAGTGAAGGCCAACTGACTCCTTGAGTTGAGGACAAGGAGTTGGAAAGTCATAGAGAAGTTTGAGAAGCTGTTGCCTCTGTGGGTGTGAGGCCCTTGCTGGTCATTAGGCTCGTAATACAGGAAGAAGTCCTGGAACTAAAGCAGAGAAGAGTCAGTACAAGCTGGAATGAGCCAGTTACCTCTGCCTTTATTTATCACTCCATCTGACTGTGGAGTTTCCAAAAGTATAACGGCCCTGTTTCACTTCTGCTTTCCAAACAAGTTTCTGTTTGGCCAACTCTATATGTGGAGGAGAATTCTGGGAAATACCTAGCTTGACCAAGTTGACAATAGAACAATACGGCATCCACACACAAAATTTAAAGAACCATCCTTCATTACAAAGTACTTACATAACTTTTCTTAGTGTTATCTCAATAAAAACGAAAAATAGGAGATCTGATGATCAACACTGTATTTTCTAGCCTAATAATATTCAACTAATAATACTAATTGAAAAGAATTATCAGTTTTACCTATCTCATTATGAGAAGTGCCCAACATATTTTTATAATTTTGTTTTTTGAGACGGAGTCTTACTCTGTTACCCAGGCTGGAGTGCAATGGTATGATCTCGGCTCACTGCAACCTCCGCCTCCCAGGTTCAAGAGATTCTCCTGCCTCAGCCTCCCGAGTAGCTGGGATTACAGGCAACTGCCACCAAGCTCAGCTAATTTTTTGTATTTTTAGTAGAGACGGGGTTTCACCGTGTTAGCCAGGATGGTCTCAATCCCCTGACTTTGTGATCTGCCTGCCTTGGCCTCCCAAAGTGCTGGGATTACAGGTGTAAGCCACTGCACCTGGACACATTTTTATGATTTTTAATGACATTTGAGATACATGTTGTTTTAATCTTTTTTTTTTTTTGAGATGAAGTCTCACTCTTGTCACCCAGGCTGGAGTGCAGTGGCATGATCTCGGCTCACTGCAACCTCTGCCTCCCGGGTTCAAGCAATTCTCCTGCCTCAGCCTCCTGAGTAGCTGGGATTACAGGCACGCACCACCATGCCCGGGTAATTTTTGTATTTTTTAGTAGAGATGGAGTTTCGCCATGTTGGTCAGGCTGGTCTTGAACTCCTGACCTCGTGATCCGCCCACCTCAGCCTCCCAAAGTGCTGTGATTACAGGCATGAGCCACCGCGCCTGGCTTGTTTTAATCTTGTATGCTAATAATAGAAATAAAAATTCAGTCCAGAAAAATAATGAACCCTTAAAGACTTATAAGAAATTTTAAAAAATTTTTAATTTTTATTTTGTGTGTGAGAGACAGGAGCATATGATGGGGGATCAATAAAGAATTTATGGATGGGCACAGTGGCTCACACCTGTAATTCTAGCACTTTAAGGCCGAGGCGGGCATATCTTCTGAGGTCAGAAGTTCGAAACCACCCTGGCCAACATGGTGAAACCCCATCTCTAATTACAAAAATCAGCCGGGCATGATGGTGCACACCTGTAGTCCCAGCTATTCAGGAGGTTGAGGCAGGAGAATCACTTGAACCTGGGAGGCGGAGGCTGCAGTGAGCCAAGATCATACTGGCTGGGTGTGGTGGCTCACGCCTGTAATCCCAGCACTTTGGGAGGCCGAGGCGGGTGGATCACTTGAGGTCGGGAGTTCAAAACCAGCCTGACCAACATGCAGAAACCCTGTCTCTACTAAAAATACAAAAAATTAGTCAGGCATGGTGGCACATGCCTGTAATCCCAGCTTCGGGAGGCTGAGGCATAAGAATTACTTGAACCCAGGAGGCGGAGGTTGTGGTGAGCCGAGATCACACCATGGCACTCCAGCCTGGGCAACAAGAGCGAAACTCCATCTCAACAAAAACAACAGAAGAATTTATGCTGTACATATACTTCATTAGGATAAAATTCTGTGGGGTAAGCAGATGAAGGTGAAAAGTAAAATTAGCAACTCTTAAAAAAAGAATAATGACTAGGGTTGGGTGTGGTGGCTTACGTTTGTAATCCCAGCACTTTGGGAGGCCAAGGCAGGAGGATTGCTTGAGCCCAGGAGCTCAAGACCAGCCTAGGCAACATAGTGAGACCCTGTCTCTTAAAAAAAGTTAAAAAAGGGCAACCCCCTTTGGGTCCCCTCCCATTTTACGGGAGCTTTGTTTTCACTCTATTAAATCTTGCAACCACATACTCTTCTGGTCTGTGTTTGTTATGGCTCGAGCTGAGCTTTTGCTCACTGTCCACCCACTGCTGTTTGCCACCGTTGCAGACCTGCTGCTGACTTCCACCCCTCCAGATCCAGCAGGGTGTCCACTGTGCTCCTGATCCAGTGAGGTGCCCATTGCCTCTCCTGATCAGGCTAAAGGCTCACTATTGTTCCTACATGGCTAAGTGCCCGGGTTCGTCCTAATCAAGCTGAACACTAGTCGCTGGGTTCCACGGTTCTCTTCCATGACCCACGGCTTCCAATAGAGCTATAACACTCATCGCATGGCCCAAGGTTCCATTCCTTGGGATCCGTGAGGCCAAGAACCCCAGGTCAGAGAACAAGAGGCTTGCCACCACCTTGGAAGCGGCCCACCACCACCTTGGGAGCTCTAAGAACAAGGACCCCCCCGGTAACATTTTGGTGACCACGAAGGGACCTCCAAAGCAGTGAGTAATATTGGACCACTTTCACTTGCTATTCTGTCCTATGCTTCCTTAGAATTGGAGGAAAATACCAGGCACCTGTCGGCTAGTTAAAAACGATTAGTGTGGCCACCAGACTTAACACTCAGGTGTGAGGCTGTCTGGGAAAGGGCTTTCTAACAACCCCCAATTCTTCTGAGTTGGAAGCGTTGGTCTGCCTGGAACCAGCTTCTGCTTTCAATTTTCCTGGGGAAACTGAGGGCCTACTAGAGGCAGAAAGCTGTCATCTCAAACTCCCAGCATTAGCCGGTTGAGTTCATGGCACAGCCAGAAGTCTCTACTCAACAGTTGCCCATGCGTGTACCCCTACCTTTCCTTCTGACCCATACGTCCTGGGTCCCGACCATGACTTTCTTGAAAGTGTAGCCCCCAAATTCTCCTTACCTCTGAATCTACTTCCTCTGATCCCTGCCTCCTAGGTACTAATGGTTCAGACTTTCATTTCCTTTCCCAAGTATTAGAGCAAGTTGTATCTCCAAAGGGATCTAAGGAAGCTCTATGCTGTGTCCTTAGGCATCTAGGCTATGAACCCAGGGAGTTTTGTCCCTGGTGTCCCTCCCAATTTAGGCATACAGCTCTTGACATGGGCAGTTATGTGGGACCCATTCCCTACCACCCTTGCCAAGGCCCCAAGTTTGTAAATGCCTAGGAGGATTGCTCTTCCATTGTGTAAGATGCTCTCCTCCCCCGATTTCTACCCAGCTTACCCCTCTGCAATGCAATCTCTAAGCCTTGGCTCCTTGGCCAGGGCCTTAGAACTGATGACCCAGTACTTTAACAATTGGAACTGGGTCTACGACAACATAATAGATCAGAATGAAAGCAAATTGAGTAAGTCAAGGAGAGAAGAGATAGAGAGAGACAGAGAGAGAAAAGAGAGAAGAGAGGGAGACAGGGAAAAAAAGAGACAGAAGTAGTAAAGAAAAAAACAGTGTGCCCTATTCCTTTAAAAGCCAGGGTAAATTTAAAGCCTATAATTGATAATTGAAGGTCTTCTTTGTGACCCTATAACACTCCAATACTAACTTGTTGTCAGTGTAAACAAGGGCATAGTCTGAAAACACTGAGACCACTGACAACCAGTAGCCTTCCTATCAAAAATCCTTAACCCAGGAACCCACGGATGGCCCAAATGCATTCATTCTGTAGCAGAAACTGCTTTGCTAACAGAAGAAAGTAGAAAAGTAACTTTTAGAGGAAACCTCACTGTGAGCACACCTCACCAGTTCAGAATTATTCTAAGTCAAAAAAGCAAAAAGGTAGCTCACTAACTCAAAAATCTTAAAGTATGGGGCTATTCTGTTAGAAAAAGGTGATTTAACATTAACCACTAAAAATTCCCTTAACCCAGCAGATTTCCTAATAGGGGATTTAAATCTCAATTACCATACAAAGGTCCGACCAGATCTAGGAGGAACTCCCTTCAGGACAGGACTATAGATGGCTCCTCCCAGATGATTGAGAAACAAACCACAATGGGTATTCAGTAATTGATAGGGAGACTCTGGGTATTCAGTAATTGACAGGGAGACTCTTGTGGAAGCAGAGTTAGGAAAATTGCCTAATAATTGGTCTGCTCAAATGTGCAAGCTGTTTGCACTCAGCCAAGCCTTAAAGTACTTACAGAATCAAAAAACTCTATCTCAATCCTTACTCAAAAGGTTACCTACACCCTCTCTGAAACGAATTTGCATAAGAACTGTTGTTTAAGGGAATGCATCTTGATAGGGATATAATGTTACTGCTAGATCAGACACTAACCCCAAATGAGAGAAGTGCCGCCATAACTTCAGCCCGAGAGTTCGGCGATCTCTGGTATCTCAGTCAGGTCAATGATAGGATGACAACAGAGGAAAGAGAACAATTCCCCACAGGCCAGCAGGCAGTTCCCAGTGTAGACCCCCACTGGAACGCAGAATCAGAATATGGAGATTGGTGCCGCAGACCTTTACTAACTTGCGTGCTAGAAGGACTAAGGAAAACTAGGAAGAAGGCTATAAATTATTCAATGATGTCCACCATAACACAGGGAAAGGAAGAAAATCCTACTGCCTTTCTGGAGAGACTAAGGGAGGCATTGAGGAAGCATACCTCTCTGTCAACCTGACTCTGTTGAAGGCCAACTAATCTTAAATGATAAGTTTATCACTCATTCAGCTGCAGACATTAGAAAAAAACGTCTAAAGTCTGCCTTAGGCCCAGAGCAAAACTTAGAAACCCTATTGAATTTGGCAACCTTGGTTTTTTATAATAGAGATCAGGAGGAGCATGTGGAACGGGATAAACGGGATAAGAAAAAGGCCACTGCTTTAGTCAGGGCTCTCAGGCAAGCAGACTTTGGAAGCTCTGGAACACGGAAAGGCTGGGCAAATCAAATGCCTAATAGGGCTTGCTTCCAGTGTGGTCTTCAAGGACACTTTAAAAAAGATTGTCCGAATAGAAATAAGCCACCCCCTCGTCCATGCCCCTTATGTCAAGGGAATCACTGGAAGGCCCACTGCCCCAGGGGATGAAGGTCCTCTGAGTCAGAGGCCACTAACCAGATGATCCAAGCAGCAGGACTGAGGGTGCCCGGGGCAAGTGCCAGCCCATGCCATCACCCTCACAGAGCCCGGGGTATGCTTGACCACTGAGGGCCAGGAGGTTAACTGTCTCCTGGACACTGCTGTGGCCTTCTCAGTCTTACTCTCCTGTCCTGTCCTCCAGATCTGTCACTATCTGAGGGGTCCTAGGACAACCAGTCACTAGATACTTCTCCCAGCCACTAAGTTGTGACTGGGGAACTTTACTCTTTTCACATGCTTTTCTAATTATGCCTGAACGCCCCACTCCCTTGTTAGGGAGAGACATTCTAGCAAAAGCAGGGGCTACCCAAGCATTCAGGGGTAGCCCCCATCTATTTGGCCAGGCATTAGCCCAAGACTTCAGACAGTTTTAATACCTGGACACTCTTGTCCTTTGGTACGTGGATGATTTACTTTTAGCTGCCCGTTCAGAAACCTTGTGCCATCAAGCCACCCAAGTGCTCTTAAATTTCCTCGCCACCTGTGGCTACAAGGTTTCCAAACCAAAGGCTCAGCTCTGCTCACAGCAGGTTAAATACTTAGGGCTAAAATTATCCAAAGGCACCAGGGCCCTCAATAAGAAATGTAACCAGCCTATACTGGCTTATCCTCATCCCAAAACCCTAAAGCAACTAAGAGGGTTCCTTGACATAACAGGCTTCTGCCAAATATGGATTCCCAGGTAAGACAAAATAGCCAGATCATTATATACACTAATTAAGGAAACTCAGAAGGCCAATACCCATTTAGTAAGATGGACATCTGAAGCAGAAGTGGCTTTCCAGGCCCTAAAGAGGGCCCTAACCCAAGCCCCAGTGTTAAGCTTGCCAACAAGGTAAGACTTTTCTTTATATGTCACAGAAAAAAACAGGAATAGCGGCTGGGTGCGGTGGCTCATGCCTGTAATCCTAGCACTTTGGGAGGCCGAGGCGGACGGATCACGAGGTCAGGAGATTGAGACCATCCTGGCTAACACGATGAAACCCCATCTCTACTAAAAATACAAAAAATTAGCCAGGCGTGGTGGCAGGCACCTGTAGTCCCAGCTACTCAGGAGGCTGAGGCAGGAGAATGGTGTGAACCTGGGAGGCGGAGCTTGCAGTGAGCCCAGATGGTGCCGTTGCACTACAGCCTGGGCAACAGAGCAAGACTCTGTCTCAAAAAAAACAAAAAACAAAAAGCAAACAAAAAAAGGAATAGCTCTAGGAGTCCTTACACAGGTCCAAGAGACCAGCTTGCAACCCGTGGCATACTGAGTAAGGAAACTGATATAGTGACAAAGGGTTGGCCTCACTGTTTACGGGTAGTGGTGGCAGTAGCAGTCTTAGTATCTGAAGCAGTTAAAATAATACAGGGAAGAGATCTTACTGCGCGGACATCTCATGATGTGAACGGCATACTCACTGCTAAAAGAGACTTGTGGCTGTCAGACAACCGTTTCCTTAAATATCAGGCTCTACTACTTGAAGGGCCAGTGTTGCGAATGCACATTTGTGCAACTCTCAGCCACATTTCTTCCTAACAATAAAGACAGAATACAACTGTCAATAGGTGATTGCTCAAACCTATGCTGCTCGAGGCGACCTTCTAGAGGTTCCCTTGATTGATCCCGACCTCAACTTGTATACTAATGGAAATTCCTTTGTAGAAAAAGGACTTCAAAAAGCGGGGTATGCAGTGGTCAGTGATAATGGAATACCTGAAAGTAATCTCCTCACTCCAGGAACTAGTGCTCAGCTGGCAGAACTAATAGCCCTCACTCGGACACCAGAATTAGGAGAAGAAAAAAGGGTAAATATATATACAGACTCTAAGTATGCTTACCTAGTCCTCCATGCCCATGCAGCAATATGGAGAGAAAGGGAATTCCTAACTTCCGAGGGAACACCTATCAAACATCAGGAAGCCATTAGGAGATTATTCTTGGCTCTACAGAAACCTAAAGAGGTGGCAGTCTTACACTGCCAGGGTCATCAGAAAGTAAAGGGAAATAGAAGGGAACTGCCAAGCGGATATTGAAGCCAAAGATCCGCAAGGCAGGACCCTCCATTAGAAATGCTTATAGAAGGATCCCTAGTATGGGGTAATCCTCTCCGGGAAACCAAGCCCCAGTACTCAGCAGAAGAAATAGAACGGGGAACCTCAGGAGGACATAGTTTCCTCCCCTCAGGATGGCTAGCCACTGAAGAAGGAAAAATACTTTTGCCTGCGGCTAATCAATAGAAATTATGTAAAAGCCTTCACCAAACCTTTCACTCTTACTGCACCCCCTGTATGCCGCTGTACTACCAGTAGCTCCCCTTACCAAGAGCTTCTATGAAGAATGCGGCTTCCCGGAAATATTGATGCCCCATCGTATAGGAGTTTTTCTAAAGTTGCGGAAACCCCACTTTCACTGCCCACACCCTTATGCCCCTGCACTTCAGGCTACACATTTCAATCCCTGTATCTTTAACCTCCTTGTTAAGTTTGTCTCTTCCAGAATCGAAGCTGTAAAACTACAAATCGTTCTTCAAATGGAGCCCCGGATGCAGTCCATGACTAAGATCTACTGTGGACCCCTGCTAGCCCATGCTCCGATGTTAATGACATCGAAGGCACCCCTCCCGAGGAAATATCAACGGCATGATCCCTAGTATGCCCAAATTCAGCAGGAAGCAGAGCGGCCGTCGGCCAACCTCCCCAACATCACTTGGGTTTTCCTGTTGAGAGGGGGGACTGAGAGACAGGACTAACTGGATTTCCTAGGCCAACTAAGAATTCCCAAGCCTAGCTGGGAAAGGTGACTGCACCCACCTTTAGACATGGGGCTTGTAACTCAGCTCACACCCGACCAATCAGGCAGTAAAGAGGGCTCACTAAAATACAAATGAGGCTAAAGCAGAAGGTAAAGAAATAGTCAAATCATACATTGCCTGAGAGCACAGGGGGAGGGACAATGATCGGGATATAAACCCAGGCAATCGAGCAGGGAGCGGCAACCCCCTTTGGGTCCCCTCCCATTTTATGGGAGCTCTGTTTCACTCTATTAAATCCTGCAACTGAAAAAAAAAAAGTTAAAAAGAATAATGATAGGTACTAAATTGCTATGATATAGATTCCATTGGATACATTTGAAAATGATGTAACATCTTTATTTTAAAATAATATTTACAACAATCCAGAAATGGTGTAATGTGCAATCATTTAAACTCATAATCTTGGATCACCTTAAAAAATGCAAAGTGGGGATATAGTTTTTCAACATTGTTCTGGGGATACACAAGTAAACAAAGTTTGTTGATAACAGGTGGAGCACCATGGCTCATGCCTGTAATCCCAGCATTTTGGGAGGCTGAGGCAGGTGGATTTCTTGAGCCCAGGAGTTCGAGACCAGCCTGGTCCACATGGCAAAACCCTGTCTCTACAAAAAAATACAAAAATTAGCCAGGCATGGTAGCATGCACCTGTAGTCCCAGCTACTTGAGAGGCTGAAGCAGGAGAATTGCTTGAGCTGGGAGGCGGAAGTTGTAGTGAGCAGAGATCAAGCCACTGCACTCCAGCCTGGGTGACAGAGTGAGACCCTGT
Organism: Homo sapiens; assembly: GCF_000001405.40. Classification (NCBI taxonomy): domain Eukaryota; kingdom Metazoa; phylum Chordata; class Mammalia; order Primates; family Hominidae; genus Homo; species Homo sapiens. Next base: position 96,216,620 of record NC_000002.12, on the reverse strand, counting down.
CTCAAAAAAAAAAAAAAAAAAAAAAAAGTTGGTTTATTTGAAGGGAGGTCATCTGAGACAGTACTATTAGAACCTTAAAAAAAGTGACAGAATTCTGTCAAAAAATTGATTTTTTAATTTCTAAACAGGAAGAAATGATAGGGAGGTACAGAAATAGAGGCAGGAAACATATAGTTGTCCCTTGGTATCTGCGGGGGATTTGTTCCAGGACCTCCTGTGGATGCTCAAGTCCCTGATATAAAATGGCATAGTATTTGCACATAATCTATGTACATACTCCCATATACTTTAAATCATCTCTAGATTCCTTATAACTAATACAGCGTAAATGCTCTACAGTTGTTATACTGTATTGTTTAGGGGAGGGGTGCTCACAGCGCATTACCGCCTGAACTCTGCCTCCTGTCAGTTCAGCGGTGACACTGGATTCTCACAGGAGAGCGAACCCTATTGTGAACTGTGCATGCTAGGGATCTAGGTTGCTATGAGAATCTTACTAATGCCTGATGATCTGAGGTGAACAGTTTCATCCCAAAACCATCCTACCCCGTCCGTGGAAAAACTGTCTCCCATGAAACCAGTCCCTGGTGCCAAAAAGTTTGGGGACCGCTGGTTTAGGGAATAATGACAAAAAAGTGGGTACATGTTTAGTATAGATGCAATTTTTTTTCCCAAATATTTTCCATCCACAATTAGTTGAATCCCTGGATGCAGAACCCGTAAATACAAAGGGCCACCTGTATATGCCATTGTTTTTAAAAATATATAGGCCGGGCGCGGTGGCTCACACCTGTAATCCTAGTACTTTGGGAGGCCGAGGCGGGTAGATCACGAGGTCAGGAGTTCAAGACCAGCATGGCCAAGATGCTGAAACCCTGTCTCTACTAAATATACAAAAATTAGCTGGGCGTGGTGGCACGCGCCTGTAATCCCAGCTACTTCAGAGGCTGAGGCAGGAGAATCGCTTAAACTCGGGTGCCAGAGGTTGCAGTGAGGCAAGATCAAGCCACCGCACTCCAGCCTGGGCAACAGAGCAAGACTTCGTCTCAAAAAAAAAAAAAAAAAAAAAAAAAAAAAAAAACAACTTAGCAGTGGAAAGAGAAGTGGTATCTAGAAAGGGGAAGAGTTAAAGCCTCTTTTTAAAGACTTTTATCCCCAAAGCCTTTTTTGAAGATGAACTCGATTATGTTTATGTACTGATGGGAAACAGGCAGTAGGATGGAGAAAATGGCTGCATTAGAGAGGCTCAGCAGGAGTTTCTGAGGATTCGTTTGGTTTATAGGATATTGGTAGAAAACTTATGTATACATATAAAATCAAACCCACAAAGTACTCCTTTTTTTTTTTTTTTTTTTTTGAGACAGAGTCTCCCTCTGTAGCCCAGGCTGGAGTGCAATGGCATGATCTCGGCTCACTGCAACGTCCGCCTCCCAGGTTCAAGCAATTCTCCTGCCTCAGCCTCCCAAGTAGCTGGGATTACAGGCATGCACCACCACACCTGGCTAACTTTTGTATTTTTAGTAGAGATGGGGTTTCACCATGTTGGCCAGGCTGGTCTCGAACTCCTGACCTCAGGTGATTCGCCCGCCTTGGCCTCCCAAAGTGCTGGGATTACAGGCGTGAGCCACCGCACCCGGCCAAAGTGCTCCTTTAAAAAAATTATTATTATTAAGAAATCCACTTCTCTAACTGTCACAAAGTCCAGGCTGAGTTAACAGTGATGAGTTCCGGAGGTAACTCCACCCCACTCCGGGTTTTCTGGTTACAATCACTGTATTCACTCTCCACCTCAACTGAAAACCCAGACTCAGGAAGCCTCAAGCCCTGCCCTTCTATTCCTGGCAGATGCCAAGGCCAACTATGTAGGAGGCTTTTTTAGAGAAGACACTTCATCTTCCCAAAAGACAAACCCTCCACTCTGCTTTATGAGGCAGATAGCAACAACAAACCACCAATGGGTTGGGGCTTGCGCAGGCCTCATTGGCTCCTTTTAAAAATGTTTTTAGAGAGAGGGTGTAGTGGCTTATGTCTGCAAACCCAGCACTTTGGGAGGCCGAGGCAGGCAGATCGCCTGAGGTCAGGAGTTCGAGACCAGCCTGGGCAACATGGTGAAACTCCGTCTCTACTAAAATACAAAAAATTTGCTGGGCATGGTGGCATGGGCCTGTAATCCCAGCTACTTGGGAGGCTGAGGCATGGGAATTGCTTGAACCCAGGAGGTAGAGGTTGCAGGGAGCCAAGATCCAGCCTAGGCAACAGAGTGAGACTCCGTCTCAAAACAAAACAAAACAAAACAAAAAACCCCTGGCTAAACACGGTGTCAAATACTACTTTCTGTTACATACACATTTCTTCTTCACTGCTTTCCAGATGAAATAAAACCTCATTAATCCAACCTAAAATCGGACAGGCTGGATAGGAAAGACCTAAATTTCGGTTCCCAGGAAAGCATAATCTCTCTTTGGAGAAACAGTTACTTTTATTAAGAACGTCTAAAATCGCATAACTCTTTAGCTACAGTAAAATTCCTAAATGCCTTGGAACCAGCAGTCCATTTCACACCAAGACAGTTTATAATATTTTTTCTTCTGTCAATAAGGTGCTTAAATATAAGATTTAAAAGGGTAAGGAAACAACTTAGCAGCTTTGTTTTAATGAGGCTGGATACAGAATAGTAATTTAATACACTTTGAGATCATTTAGCCAGGTTGCTCACAGGTGAGTAAATCTGTTTACCTTCCAACACTGTCACCTTTGGGTCAAAAAGAGAGGGACAGCTACTACTTGACCTAGGGCATCTGCCCCAACAAACTCTCTTCTGTTGCTCTTTTACCAAAAGGCTGACATATTTGCAGACTGCGACGGGCCACCTGCCCATGTGACTCCCTCTGGACTGTCCTGGGCGCTCAGGCTGTGACACGGGTCCATTCTTGGACCGAGGAGTTAGCAGAGAGGAATGTTTGGGGTGCTTCTGGGAGAGCCAGGAGGGGAGGCCGGGGAAGGTTTTGATGGCAGGCGTCGAAGGAAGGTTTTGATGGCAGGCGTCGAAGGCCTGAGGAGTCCCCCTTCACCAGTGGTGTCTTTACTGCCCCCTACCCCATCCTGGTGTAACCACCCAATGGGTTCACCTTGCCTGCTGCATAGACAGAGCTGATTTATCAAGACAAGAGAATTGCAATAGAGAAAGAGTAACTCACGCAGAGCCCACTGTGCGGGAGACCAGAGTTTCATCATTACTCAAATCAGTGTCCCTGAGCATTTGGGGATCAATTTTTTTTTTTTTTTTTGAGATGGAGTCTCGCTCAGTTGACCAGGCTGGAGTGCAGTGGCGTGATCTCAGCTCACTGCAACCTCTGCCTACTAGGTGCAAGCAATTCTCCTGCTTCACTCAGCCTCCCTAATAGCTGGGATTACAGGGGTGCACTACTATGCCCAGGTAACTTTTGTATTTTTAGTAGAGACGGGATTTTGCTATGCTGGCCAGGCTGGTCTTGAATTCCTGACCTCAAGTGATCTGCCTGCCATGGCCTCCCAGCAAAGTGCTGGGATAACAGGCGTGAGCCACCGCACTGCACCTGGCCAAGAGACCTTTTTTTTTTTTTTTTTTGTGAGACGCAGTCTCGCTCTGTTACCCAGGCTAGAGTGCAATAGCGCTATTGTGGCTCACTGCAACCTTGGCCTCCTGGGTTCAGGCGATTCTCCTGCCTCAGCCTCCCAAATAGTTGGTATTATAGGCGCCCACCACCATGCCTAATTTTTGTATTTTTTGTAGAGACGAGGTTTCGCCATGTTGGTTAGGCTGGTCTCAAACTCCTGACCTCAGGTGATCCGCCCACCTCAGCTTCCCAAAGTGCTGGGATTAAAGGCATGAGCCACTGTGCCAGGCCCCAACCCAGAGTTTTAAAGGAGACTTTGGTGGGTGGGGGAAGGTCAGTGAGTCCAGAGTGCTGATTGGTTGGGTCCGAGATGAAATCATAGGGAATTGAAGCTGTCATCTTGCACTGAGCTGGTTCCCGGTTGGGGGTCACAGATCAAATGAGCCATTTTATCCATCTGGGTGGTGCCAGCCGATCCATCAAGTGCAAGGTCAGCAAAATATCTCAAGCACTGATCTTAGGAGCAGTTCAGGGAGGGTCAGAATCTTGTAGCCTCTTAAACCTTAACTTCTAACCTTGTGGCTAATTTGTTAGTCCTACAAAGGCAGTCTAGTCTCCAGGCAAGGACCTTTGTTTTGAGAAATGGCTGTTATCCTCTTTGTTTTAAACTATAAATTACGTCCCTCCCAAAGTTAGTTCAGCCTATGCCCAGGAATGAATAAGGACAACTTGGAGGTTAGAAGCAAGATGGAGTTGGTTAGGTCAGATCTCTCTGTCTCAGTTATAATTTTGCAATGGTGGTTTTAATCCCTCCCTTTGGGTTTATAACACCTTTATCTTAAGGTGTTGTTAATGAAGATGGAAAAAGGGCAAAGACCTTAACTTCTTCCTACTAACCAGGGGTGTAGTGAGGGGTAGGTGTTGACTCCAAGGTGAGAGGAGTGGAACCACTTTGCAACTGTCTGAGTGTACTCCTGCAGGCCTGACTGGGGTTCGAAGGCTTGCATGGCAAAGGCATTAGTATTGCCACCTATAGTTTTCGTACTGTGTTTAAGGGAACCGTGTACTATAAGGGAAATAATGAGTACTAGGGTAAGGAGTGCAGTTCCCAGTTTTAAAAGTAAAGATTTAAAAGCATTAGCCTGGGAACTTGTAGCCCACAAAGAATTTAGGATTTAGTTCAAACTGCAGAAAAAAACTTAAGAACAGTTAACAAAAGGTGTACCACAGTTTTTCTTCTGAAGCATAATTTTTCTCTCTCCAGTTCCCATTTTTACTAAAAACAAATCATGATAGAACTGATTTGTTTACAAAATAAACCGCAGTCTTATTGTACTTGGCCTGATGATTTGCATAAAGTGAAGCAAGAATAATTATTTTTCACATAGGCTTTGTTTTTTTTTTTGAGATGAAGTCTTGCTTCGTGGCCCAGGCTAGAGTGCGGTGGTGCGATCGTGGCTTACTGCAACCTCCGCCTCCCAGGCTCAGGCGATTCTCCTGCCTCAGTCTTCCAAGTATCTGGGATTACAGGTATCTGCCACCACGCCCAGCTAACTTTTTGTATTTTCAGTAGAGACAGGGTTTCACCATGTTGGCCAGGCTAGTCTCAAACTCCTAACATTGTGATCTGCCTGCCTTGGCCTCCCAAAGTGCTGGGATAACAGGTGTGAGCCACTGCGCCTGGCCTTCACATAGGCTTTTAAAATTGGCTTTGATGGAACTCTGTTCCATAAGAAATCTTAGATAAGACCTTTTTAAAGCCAAGCCCAGCCATGGGTTTGTACCCTCGAATACCTATGAGTTGGGTAAATTCCTCTCCTCTTGAGGTGTCAAGATAACTTAGGTCTCCTGAGCCTGTTAGAAAGTGACATTCTTTACTTACCACAGGTCAGGAACCTCGTACAGGGACTGTGTTGACATAGTATGAGGCCAGATTTCCCAAGGGGCTCTATAAGTCAATTTTTTGGCTTATTGGCTCTATAAGTCAACTTTGTTTTTTTTTTTTTTGAGACGGAGTCTCGCTCTGTCGCCCAGGGTGGAGTGTAGTGGCGCGATCTCGGCTCACTGCTGCAAGCTCCACCTCCCGGGTTCACGCCATTCTCCTGCCTCAGCCTCCCGAGTAGCTAGGATTACAGGTGCCCACTACCACGCCCGGCTAATTTTTTGTATTTTTAGTAGAGACGAGGTTTCACCGTGTTAGCCAGGATGGTCTGGATCTTCTGACCTCGTGATCCGCCCGCCTTGGCCTCCCAAAGTGCTGGGATTAAAAGTGTGAGCCACCATGCCCGGCCTAGAGCTCTTTTTTCTAAGAAAAAATCCTTTTAAGGCCAGGCACGGTGGGTCATTGAATCGTGAATTCAATGGGTGGTCTCTGAGCAGTCACCCTGAATCAGGCCTGTTAAACTTCTTTCAGGGCTCACTGAATGTGACTAGATAAATAAGGAGTGTTCTCCAAGTTAGGCCTGCTGGATTTTCATCAGCAATTCCTTCAGAGATCCCCTCCATATATACAAACACACACACGAAGACAAGACAGACAGAAGGCCTTCCAAATTAAGGTCCCTAACCAAGAACTCCAAGAGTACCCCTTCCAAACTATCCTCCTATTCTCCATCTGACAAATCTCCCTGAAATATTCCTGATTGAGAAGTCTCCCGAACCAAGACTCTTCCTAGTTAGGGACAGCCAACTGGGATGCCCCAGGAGCCAAACTGAGACAGACACCCCATGGTGGAGCTACAGACACCCACCATGTGGCTACAGAATCAGTCCGGAGAAGGAAGGAGGCACTGGCAGCACCTAGGATACTCAGCAACCTGCCACCCCATGATGGGGCTATAGCTACAGACACTCCATGACCTGGCTACAGCGCCCCGCTATGGAGCTACAGATACCCTGTGACAGGGCTACAGTTATGGGATGTCTCCCCAGGACTATTTCTCCATTGCGATTAAGTCCATGCATATTGGGCTAGCAGTGCCCCACTGGCAGAGACGGTGCCAGAGTTAGCCCCTAGTCCAAGAGAACTATGTGGCCGCTTAGGCTGGCCTCTGGATCTGTCACCAGAGGTGGGGCTACCGAACCATGGACAGGTAGCCACAAGGGGTATCCCAGACGAACCCCCAAATTTGTAACCGTACAATGGGTTCACCTTGCCCACTGCCTAGACAGAGCCGATTTATCAAGACAGGGGAACTGCAATAAAGAGTAATTCACGCAGAGCCCACTATGAGACTGGAGTTTGTTTCAACATTACTCAATCAGTCTCCCTTAGCATTCCGGGATCAGAGTGTTTAAGGATAATTTGGTGGGTGGGGGAAGGCCAGTGAGTCCAGAGTGTTGACTGGTTGGGTCGAGATGAAATAATAGGGAATTGAAGCTGTCCTCTTGCACTGAGTTGGTTCCTGGGTGGGGGCCACAAGGTCAGATGAGCCAGTTTATCCATCTGGGTGGTGCCAGGATCCAACCAGTGCGGGGTCAGCAAAATATCTCAAGCACTGATCTTAAGAGCAGTTTAGGGGGATCACAATATCGTAGCCTCCAGCTGCATGACTCCTAAACCATAATTTCCAATCTTATGGCTAACTTATTAGTCCTACAAAGGCAGTCTAGTTCCCAGATAAGAAGATTTGTTTTGGGAAAGGGCTGTTATCCTCTTTATTTTAAACTATAAACTAAGTTCCTCCCAAAATTAGTTCACCTAAGCTCAGGAATGAACAAGGACAGAAGCAAGATGGAATTGGTTAGGTCAGATCTCTTTCACTGTCTCAGTTTTAATTCTGCAATGGCGGTTATCACTGGGAGCCCCCAGCCCCCGCAGAGACATGCGGAGCCCCGCCCCCACCCTGCACTCTAATAAAGAAGGGGGCCAGCGTGCCGGCCTCTTAAAACAAGTTAACACCTGGCAGGATTCTAACAGGAACCTGGCCAGGTTTCTCCGCGGGGCGGGGCTGGGACGGCCGGAAGATGGCGGCGACGGCGGCAGCCGGGTCCGAGGGTCACTCTCCAATGCGCCCTTGACGGCTCTCGCCGCCGAGCCACCTACCTTGCTAGCAGGCGGCCTCCGCGCATGCATGAAGGGGCAGGAGGGGGCGGTGACGAGCACTTCACGGCGCCAATGAGCACCCAGGAGCCCAGGTCGCGCCCAATCACGGCCCAGGTGGCGGAGAAAAAGTAGGGTGCGCGCGCGCCGCGCGTGTGGCAGTCGCGGAAGGCGCGGGAGCTTGCGTGCTGCTGGGCCTGAGCTGTCTGTCTCGTTTCTGTCCGCGCGCCCTGCATCCCGGCCCCGGGCGCCCGCTGGAGGTCGCCGAGGAGCCACAGGGCTGACTGGTCTGCTGCCCGGGCCCAGGAGTGCCTGGTGTAGCAGTCGCGGAGCCATCCCGGCGTCTGCTGCCATGACCGACTCTCCCCTCAGAGGAGACTCTTCCTCAGCGGTGGCTGCAGAGACAGATGAGCGGCGGCTCCTGGCCGCGGGACCGTGAGACGGGTTCGTGGCCGGCCATTTAGGGGGACGCTGCGACCACCGCCTGCGCCCCTCCGGACTGGTTCCTTGGGCCCCGGAAGCTCGCGGCGGGCCCTGCGGGAGGCGGCATGCTCCCGCGGAGGCTGCTGGCCGCCTGGCTGGCGGGGACGCGGGGCGGGGGCCTGCTGGCGCTTCTGGCCAATCAGTGCCGCTTCGTCACGGGCCTGCGCGTGCGGCGCGCGCAGCAGATCGCGCAGCTCTACGGCCGCCTCTACTCCGAGAGCTCACGCCGCGTTCTCCTCGGCCGCCTCTGGCGCCGGCTGCACGGCCGTCCTGGCCATGCCTCTGCCTTGATGGCGGCGTTAGCCGGCGTCTTCGTTTGGGACGAGGAGAGGATCCAGGAGGAGGAGTTGCAGAGGTGGGCGCTGCGGCGAGCTCTTTCTGGGCCGTGGGGTGGGGGGGCTTGTGAACCCTGGGGCCTGCCCTGTGGTCGTTGGCCCTTGTTTACCCGGTGGTCTTTTAATTGGCAATACAGTCGATTGAACCTGCTTCAGCAAACCGCGTTGTTATTTGTCTCTGTGTGTCAATTTGCATTTGTCGGGTTATAAAATAGAACTGAAAGTGTGTAGGCTGGTGTGTAGGAGGGAGACTTTGAGTGGGGCGAGCAAGACAGTAAAGAAACAACACTGTAGAAATCAATTAGATAGCGAAGGCATGGAGGCCCTTGTTCATGTAATCTGTAATCTTTAACACAACCAGAAAGGTGCAAATTCAAAACAAATTTTAAATTTGGCCTAAGGGTGGTGGGCTGCTATTTGCAAAATGACTTCAATCCAGATGGGACTCAGGCCTGTGAGAAAAGCCAGGAGAGCCCTCTGTCATCGTGACTCGTGGCAAAATTGAGAGCCTGGAAGCGATTTTGTCCAGGTTACACAAACCAGCAGCCCAGACATTTGAACCTGTAAGAATTAGGTCAGATTTTTGCGACGTTAACTAGAACTTTGGGAATAGTGTCCCATTAGACTCTGAAGTCATGCTGTCGTCATCAAAACTGTGAAAAGCCCAGTACCATTGATTACGTTTGTTAATCTGTAGTTCTGAGACTGTAGTTTCCAGGTAATGTCATGGGGAAACTTTGCTTTGGTTTTTGGTTTACCTTGTGTCTGTATTTTCTTTGCAACAGATATTCTTAAACTGTGCCCTCCCTGCACAGAAAGTACTTTGCCGTGATTTCGGGAACCAGAGACAATCCCCTCCCTCCGCAGATTCCACACTCGCCTGTTTATTCTTGATATTTCCTCCACAGGGAAACAACCTGTTATTCCACATTTTTTGTTAGGTTAAAAATGGAAATACCCCAATAAAGTTTATACCATGGCCTGTGTGGGAGGTGTAACACCCAGATGCCAGGCAGCTATTTGTGCCACACTATGAATTGTGGGTAAATGCAAGTCTATCTTAAGAACTGGGAATACTTTTCCTAGCAGGAAAGATAACTTTTATAAATGCAACTTAAAATAATAACCACAAACAACCTTATTCACAAAAAAGTTAAGCTATCAAAGCGTGATAGGTATTTTGCCTAGTTCCTATTAGTATTCTTTTGCTACTTGGCCATTGGTTATAATCACAGTCTCTTGGGTGTGGGAAATAAAAGAATAGGAAGAAAACTTCTAAGTTGACAAATTATCATTAACTTTTAATTTTCATTTTTGATGATGAAATGTCCGTGTTCCACTTTTTTTTTTTTTTTTTTTTTTTTGAGACGGAGTCTCGCTCTGTCGCCCAGGCTGGAGTGCAGTGGCGCGATCTAGGCTCACTGCAAGCTCCGCCTCCCGGGTTCACGCCATTCTCCTGCCTCAGCCTCCCGAGTAGCTGGGACTACAGGCGCCCGCCACCACGCCCGGCTAATTTTTTTGTATTTTTAGTAGAGACGGGGTTTCACCGTGTTAGCCAGGATGGTCTCGATCTCCTGACCTCGTGATCCGCCCGCCTCGGCCTCCCAAAGTGCTGGGATTACAGGCGTGAGCCACCGCGCCCGGCCGTGTTCCACTTTTAAGTTGAAAAATTATCATTAACTTTGAATTTTCAGTTTTGATGATGAAATATCCTTGTTCCACAGTTAAGTTTGAGAGGAAAATCTCCAGTTGGAATTGTTGGGGTAAGAGGAGAAAGACCAGGAAAAGGGCTACTGGGTACAAAAGAGAGGAAAGGAGAGTTTGGGGGTGGGAGTTGAATAGTGTTGGGGCTTACGTAGTAGATGACACTCTTTGGCTTATTTTATGCATTTTTATGGATGATATTAATAGATCCTGGAGCCTCTGTTTAGCAGTGCTAAACAGAGTTAGTGGGGAGTTAGTGGGGAAAAAAGATAGGAAATGAACATAGTAAGCATTTGAGTTAGTCAGTATTTATCATGGCAGAGAGATCAGACCAGTTCATGACTGAGCCTCTGGTCAGACTGTCCCTGAAACCTGGAGGCAATTGAAATACTCTTGGTTCTACTCCAACTCCTCAAGAGGGACTGCTCTGAGTTAACCAGCTTTGGAATTTCAGGAGTTCAGATGAACTCCAGAACACTTTCAAGCTGCACTTTGACCCTTCTTAGGGTTGTTATAGTAAAGGCCCTCATTTAACATTTCATTGTTTGGTTCATGCTTGAATTTGGTTTTTCATGTAATTAAAATTTGATCATGTTGTTCATCTTGAGGATTTTTTTTCTTTTTAAAATATTTGTTAATGTGATAGGAAGGCAAATATGCTATTCAACAACTACATCTTGGTTGCACAGTGGTTCCTTAGGTCTTTGTTTTGATAGCTTGTCATGTTTATATTTTATTAAAATATTCTGGGTACAGATTAACTTATTTGCTTTGTGTTTAAGTATTCTATTTGCTTGAAAGTAGGCACTGCTGAGGTTGTCATAGCTAGCTTAGAACATCTTGGATTTCGTTTGTTCTAGTGAGATGATTTTTGGGTAGCTTCCATAATGGAGCACAGTTGGAGTGTGTCTCAAGTGCATTTCTTTCATTGTTAATGGAAAAAGAGCATGATTGTCACATGGCCCCTAAATCACAGCCTTTGGCTCATCTGTGCTGATTCTGTACCAACTTGTCCTGGCACAAACTAATTCTAACATAGCTGTTTTGGTTAAGCGGGTGGAATGTGCAGGGTGTCTTTTTGAATGTGTGCCTTAAAGTGGCATGTGTTTTCCTTATGTTATTTGAGTCCTATTCAGAATGACAAAGCATAACTTGTCTTCTCGTCTTTTGTGCTTAAGAACATCTTACCAAATAGCGTCTTATTAATCAAGCAACAGCAAGAAAATTTGAGAAGTGATTTTGACTGGCTGCTGTGGCCAGATGTAGAAATCAGATCTTTTAATACTTGCTCTAGTACCCAGTTGTCTTAAATTAAACAACGAAAATATCTTGGGATTGCTGTTTTTGGTGCTAGCTGGCATTCTGTGATTCCAGGGCAAATCTAATGGAAAAATACAGTAGTCATGTTTTTGATTGCTTTGGAACAGTTAAAAAGAAAAGTTACAGGAACAAAGAGAGGAAGGATGTTAAGAAATGAAAGGCTAGGGGAAAATGTTCCATTAACCTCCTCATAGTTTTTTAAAAGTTACAGTTCATTGCTCCAGAAATTTGAGTAAATAAGTGCCATTAAAGTTGCATAAAGAAAATTGGCCATTTTCTCTTTTCTGTCTTTCAGGGCATTCGGGATATGTTAAACTTCAGTGTGTTATTGACTAGATAAATGATCCGCATAAAGTCCTTTTGCCTTAAAGGAACTTTTTTTTTTTTTTTTGGCCATTGTCACTTCAGGGTATCTTACTGGTAAACCCTTAAACCCCTTGTTAGATCTTCAGAGCTACATAAAATTAGATCTCAATTTTTTGAGGTTGTCTTCATTATTTTACCATTAACTAGTTGCCCTAGAACTGCAATGAGCTAATTGATGTCCTGTCCTGTCCTGTCCTCCCCTTCCCTCCCGCCCCCTTCCGGGACAGAGTCTCACCCTGTCGCCCAGGCTGGAGTGCATTGGCATGATCTCGGCTCACTGCAACCTCCGCCTCCCAGGTTCAAGCGATTCTCCTGCCTCAGCCTCCACTGAGTAGCTGGATTACAGGTGCTTGCCACCACACCCGGCTAATTTTTTGTATCCTTAGTAGAGATGGGGTTTCACCATGTTGGACAGGCTGGTCTCCAGCTCTTGACCTCGTGATCCGCCTGTCTCGGCCTCCCAAAGAGTTGGGATTACAGGCATGAGACATCACGCCCAGACTCTTTTTTTTCTTAAGACATAATCTCACTCTGTCGCCCAGGCTGGAGTGCAGTGGTGTGATCTCACCTCACCGCAGCCTCCGCCTCCCTGGTTCCAGCTATTCTCGTGCCTCAGCCTTGCCAGTGGCTGGGTCTACAGCGGGGGTGCCACCACGCCTGTTTAATTTTTGTATTTTTAGTGGAGACGGGGATTCACCATGTTGGCCAGGCTGGTCTCGAACTCCTGCTCCTGACCTCAAACAGTCCTCACGCCTTGGCCTTCCAAAGTGCTGAGAGCCAGGCGCCTGGCTCTATGTCTTTTTTTGGGGGGTATGGAGTCTTGTTCTGTTGCCTAGGCTGGAGTGCAGCGGTGTGATCTGGGCTTACTGAAGCATCCACCTCCTGGTTTCAAGCAGTTCTCCTGCCTCAGCCTCTCAAGTAGCTGGGACTACAGGCATGCCCCACCACGCCCACCTAATTTTGTGTGTTTATTTTTAGAAGAGAAGGTTTCACTGTGTTGGCCAGGCTGATCTCCAACTCCTGATCTCAAGTGATCCGCCTGCCTTGGCCTCCCAAAGTGCTGGGATTACAGGCATAAGCCACTGCGCCTGACTCCTATGTCTTTTATTTCTAGGTGTGTCCCGTATCAGTAGAACCTGACTTTGACAATAACTTGGAATTTGAAGAGGAGGAGAATTATGTGAAGTGAGGCTGTTGTCTGACTGAAATTCCTAATTGTAGGGATGGTTTCATTTAAGTAATTTTGGAGCCTTACACCAAGCTCCATGCTGAGGGCAGGACCCCTAGATGAACCAAATGTTGTTTCACTTACTTTGTTTTCATGGTTTGTTTGCTTTCAGTTTCTATAGCTTTCGGTCCAGCCTTTTTCAGATATTGAAATGATTTTCGTTTTGGAGAAAGAAAGGCATGGTCTCTCTTTTCTTGATCCTTTTTCTAATCTGCTGATTTTACTATTTTGGGAATAATCTCTTTTGTCCTTCTGTCCTCTCTTAAGTCTCTTAAGATGTGAAGGTTTAGCCACCCATCCCATCCAAACAAGATTGGGCACAGCAGCCTAAAGAGATGTGTCATGAGAGGTTTTCCTTTTCTCCACATATATGTTAGTGAATGACTTTGTGCTCCTGTATGTTAATTGGGTCTTGTCATGTTAGCATTTAGAAGTTCAGACCCTTCAGGGATTCCTAAACCTTGGGAAAAAATAACTTGATCATTTACATTTTCGTGAAGCAGTCTTGCTCTATCATTCATACTGTGTCTCCACAAGACATTTCCGTCCCTTTTCATAATTTTAGTCAAAGCCACCTAGTAACCTTTAATTATATAGGAGAGCTTGATTAAGCAGTGGGTCAGATGCTCTGAACCACCTTGATTCTTAGAAGGTCATGAAAAAATGTTGCCTATAGTTAATAATTTTCTTAAAACTTTATTAACTATGTAATTATTTTATGAGCCTCTGATGTTTTAGTACGACATTCCACCAGTGGAAACATGCTCCCCTTTATTATGTGGCAAGAATGATAATTCGGGCCAGGTGTTGTGGCATGTGCCTGTACTTGGGAGGCTGGAGGATCACTTGAGCCCAGGAATTTGAGGCCAGCTTGGGCAATGAAGAAAAAAATTTTTTTTAAAGAATGACACTCAAGAGTTGTGCTTAGTTATTGTTGAAGGATGCTTTATAGACCTCAAAAATGCTGTAATCGATGCCCTATGGTGCCTGATTGTTCTCTGAGCAAATCTAGCTATGGTTTTGCTTTTGCTCTTCTTCTGCAACATCTAAATGCCTATCCTAAGGTTCCTTCTCTGTTTCTCTATGGTTTTGCAGCTGGTCAGGGTTCTTGGTTGTAACAAAGAAACTGGTCTTGGTTAATTTAAGCCAAAAAGGAATTAATCAAAACGGTATTAGGTCACTCAGTATTGACAAGGCCAGGGTACAGGTTGACCAAGACCTGCAGCAGGAATAATCTACTTAGAGCAGTGTTGCTGGCATTCTTTCCCCCAGATTGGTTGTACTCCTGGACTCCCAGCTCCCTCAAGATCCTGTGCCTTTGTGTTATCTTCAAGATGCAAAGCCCCTTCTAGAAGTCTCTAACCTCACTTAAATTAGGAGCTGTGCTTTAACTGCTTGTGGGCGGGAGGGGGGCTGCATTCACCTATTTGGGTTCTTTCCAAATAGAAAGGGATTTCAGGCAGTCAAAATGACAAATATTCCCCTATATAAATATTTTCATCCAAGTCCAAAGCTTAAAATTCAGCAAATTCAATTTTAGAACTAATAGGACTTCAAGAAATAACGTCCTCACTTTAAAGGTAAAATAAAATAAGATCACACAGCTGGTCAGCTGTAGAGCCAGGACTAGAACACAAATCTTTAGACTTACCATTATTTTGAATTGCTCTAAACTTTTAATCTTGGATTGACACTATACCTTTGAATTTTTGGCTTTTGCAGCAATATATTAATGCAATATATATATATTTTTGAGACAGTTTCACTCTCACCCAGGCTGGAGTGCAGTGGCACGATCTCAACTCACTGCAACCTCCATCTCCTGGGTTCAACAGATTCTTGTGCCTCAGCCTGCTGAGTAGCTGGGATTACAGGCGCAGGCCACCATGCCTGGCTAATTTTTTTTTGTAGTGCTGGGATTACAGGTGTGAGCCGTTGCACCTGGCCAATTTTTTTTTTTTTTTAAGAGTCTTACTCTGTTGCCAGGCTGGAGTGCAGTGGCATGATTTTGGCTCGCTACAGTCCCGACCTCCAGGGCTCAGGTGATTCTCCCACCTCTGCCTCCTCAGTAGCTGGGACTACAGCTGCATGCCACTACGCCCAGCTATTTGTTGTGTAATTTTTTTTTTTTTTTTTTAGAGGTGGAGTTTTGCATGTTGCCCAGGCTGGTCTTGAAGTCCTGGGCTCAAGTGATCTGCTCACCTTAGCCTCCCAAAATGCTGAGGATTATAGGCGTGAACCACTGCCCCAGGCCTTAATGCAATCTTTTAATAAAAATTTGGATTACTGAGGCCTATTTTCATTTTATTATTTCTTGATTTACTAAATTTATTCATGTAATGTATGTAATGTTTACCAGGACATGTAATGTTTACCAGGACATGCTAGGAGCTGGAACTACAAATATGAAAAAGACTGATTCTGGGCTATTAAGGAATTTATAGTTTAGTAAGGAAAGCAGATATAAAGATAGATTAATTATAGTGTAATATGCCTGTGTAAAGGAATAAAAATCAGTGTGTATGGTTAACTCTGCCTAGCAGTTACCTTTGTGGTTTTTTGAAGCTTGAAGGGTGAAAAGGCATTTCAGACAGTGTAGCAGTAATTTGGGTCTTCTTCAGTCTTGAATTGCAATAGAGTGTATAAGACAGCCAGCCAGCAATTTTTGTTTCTTATCTGTAACCTTTCTTTAAATGTTGCAGGGGGTAGGGTGAGGTGGAGGGCACGGAGAAGCTGGGTATGGTAGCACACGCCTATTGTGCCAGCTACTTGGGAGGCTGAAGTGAAAGGATCTCTTAAGCCCAGGAATTTGAGGCCAGTTTCGGCGACATAGTGAGACTTTGTCTCAAAAAAGAAGAGGTTATGGGAAAAATACAAGCCAAGTTTTAAAAAATTATTATTATAAAATGTTTCAGATATATAAAAAAGGTTTAAATAATAACACGAGCGTTGCAAGTACAGCTATGTTAAGAAATAAGATATTACAAGTATACTTAGGGTTCCTCTGTACCTTTTTCCAGTTGTATTCTTATTTTTCCCCAAGATGTCACCATTATCCCAATTTGTTGTATATAATTCCCTATGTTTTTATACATATGTATATACCCCTGAATGATACATAGTGATACATAGTACAATATATGGTGGTGTTTTTCATGTTTTAAAACTTTTTGCAGCCGGTGAGTCCCGCCTGGAATCCCAGCACTTTGGGAGGCCCAGGCTAGTGGATCACTTGAGGCCAGGAGTTCAACACCAGCCTGGGCAACATGGTGCAACCCCATCTCTACTAAAAATACAGAAAACAAATTAGCTGCATGTGGTGGTGCTTGTCTGTAGTCCCAGCTACTTGGGAAGCTGAAGTGGGAGAATCACCTGAGCTTGGGGAGTTAAGGCTGTAGTGAGCTGTGATTATGCCACTGCACTCTAGCCTGGGCTCAGAACAAACAAAAAAAAACCACACAACTTTTCGCAGTCCTGAACAAAATACTAACAAACTGAACTCAGCAATATATGAAATGGATTATATGCCATGAAAAGTAGGATTTATTTAAGGAACGGCAAGGTCGGTTCTTCATACAAAAATCAATTTATTACACCATATTAATAGAAAAAAGGACAAAAACTGCGTGATCATCTGAATAAACACAAAAAGTATTTGACAAATTCCAGCCTCCTTTTGTGATTAAAAAAGAAAACACTCAGCAGACTGGGAATAGAAGGAAATTTCTTGCAGCTGATAAAAGGCATCTACAAAAAACATAGCTAACAGTGTAGTTAATGGCAAAAGACTTAGTGCTTTTCTCCTAAGATCAGGAACAAGATGAGGATTCTGCTCTCACCATTTCTGTTCAACATTGTACTGGAGGTCATAACCAATGAAATCAGGCAACATAAGGAAATGAAAGTCATTTAGATTGGAAAGAAGAAATAAAACTATCTCTATTTGCAGCTGACATGATCTTATATTTAGAAAATAGTAAGGAATCTACAGAAAGCAATTAGAGCTGATAAATGAGTTCATCAAGTTTGCAGGATACAAGATCAATACACGGAAGTCATGTTTATGTACACTAACAATGAATCTGAAAATAAAATTAACAATTTCATTTACAGTAGCATAAAAGGAATAAATACATACGAATAAATTAACAAGTGTACAACTAAAACTGTAACACTAAAAACAACAAAACATCATTGGAAGAAATTTAAAAAGACATAAGTGAAAGACATCCCGTGTTCATGGATTAGATTAGAACACTTAATATTGCTAAGATGGCAATACCACTTAAAGTGATCTACAAATTCAGTGTAGTCTTTATCAAAATCCTAGGCAGTTCTGCAGAAATTGGCAAGCCACTTCTGATAGTCATATGGAAATGAAAGGAACTCAGAATAGCAAAAACAGTCTTGAAAAAAGAGAACAAAGTTTGGAGGACTCACTGTTCCCAATTTCAAAACTTATTACAAAGCTACAGTAATGACATTGTGGTACTGGCATAAGGATAGACATCTAGATTGTTAGAATAAAATTGAGAGTCTAGAAATAAACCTTTACATTTTTGGTCAGTTTTCAACAAGGATGCCAGGATAGTTCACTGGGGAAGGAATAGGCTTTTCGACAAATGACACTGGGTCACCTGGAGAAGCAGATGCAAAAGAATGAGTTTAGACTCCTACCTCATTATCATACACAAACATTAACTTGAAATGGGGTAAAGACCTAATGTAAGCTAAAATTCTAAAACTCTTAGAAGAAAATATAGGCATAAGTTCTTATGACCTTGGATTAGGCAGTGGTTTCTTGGCTATAACACCAAAAACAAGCAATCAAAGAAAAAATAAACATCAAAATTAAAAACTTTTATGCATGAAAGGATACTATCAAGACTAGTATAAGCACATGAAAAGGTTAGGGAAATACCAGTCAAGACGCAATGAGATACCATTTCACACCCACTAAGTTGGCTGGAATAACAAAGATGGACAATAACAAGTGGGGCAATTGGAACCAAGGATGTGGAGCAGTTAGAATCCTCAAACATTGCTGATGTGAATATAAAATAGTGTAATTGTTTGGAAAACATTTTGGCAGTTGCTTAAAAAGTTAAGCATAGTTACCATGATCCATCAAATCTGCTCCTAGGAATCTACCCAAGAGAATTGAAAACATGTCTATATGAAGATTTGTACACAAATGTCCATAGCAGTATTCTTTTTTTTTTTTTTGAGACAGTTTTGTCTTTTCGCCCAGGCTGGAGTGAAGTGGTGCAATCTTGGCTCACTGCAACCTCCACCTCCTGGGTTCAAGCAATTCTCCTGTCTCAGCCTCCCAAGTAGTTGGGATTCCAGGCTCCTGCCATCACACCTGGCTAATTTTTGTATTTTTAGTAGAAATGGGGTTTTGCCATGTTGGCCAGGCTGGGTCTCGAACTCAACCTCAGAGTGATCCACCCACCTTGGCCTCCCGAAGTGCTAGGATTATAGGCATGAGTCACTACGTCCGGCCAGCAGTATTATAATAGCAGTAATATAATATAGTGCTATTATAATAGCACTATAATAAAATAGTGGAAACAAATTTTATTTGATGAATGGATAAACAAAATGCGATCTATCCATACAATGGAATATTATTCAGCTATAAAAAGGAATAAAGTACAGCATGGTTGAACTTGAAAGTATGCTAAGTGAAAGAAGCTCAACACAAAAGCTACATATCATATGATTCCATTTACTTGAAATGTCCAGAATTGGCAACTCCATAGAGACAGAAAGTAGATTAGTGGCTGCCTAGGACTGGGAGGAGGCAGGAATGGGAAGTGACTAATGATAGATAGAGGTTTCTTTTGGGGGTGATAAAAATGTTCTGGAATTAGGGGTGATGGTTGCACAACCTTGTGAATATACTAACAAGTACAGAATTGTACACTGTAAAAGAATGAATCTTATGGTATGTGAATTTATCAATTTAAAAACAAAGGGGAAAAATACATACATACTTATAATAAGACAACCCAATAAAAAACGGACAAAAGATATCAATTGACATTTTAAAACCATAAACCTTCATAGTTAACATTTGAGGGCTACTTACGTGCCAGATAACAAACACTTTATTTTATTTTATTTTTTATTTATTTTAGAGATGGAGTCTCACTCTGTTGCCCAGGCTGGAGTGCAATGGTGCGATCTTGGCTCACTGCACCCTCAGCCTCCTGGGTTCAAGTGATTCTTCTGCCTCAGCCTCCCGAGTAGCTGGGATTACAGGCGTCCACCACCATGCCCAGCTAATTTTTGTATTTTTAGTAGAGATGGAGTTTCACCATGTTTCCCAGGCCGGTCTCGAACTCCTGACCTCAGGTGATCCGCCCACCTCGGCCTCCCAAAGTCTGGGATTACAGGCGTGAGCCGTTGTGCTTGGCTTTATTTTATTTTATTTTATTTTATTTTATTTTATTTTATTTTATTTTATTTTATTTTGAGACGGAGTTTCGCTCTTGTTGCCCAGGCTAGAGTGCAATGGCACGATCTTGGCTCCCTGCAACCTCCGCCTCCCGTGTTCAAGCGATTCTCTTGCCTCAGTCTCCCGAGTAGCTGGGATTACAGGTATGTGCCACCGTGCCCAGCTAATTTTGTATTTTTAGTAGAGACAGGGTTTCTCCACGTTGGTTAGGCTGGTCTCAAACTCCTGACCTCAGGTGATCGCCTGCCTCAGCCTCCCAAAGTATTGGGATTACAGGCGTGAGCCACTGCGCCTAGCCTATTTTATTTTTTAAGAGACAGTGTAGCTGGGCACGGTGGTTTACGCCTGTAATCCCAGAACTTTGGGAGGCCGAGGCGGGCAGATCATGAGGTCAGGAGATTGAGACCGTCCTGGGTAACACGGTGAAACCCTGTCTCTGCTAAAAATACAAAAAATCAGCCGGGCATGATAGCGCGTGCCTGTAGTCCCAGCTACTGGGGAGGCTGAGGCAGGAGAAATACTTGAACCCAGGAGGCGGAAGTTGCAGTGAGCCCAGATCATGGCACTCTATTCTAGCCTGGGTGACAGAGTGAGACTCTGTTTCAAAAAAACAAACAAAAAAAAGAGACAGAGTCTTACTGTATTGCCCAGACTGGAGTACAGTGGCAGAATTGTAGCTCACTACAGCCTCCAACTCCTGGGCTCAAGTGATGTTCCCATCTCAGCCTATAGCTTGGAGTACAGGCATGTGCCACTATGCCTGGCTAATTTTTTAAATTTTTTCTTAGAGGTAGGGTCTCACTGTGTTTCCCAGGTTAGTCTTGAACCTGGCCTCAAGGAGTCCTCCTGCCTTGGCCTCCCAAAGTGCTGGGACTACAGGAGTGAGCCTCTGTGCCTGGCCATAGATATTAAGCACTTGACACTTACTTTTTTTTCGTTGTTTTTTGTTTTTTGTTTTTTTTTTTTTTTTGAGACAAGAGTCTCACTCTGTCGCCCAGGCTAGAGTGCAGTGGCGTGATCTCGGCTTACTGCAACCTCTGCCTCCCAGGTTCAAGTCATTCTCCTGCCTCAGCCTCCTGAGTAGCTGGGATTACAGTTGCGCGCCACCATGCCCGGTTAATTTTTGTGTTTGTAGTAGAGACAGGGTTTCACCATGTTGATCAGGCTGGTTTTGAGCTCCTGACCTCGTGATCCACCCTCTTCTGCCTCCCAGTGTTGAGATTACAGTCGTGAGCCACCACGCCCTGCAGCACTTGACACTTTGTAATCTTTATAGCCAACCTCGAGATAGGTACTATTATTATTTCCATTTTATAGATTTAGAAATAGGAACTGGTTAAATAATAATCTAGTTAGTGAGTGTTGGACTAAGATTCAAACTCAGGAACTCAGTTTTTATTGACTATACTGTGTCCTGTTTATATACTACATACTGTGGTTTACTGTATAACCTTCTTGCACAGACCTTTGTGTGGACACTTCATTTCACAGGGCTGACTAACCACCTCACCATGGCTCTTTTTCCCCTTTACAGATCTATTAATGAGATGAAGCGGTTGGAAGAAATGTCAAATATGTTTCAGAGCTCTGGAGTCCAGCACCACCCTCCAGAACCAAAAGCCCAAACAGAAGGGAATGAAGATTCAGAGGGCAAAGAGCAACGTTGGGAAATGGTGATGGATAAGAAACACTTTAAGCTGTGGCGGCGCCCAATTACAGGCACCCACCTTTACCAGTACCGAGGTGAGCCCAGTGTGGCTATCTTTTGGGTTCCATAGTTGCACAGGTGCATGGGATTTCTGTTCTTCATACTTCTCTAAACTGTTCTGGTTGTTTCTCAGAAAATTTGCCGTAGTTTTTTGTTTATTGTTTTTCTTCTCCCAGATGACAAATGTCTCAGTGTTGTCTTTGCTTACATCCTCTTTGTCTTTCTTTGTTGCTCTACTAAGACTTCTAGTTTCTGAACCTGCCTTTAAGATCTCTTAGTACTTTAGATCTGAAACGCCGCTAGGTGAAAGAAACAAGGCGAGTGACTGGAGTATGGCCAGCATCCCTTATTCTTTCTTTTCATTCTAGTTTTTGGAACCTACACAGATGTGACACCTCGGCAGTTCTTCAATGTTCAGGTGAGTTAATTTTTCTCTCCAGATTTGGAGCCTCCTAGCATATCAATTGCTACTGTCTACATGAATCATTTATCTGACTCAGGTGACATTGGCTTAAGTACATCCATCTATCTACCTGTCATCCACATTGCATAGCATTTAGGTAAACATTTGACTTAGAATTTCTTTATCTGTCCCATGGGGATGAGATCAGTTTTACCCTCCCACAGGACTGTTGGGAATATCAGATAGAGGAATGGATATGAATACTTTAATGTATTTTATGAGGCTTTATTGTTTTTTTCCCCAAACAACTTAAGAGTAAGTTACATACATCATAGTCCTTTACTCCTAAATTCTTCCAGTGTGTATTTCCTAAAACTAGCCATATGCCGTATTTCTTAACTAATCATGATACCATTATTGAAATTAGTAAATTTAACACTGATGGAACACTTTCATGTAGTCCTCTGTTTGTATTTATCAGTTTTATCAGTTGACTCAATGTCCTTTATAGCATTTTCCACTTCAGTACAGATAGGATTATATTTAGTTGTCACATCTGTTTAACCTCAAATCAAGAACATTTCCATAGTGGAGGGTTTTTTTTTTTCTTTCCTCTCCCTGAGACAGGGTCCTGCTGTGTTACCCAGGCTGGAGTACAGTGGTGTGATCATGTCTTGCTGCAGCCTTTGTTTCCTGGACTCAAGTGATCCTCCCACCTCAGCTTCCAGGCCTACAGGCATGCGCCACCACACTTGGCTAATTAAAATTTTTTTTTCTTAGAGACAGGGTCTCCCTATGTCTCCTAGGCTGGTCTTGAACTCCCTGGGCTCTAGTGATCCTCCTGCCTTTGCCTCCCAAAGTGCCGGGATTACAGGTGTGAGTCACTGTGTTGGCCCAATGTTTATTTCATAAAGATGAAGAGTATCTGTTCAAAGACTGCTTTCCTCCTTGTAGGGGAAGATGGTTTAAAAAATGAAACAGGGAGGTGGGATCGCCCAGAGTTCTAGAACAAAATTTTTTTCTTTCTGGATTTTTCATTTGTTTTGCTGACTTCCGATAACTACTTCGTTGGTTATAACACTCACTCTAACGTGCAAGTGCACTTTCCCTGAGGTACTGGATCTTGTTAATTTGTAGTGAATTTTTGTTGGTTTTATGTATATGGTATATCTGTCTTAAGTTGAAAATCTTCAGTTACTAGTGATGCCAGAAATTTAAAAAAATATGCTGCTTGCATTTTTGTGTGTGAAGTGTCTACTTAATACTTTTGGACTTTTTGTTGTTTAAAACTTTTTAGAATTGTCTTACCCTTACACATTCATATCACTATATATTATTTTCCCCAGATGTGTCTATTAAAATATTTTGTTACACTTTTCCTTGGTTTGTCTAATGAAGATTCACATTCAGTGTAATGACATTAGCCTGTATAAGGTGATTTTGAAAGAAACATCTGTAGTAAACACAGCCATGTCTCTCACACTCTGGCACTGTCTGTTAGGTCAGATTACTCTCTCCTTGTAATAAGATTCTTGGATCAGAGACCAAAGCATCTGGAAAGCTTTCTGCATTTTTGTTTTGGGTCTTCTTGGGTATTCATGGTCTTTTCTCTTTCTGCAGCTGGACACAGAGTATAGAAAAAAATGGGATGCCCTGGTAATCAAGCTGGAGGTGATTGAGAGGGATGTGGTTAGTGGTTCCGAGGTTCTTCACTGGGTAACCCATTTTCCTGTGAGTATTTTTACTTCTGATTTTATTTCTGTCCAGGTTTGTGTGATGCAGAACACTAATCCTGCTCCTCCATTTCTTTAGTATCCAATGTACTCACGGGATTATGTTTATGTTCGGCGGTATAGTGTGGATCAGGAAAACAACATGATGGTGTTGGTGTCGCGGTATGTATGGCTGCCTGTGGCTGTTGCCGAGTTCCTTTAGCTGTGGCCTTCATTCCTACGTACCTGAGTTTGTATATTCTTAGTGTCCTATGAGTCTCCCACAGGCTTCCCTGCAGCCAGTGCCCCTTCCATCCAGCTAGAAGATGAGGGACTCTGACTGTCTAGAAAGAATGGAGAGATACAAGCTTTTAGTTAAACTGTTTTTTTGGGTTCTTTAATGTTGGTAATCAAAAGAAGTGCTGTTGTTTTTGACCCACAGCCTAGTGAGCCGTAAATTACCAAAGGAACTCACTTCATTTTTAATTAATTCATTTGTTTGTTGTAGACGCAGGGTTTCACAGTGTGGTCCAGGCTGGTCTTGGACTCCTGGCCTCAAGTGATCTTCCTTCCTTGGCTTCCCAGTGTTGGGATTACAGGCATGAGCCACCACGTCTGGCCTTCGCTTCATTTTTAGAACTTAGTTTGTATTTATTCATCTTAGTGACTCCTTTGTTTTGTGTATTTAAAAATATCAGAGCCAGCTTTTTAGGCCTTCCCCTTAACTTAGCTCTCCTGTTGTTTTATATATAGACATTACTAAGAGTTTGCTTCTCCTTTCCTCCTTACCAGTGCTGTGGAGCATCCGAGTGTGCCAGAGTCTCCAGAATTCGTCAGGGTCAGATCATATGAATCCCAAATGGTTATCCGTCCCCACAAGTCATTTGATGAGGTGAGTTTTACCTCATCCAAGAGATAACATGTCATGGCTGTGGAATTTTCTCAAGGGATGTCTTACCTGAACTAGGGAGGAGGGGGTGTGGCGCAGGAACAGTTCTCGCTCGGGGGAGTCTGATGCTACTGGTCTGGGAACCATTTTTTGGGAACTCCTGACGTAGGTGATGTACCTGGAAGTTCCCCAAGGACAAAGTAGTGGCAATCCATTGGTTCCCTCTTATCTGAGAGATAGTTAAAAGAATCATAGCCACTGACGCATTAGCCTGTATCAGTAGCATTCTTCAGGAACTAGAGCGAGTACCTCCTGTCAACATTTTACTACAGTGGGCAGAGCACTGGATGGAAACTTTTCTGGATTTCTGCTTCCTTGCCAGAGTAATGGGAAGATTGGACTCATGCTGTCTGCCTTCTTTAAAATTCTGTGACCTTTCTTTGAAAAGAATATTTATTTCAGCCTAATGAGGTGTTTTGTGTTTATTTTTTATCTTTTTAAGCTAAATCTCCACTGAGAGTATAGATATTGATGCTAGTGGCTGCTGGTTTTAGTTCCACTTCACCTTATAATGGCTTTGTTTCTCCCTATTGCTTGTGTTCGATTTAGGGCTATATGGACAGTGTTCTTTAGTGTAGTTTTCTTATTCTCATCAAGTTGTTTTATTTATACCACCTCAAGGACTTGAGTTGGTCCTTGTAAAAAAAAACAAAAAAAAAAGTACACTGGATAGAGAGGAAAGCAGGCAGGGCACTAGGGTTAGAAGACATGATTCAAGCAAAGACAAAGATAGGAATGAGCCAGGTATGCACTGAGAGACTCACATGCTTAGAGAGGAAAGTAGAGGTTAGGGAGAAGTGATAAATTGCATTGACTGTGTACAGAGGGTACTCGAAAACCATGTAGCTGAGTTTGGATTTGCCAAATGGGAATTAGATCTTTGAGCCAAGGTAGGGGGTTTTTATCATGGAAAATTTGAAATAGATACAAAAGATACAGAAGTAGAAGAGTATAATGAACCCCCTGTATCCATCCCCAGCTCCAGTTATCAACTTATGGCCAAAATTGTTTTATCTATACCCTTTCCCATTTCCTTTCTCACTCCCCTGATTATTTTGAAGCAAATTCTAGCTTTACTGTAGGAGAACCCAGTTCTTCTATTATATATTTCAGTATTTATCTCAAATAAGGATTTTGGGTTTTTTTGGAAACAGGGTCTCCCACTGTTACCCAGGCTAGTGTGCAGTGGTACAATCACAACTCACTGCAGCCTTGACTTCCTGGGCTCAGGTGATCCTCCTGCCTCAGCCTCCTGAGGAGCTGGGATTATAGGCGTGTGCCAACATGTCAGGCTAATTTTTTGTATTTTTTGTAGAGATGGGGTCTCACCATGCTGCGCAGGCTGGTCTCAAACTCCTGGACTCAAGCAATCCTCCCACCTCAGCCTCCCAAAATGCTGGGATTAGAGGCGTGAGCCACTGTGCCCAGCCCAAGTAAGAAATTTGTAAAACAGCTCTGGGCCAGGCAGCATGGAGAGACCCGGTCTCTACAAAAAATAAAAATTAGCCAGGCATGGTGATATGTGCCTGTAGTCCCAGCTGCTTGGGAAGCTGAGGTTGGGAGAATCACTTGAGTCCAGGAGGTCAAGGCTGCATTAAGCCGTGTTTGTGCCACTGCATGCCAGCCTGGGCAACAGTTTGAGACCCTTCTCAAAAAAAAAATAAAAAATAAAAAAGCCAGGCGCAGTGGCTCACGCCTGTAATCCCAGCACTTTGGGAGGCCGAGGCATGTAGATAACTTGAGGTCAGGATTTTGAGACCAGCCTGGCCAACATGGTGAAACCCTGTCTCTACTAAAAGTACAAAAATTATCCAGGCATTGTGGCACGTGTCTGTAATCCCAGCCACTTGGGAGGCTGAGGCAGGAGAGAATGGCTTGAACCTGGGAGGCAGAGGTTGCAGTGAGCCAAGATCGTGCCGCTGCACCCCAGCGTGGGCGACACAGTGAGACTCGTCTCAAAAAAAAAAAAAAAAAAAGACACAGACTTAAATGTACTTAGTTTTTAAATATATTATCCTTATTGATGCTCAAATTGATTCCAGTTTTGGTCATTGGGAGTCTTCTTGTTGGCTCAAGCCCCTTTGACATGACCCCAGAAGCTGTCTTGCTTTCTGGTGTTACAAGATGTTGTAGGTTCATCTTGTATATTTTTAGTTTTACACCTGGAAATTAACATTTCTTTAGGGAGTCCTGGTTCCTTTTAGTGGAAAATGGCATTTAAATACCACAATTTGGCTGCTAAGAATATTCATAGCTATTGGGTCGTTTATTGTTTGTAGGCCTTTTCAGAAGACAGAACCAAGTAATACATTTTACTGGTATGTTTATTTTTAAGATAAAATAAATCCTAAGTATATACTAATACTTTTAATTCAAATTCAGGACTATGGAGTTTTTATTTCTATCTTCTATCTTTTGTCTTTCCCTGTACTGTAGAACTCAATTCCCAGGAACCCTAACACAACTACTAATTTGTTGAAATACACAGCCTCAGAATAACAATACAGTAAGATCACCAATAATACGAAGAATAAAATTTTGTGGTCTTTTTGTCTTCAGGATGTGCATACTGTGTACAAAATATTGATTTTTTTTTTTTTTTTTTGGAGACGGAGTCTCGTTCTGTTGTGCAGGCTGGAGTGCAGTGGTGCGATCTTGGCTCACTTGCAACCTCCACCTGCCAGGTTCAAGCAATTCTCCTGCTTCAGCCTCCCAAGTAGCTGGGATTACAGATGTGCACCACCACGCCTAGCTAATTTTTGTATTTTTATTAGAGACAGGGCTTCACCATGTTGGCCAGGCTGGTCTCGAACTCCTGACTTCAAGTGATCCGCCCGCCTCGGCCTTTCTGAGTGCTGGGATTACAGGCATGAGCCACCGTGCCCAGCCCCCAGCTAAGATTTATGACAGTGTCAGAGTAAAGATATGCAGCTGGATCATAAGAGAAAAAGGCACAGGAGGAGTCTGGAGGAGTCCATGTGAAGCTTCCTTCCCCAGCAATGAAATGTAGCAATATGTGTGCAATGTTTCTGTTTAGGAAGGCCATTAGAAATTTAACACTCTGGCTGAGCACGGTAGCTCATGCCTGTAATCGCAGCACTTTGGGAGGCTGAGGCAGGAGGATCTCTTTAGCCAAGGAGTTTGAGATCAGCCTGGGCAACACAGGGAAGACCCAGTCTCTGCAAAAAATAAAAAATTAGTTGTGGTGGTAGTGCATGCCTGTAGTCCCTGCTACACAGGAGGTTGAGGTGGGATGACTGCTTGAGCCCAGGAGGTGGAGGCTGTACTGAGTCGAGATTGCATCACTGCACTCCAGACTGTGCAACAGAGTGAGACCTTGTCTCAAAAAAAAGAAAAAAAAAACACCCAAAGTGTTTTTTTTGTTTTTTTGTTTTTGTTTGTTTTGTTTTGTTTTTCTGAGATGAGTTTCGCTCTTGTTGCCCAGGCTGGAGTGCGATGGCGTGATCTTGGCTCACTGCAACCTCCGCCTCCCGGGTTCAAGCAGTTCTCTTGCCTCAGCCTCCCGAGTAGCTGGGATTACTGGTGTGTGCCACCACACCTGGCTAGTTTTTTTTTTTCTTTGTATTTTCAGTAGAGACAGGGTTTTGCCATGTTGGCCAGGGTGGTCTCAAACTCCTGACCTCAGGTGATCCATCTGCCTCAGCCTCCCAAAGTGCTGAGATTACAGACGTGAGCCACCACACCCAGCCCAAAGTGTTTTTTAAAGACGGAGTCTTGGCTGGGTGCAGTGGCACACGCTTGTAATCCCAGCACTTTGGGAGGCCAAGGTGGGTGGATCACTTGAGGTCGGGAGTTCGAGACCAGCCTGACCAAGATGGAGAAGCCCCGTTTCTACTGAAAATACAAAATTAGCTGGGCATGGTGGTGCATGCCTGTAATCTCAGCTACTGGGGAGGCTGAGGCAGGAGAATCACTTGAACTCAGGAGGTGGAGGTTGTGGTGAGCCGAGATTGTGCCATTGCCCTCCATCCTGGGCAACAAGAACGAAACTCTGTCTCAAAAAAAAAAAAAAAAAAAAAAAAAAGTCTTGGTCTGTCACCCAGGCTGGAGTACAGTGGCTCAATCTGTGCTCACTGCAACCTCTGCCTCCCGGTTCAAACGATTCTCCTGCCTCAGACTCCCAAGTAACTGGGATTACAGGCGTGTACCACCACGCCCAGCTAATTTTTTAACTTTCAGTAGAGATGGGATTTCACCATGTTGGCCAGGCTGGTCTCGAACTCTGGTCCTCAAGTAATCTGCCTGCCTTGGGCTCCCAAAGTGCTGGGATTATAAGGCATGAGCCACCACGCCCAGCCAACACCCAATTTATTTATTTATTTATTTATTTTTTGAGACGGAGTCTCGCTCTGTTTCCCAGGCTGGAATGCAGTGGCTAGATCTTGGCTCACTGCAACCTCTGCCTCCCGGGTTCAAGCAATTCTTGTGCCTCAGCCTCCCGAGTAGCTGGGACTACAGGTGTGTGCCAGTATGGCCGGTTAATTTTTGTATTTTTGGTAGAGATGGGGTTTCACCATGTTGGCCAGGCTTGTCTTGAACTCTTGACCTCAGGTGATCCGCCTGCCTCGGCCTCCCAAAGTGCTGGGATTGTAGGCATGAGCCACCATGCCTGGCCTAACACCCAAAATTTTTATTGGGAGCTGGTCACTTAGTACCGTCTGCTTAGCACATACCAGAATTCCAAACCCTGCAAAGCAAAGCCTGTGTTCAGCATAAACCACGTTGTTTGCATAGTCTATGCACAGGGAGCCACCCATATCAGCTAACTGTTGACTGGGAGCGAAGTTGGCCAAGGGTCAACATTGCAAGGAGACCTTTCTATAGATAGTAGTCTCTCAGGCCTTCAGTGTTAACTCTTTTCTGCACAGGGTGAAAAAAGAAATGACACTCCCTGCTCCAGAATCAGATCATAGTTATTCTATGGTACTGGATATGGAGGTTGTGGTTGGTGATTCAGGGATCTTCATTTTTGCTGTTTTTCTTTTCCAGAATGGCTTTGACTACTTACTAACATACAGTGACAATCCCCAAACGGTGTTTCCTCGCTACTGTGTTAGTTGGATGGTTTCCAGTGGTAAGTAAGGGCAAGTATACAGGGCCTGGAACCTGGGTTGAGCATTTTGTTTTTCTCTATTTCCTAATGGGGAAATAAAACGTCTCTTCTGGTTCTTCTTTTTTTTTTTTTTCTGAGACAGAGTTTTCACAACCCATGCTTTGGGAACACATTCCGGGAGGCAGCTCTTATTCACAGGCTAGTCAGGTTGTGATCTTTATAAGGAAGAACTAGTTCCCTACCATCAAAGAAATAGGGTCTTCTCATTTTGAGCCTACTGTTGGTTTGTATGTCAGCTTAACCTGATTCTCGTCTCCTGACAGGCATGCCAGATTTCCTGGAGAAGCTGCACATGGCCACTCTGAAAGCCAAGAATATGGAGATTAAAGTAAAGGACTACATCTCAGCTAAGCCTCTGGAAATGAGTAGTGAAGCCAAGGCCACCAGCCAGTCCTCTGAGCGAAAGAACGAGGGCAGCTGTGGCCCTGCTCGGATTGAGTATGCTTGACAGGCTTTGGGATAAGAAGGGACAAGGTGCTTCTAGCCCTGTCTCAGTCCGTTATCACTCTGCTGTAGAAGGGGGACATGCCACATGTATTAGAAGGCATCTGCTGTAACTTCCAGTGCAAGATAATTCAATAACTGATGTCCCATTTCATTCAGAGCCCTTATTGCTCTTATCAAAACAGAAGAAGGCTACATTTGTGGGAGTGTTGTCATATTCTCAGGCCAACTGTTTTGAAATTCGGTATCTCACTGAGCTAATCTGGAACAAACCTCTCACCTCAGGCCAGAAGGGGATGACCTCCATTTGCTTCTCTGAGTAGTTTCCTCTGCTGACATTCCAAATCCCACCATCGATTGTGCAGCGCTTTGGATTTCCTTCAGTTCTCCAGGTCCACCTGGAAAGTATAGTTGGCCAGTTGAGTCTCTCAAATGAGGGGCTACTGGGAGTGCTCTTGGTAACAATCATGATGTGAATGGGTGTGAACGATACTTGGCTATGTTAAGTGCCTTGTCCGCACCTTGCTTTTATCTCTAGAGACATGAAGTTATTATTAATTTTTTTTTTTTTTAAGTAGAGATGGAGTTTCACTCTGTTTCCCAGGCTGGTCTTGAACTCCTGGGCCATGCCTGGCCAGGGACATGAATTTGTACAAAGAAATTTCCCTCCCTGCCTGCACAATATCACCCATTGACTCACCTTATCCAAAGCAAGTTTCCTGTGAATCGGCCAGTTCTTCTATATTCATTGGATCATTGCCTCCTTCCTAACCTTCCCCATTTACCAAGAACACTGGGAGACTAATCCTTTTAGATAGTAGCTTTTTGATGCTCAAAACATCACATTTAAATTTAGTTTAAAAATTTTTTAACTTTTGTGTCAAATAGGAGTTGAGGAATTGAGCAGGATTCTACCCTAGTCCGATTGTATAGAAAACACCATTTTGATTCAGGTATTATTTTTCATATTTCAGGTTTGACTTGTTCTTTTCAGAAGGCTAAAGTCAGAGGAATGGGGGCTGGGCCACTCCCTTGGAGCTCTCAGATCTACAGACAAGCTGTGTGAATGCATAGATGTAATCTTGTCTCAAATACTAATACAGTGGAGATTTGGTTTATGTTACCATTAAGTTCCTCTAAAAAGTTTTTCTTCCTCTCTTCAGAGCCAAAATAAAAGTGAACTACACTGTTCAGATAAGGTCACAATCTGATGCTGTCAGTTTGACCGAGCTGGTTTTGCTTATGGTCATGCTGCAATTTGTTAGAATAATAGGGATCAAGTTTTAAATCCTCCTCCTTCCCTTTTTTCTGGAGTCTTGAGGGCCAGAGTTTTTGTTTTTGTTTTTGTTTTTGTTTTCCTGCTTGCTACTGTTTTGTGGTGTTGAAAAGTGGTTTAAACCTGAGACTAACTTAAACACTTCCTTGACCTTCTTGTTGCCTGTTCATTTTTGTGCCAAGGAAGTAGCTGCCCCAGTGTATGTCTTGCCTTCTCCGCGTCATTGTTGGAAGAGGAGAGATGCATCGAGCAGTCCCAGCTGCTTTTCATTTATTACTTCTTCTTTCCAGGACCTGACAGAAGTCAGGGAAGAGTCCCTGGGTTATGTCCAAACTTAGCACCTGCAATTGTTGGGATGTGGATGGATGTGTGCATAAGAGAGAGAGAGAATATGTGTGTGTGTGTGTGCGTCTGCGAGCGCACACACATGCACAAGTGCGAAGGAGTTGCGGTTGCTCCATGTTCTGACTTAGGGCAATTTGATTCTGCACTTGGGGTCTGTCTGTACAGTTACTCATGTCATTGTAATGATTTCACTCCTAACTGTGACATTTTTATCAAATGTGTGAATAAATACATAAAGATTGGTACAAAAAAAAGTGTTTGTCTTTGGACAAATGGTGGTGGAAAAATCTTGCATATTGGACTTACCATTTCTTTCTGATCACAAAGTTGAAAAGAATTTTACTCTGAGAGTTGGGAGGTGGAAGTGGCAGGGCTTGTTCATTCTTGGTAGATAGTGGCTGACACAGTTTGCCTAGACCACGAGCCCTTTCCAAGTGACCTGCTTGGCAACTGAAAATAAACCACCTATGTCCACTTCCCTAGCTTGATATACTGACCCATATCCTTTCCCTTTAAAAAAAGATCACTTTGGAGGGAGCAGTGCTAGAGCTTAGCAGACGGTAGAAATCAGGAGGGACAGAAGCAGGCCTGAGGTCTAGGGTTGAGGTTGAGGAGAGGGTCAAGTCAGCGCTCTTGGCGGAGGGGCAGTCCTGCTGGCATGCTCTGAGCATAACATGAGTTTATGTGTAATTTTGCCTGTGGGAAGCACTAGGTGAACACAAAAGCACACCCAGTTGAACTGAGCTGCATAGGAACACACAAGGCACACGTCCCTGTGTGGTGTACCATCTGATTCCAGAGAACCGCACGCCCCATCTCATGCTTGCAAGCCGCAGCCCTTCCATCGGCCATCCTGGCTCTGCCTCACACTCTGCTCTTTATTCTCTTTCAACCTCATTTGTGTTTTACCTCTCTAATTTTTTTTTTTTTGAGACGGAGTCTCACTCTCGCCTAGGCTGGAGTCCAGTGACGAGACCTCGGCTCACTGCAACCTCTACCTCCCGGGTTCGAGCAATTCTCCTGTCTCAGCCTCCCTAGTATCTGGGACTACAGGTGTGTGCCACCAAACCTGGCTAATTTTTGTATTTTTAGTAGAGATGGGCTTTCACCATGTTAGCCAGGCTGGTCTCGAACTCCTGGCCTTAAGTGATCCACCCACCTTGGCCTCCCAAAGTGTTGGGATTACAGGCGTGAGCCACCGTGCCCGGCCTATAACATTTTTAAGTGACAAAATTTTAGAAATGGAAGATTGATTTAGAAATGGCCGGGCGCAGTGACTCATGCCTGTAACTTTCGGGGGCCGAGGCTGGTGGATCACCTGAGATCGGGAGTTCAAGACCAGCCTGACCAACATAGAGAAACCCCGTCTCTTCTAAAAATACAAAATTAGCTGGGTGTGGTTGTGCATGCCTGTAATCCCAGCTACTTAGGAGGCTGAGGCAGGAGAATCACTTGAACCCAGGAGGCAGAGGTTGCGGTGAGCCAAGATCACGACACTGCACTCCAGCCCAGGTGACAGAGCAAGACTCTGTCTTAAAGAAAAAAAAAAAACCACATAGACCAGGCAGGGTGGCTCACACCTGTAATCCTGACACTTTGGGAAGCCGAGGCAGGCGGATCGCCCGAGGTCAGGAGGTTGAGACCAACCAGGGCAATATGGTGAAACCCCGTCTCTACTAAAAATACAAAAAAATTAGCTGGACACAGTGGTGGGTACCTGTAATCCCAGCTACTCAGGAGGCTGAGGCGAGAGATTTGCTTGAACCCGGGAGGCAGAGGTTTCAGTGAGCCAAGATCACACCATTGCACTCCAGCCTGGGCAACGAGCGAAACTCGAAAAACCAAACAACAAACCAGAGCAACACCAGGGATCCCTTGCGATGCTGGTCTACCACCACAGTCAACTGTGGTGTTAGATACACAAAACTACACTGGTGATAAAATTTTAAAGCTTTTTTTTTTTTTTTTTCCCGAGACAGAGTCTCGGACTGTTGACCGGGCTGGAGTACAGTGGCTCGATTTCAGCTCACTGCAACCTCTGCCTCCTGGGTTCAAGCTATTCTGCCTCAGCCTCCCAAGTAGTTTGGATTACAGGTGCCTGCCACCACGCCCTGCCAATTTTTTGTATTTTTAGTAGAGGTGGGTTTTTACTATGTTGGCCAGTCTCAAACTCCTGACCTCGTGATCCGCCCGCCTGAGCCTCCCAAAGTGCTGGGATTACAGGCATGAGCCACTGTGCCCGGCTAAAATTTTATAGCTTTTTTTTTTTTTTTTTTTGAGACAGAGTTTTGCTGTTGTTGCCCAAGCTGAAGTGCAATGGCACAATCTCGGCTCACCACAACCTCCGCCTCCCGGGTTCAAGCGATTCTCCTGCCTCAGACCCCTGAGTAGCTGGGATTACAGGCATGCGCCACCACCCTGGCTAATTTTGTGTTTTTAGTAGAGACGGGGTTTCTCCATGTTGGTCAGGCTGGTCTTGAACTCCCAACCTCAGGTGATACACCTGCCTTGGCCTCCCAAAGTGCTGGGATTACAGGTGTGAGCCACCGTGCCCGGCAAATTTTATAGCTCTTTTTTTTTTTTTTTTAGATGGAGTGTCTTGCTCTGTTGCCCAGGCTGGAGTGCAGTGTCGCAATCTCAGCTCACTGCAAGCTCCACCTCCCGGGTTCACGCCATTCTCCTGCCTCAGCCTCCCAAGTAGCTGGGACTACAGGTGCCTGCCACCACGCTTGGCTAATTTTTTGTATTTTTAGTAGAGTTGGGGTTTCACCGTGTTAGCCAGGATGGTCTTGATCTCCTGACCTCGTGATCTGCCCATCTTGGCCTCCCAAAGTGCTGGGATTACAGGCGTGAGCCACTGCGCCCAGCCCAATCTTTCTTCTTTTTCTCTATGTTTTCTCTCACTTTGTCTTATCTTTTGTTCTCTTCCTCTTCATGCAGGGTGGTACGCGTGGGAGCTGGGTGGGCTGTCCAGTGTGTTTCTGCCTGCAAATTGCAGGTCAAGGTAGACTGCTTTATTTCTTAACCATTGACATATTTGAAACTGGTACCTTTTTATGTGTCACAAAGATTTGAGTATTGCACACCTAAACCCATTTCTCTATAGGCCTTGCAGTTTTTGTTGTGTGGTTTGTGTAGACATGTTGTGAGACAGCAGCACTGAGTGTTCTATGAACAGGAGAACCAAATAATAGGAAAGTAGTGATGCTTTAATAGCTAGCGTGGGCTTAGCTATCACAGCGTGGTGACCGTGGGTTGAGTGTTAGTATGAGGTTTTCATTTTAAAAAATGTATATATATATAGAAAAAGACGAAGAAACTACGTTGTATACCCTTCCCTTTGCTGGTGTTTAACATCTGCTGTGTGTGCTTTCTCTTTCTATATACACAGTGTCATGATCATTTGAAAGTAGGATGCAAACATCATGGTATTTCACCCCTAAACAGTTGAGCATGCTTTTTATAATACAGGTGTTCTGTGTAGCCACAATACCATGAGCACACAAGATAAATAACAATGCCACAATATCTAATAATGCAGTTCATATTAAAATTTCCAAAATGACTTTTATAGCCTCCCCAACCCAAGATTAATTATCGTGTGTTGCATTTGTCTCTTTGGCCACTTTTTTTTTTTTTTGTGAGACAGAGTGTTGCTCTGTCACCCAGGCTGGAGTGCATTGACACCATCTCAGCTCACTGCAACCTCCACCTCCCGGGTTCAAGCAATTCTTCTGCCTCAGCCTCCCGAGTAGCTGGGATTACAAGCGTGCACCACCACACCCAACTAATTTTTATATTTTTAGTAGAGATGAGGTTTCACCATGTTAGCCAGGCTGGTCTCAAACGCCTGACCTCAAGTGATCCACCCGTCTCAGCCCCCAAAACTGCTGGGATTACAGGCGTGAGCCACTTCGCCCGGCCTTCTTTGGCCACTTTTCATCTAGAACAGTAGTCTACCTTTTGTAACTTCACCTGTGCTTCATATAATAGAATGTAGAGCAGTGGTCTTCAAGCTTGGCTGCACTTGGGAAGCTTTGCAAACTCCCAAAGCCTGGCCCCACCCCAGACCATTGAAACCTCTAGGGGTGAGCAAGTGTTGTGCAAGTGTACATGAACAAGTGTTAAATGTTGAATGTGATCAAAGGGAGACAAATAGGCTAGAGAGGCAACAGTCTTCCTAGATCCGCATACTACTGATGTAAGTCTTGTCATACTGTTGGCTTATGCTGAGTTTGGGATTAGCCAATAATAGCCACCATTATTGAGCATCTACTGTGCCAGGCACCATGCTTCATGCCTTCATCTAATTCTATAGCCCTGTGAGTATGTAGCTAGTGCCTCATCTATAAAATGAAGAGATGGCATTAGAGGTTAAGTAATTTTCTTGCTCAGGGTCACACAGGAAGTGACAGCCAGGATGCAGACCTAGCTCTAACATCTCCAAAGACAGCTGGCAGCATGGCTTAAAACTTATGTTTTTAAATTTTTTTATTTTCCCCCTAAAACTTAATGTTTATAAATACTGCCAGATTCTTTCCCCTGGGGGTAGTTGACTTGTTTGGAAGCTTGGATCATAGCTTGCTTTATTTTTTATTATTTATTTATTTATTTTTATTTTTTGGCTAGTGACACAGCCCTCAGGAGATCTTGAGAACATATGCCCCATGAGCTTGCTTTTTAAAAAATTTTATTTTTTGAGATAGTCTCGCTGGTGCCCAGGCTGGAGTGCTGTGGTGCCATCAGATCTCACTGCAGCTTTGAACTCCTGGGTTTAAGTGAACTCCCACATCAGCCTCCTGAGTAGCCCAGACCAACCACAGGCATGCACCACCATTCCCATCTAATTTTTCTGTAGAGATGGGGTCTCACTGTGTTGCCCAGGCTGGTCTCAAACTCCTGACTTCAAGTGATCCTCCCACCTAGATCTCCCAAAGTATTGGAATTACAGGTGTAAGCCACTGTGCCTGGCCTAGGCTTGCCTGCTTGCTTGACTTTTGTTTTTTCAGAGTCCCACTCTGTCACCCAGGCTGGATTGCAGTGGCGCAGTCAAGGCTTACTGCAGTCTTCAACTCCCTGGGCTCAGGCAATCCTCCCACCTCTGCTGGGACTACAGCACGAGCCACCACACCTGGATAATTTTTGTATTTATTTTATAGGTGGGCTTTCACCATGTTGCCCAGGCTGGTCTCAAAACTGGCCTCAAGCAATCTTCCCAATTTGGCCTCCCGAAGCACTGGAATTATAGGTGTGAGCCACTATGCCTGGTTTAGGCTTGCTTTCTGTGTTAAATTTTATGTGGTTTACACTTCTTACCCTCTAGTTCCATCCAGTATAATAGCCAGTTGCTTGAACTTTATCTCTTTCACCAATTGTTTGAGTTCTGTTTCTGTAAGTATCTGGAATCATTTTTCTCTAGAACACTTCAGAATGTACACCACTCCCAGTACCATACTGTGTAATGAAGGGATGGGGGGTGGGGACATCTTGAAATAACGTTTTCTAAAGGTATTAAATTTCAAAGTCACCAGTCTCTGAACCCACCATGATAGGACAGAAATCTAAATATTTTTCTCAAAGTGAAAATAGCAATAAAATCTGAGAACTATGATTTCTAATGAATAAACTTGAAAGCCTTTTAAAAATCAAGCAGTAACGTGTAGATGAAAGTGATCTTAATGCAGATGTACTATCCCTATAAGCCTCAGCGGGTACTTGATGGAGCATCATTCAAATAGAGCCTCAGGCTCTCCACTGTCAGAGCTGCTTTAATAACCTCAGGGTTGGTTGTGACCCACACATATACTTTAAAACATTTTTAAACAGATAATTTATAAATTTTATAAATGACCTTATTGCCCCCCACCCCTTTTTTTTTTTTTTGGACACAGAATCTTGCTCTGTCGCCCAGGCTGGAGTGCAATGGCTCAATCTTGGCTCACTGCATCCTCTGCCTCCCGGGTTCAAGCAATTCTCTGCCTCAGCCTCCCAAGTAGCTGGGATTACAGGCACCTGCCACCACGCCCAGCTAATTTTTGTATTTTTAGTAGAGACAGGGTTTTATCATCTTGGCCATGCTGGTCTTGAACTCCTGAACTCATGATCCACCTGCCTCAGCCTCCCAAAGTGCTGAGATTACAGGCGTGAGCCACCGCACCTGGCCTATTATCCACTTTTAAAGAGCCTAACCATACCTAAAAAGGTAGGCTGAGTGTTTGAATATGTGAGC
Organism: Homo sapiens; assembly: GCF_000001405.40. Classification (NCBI taxonomy): domain Eukaryota; kingdom Metazoa; phylum Chordata; class Mammalia; order Primates; family Hominidae; genus Homo; species Homo sapiens. The sequence goes on along the minus strand of NC_000002.12, from coordinate 96,178,883 downwards.
CGGGCGTGGTGGCTCAGGCTTGTAATCCCAGCAGTTTGGGAGGCCAAGGCAGGCAGATCACCTGAGGTCAGGAGTTTGAGACCGGCCTGGCCAACGTAGCGAAACCCCGTCTCTACTAAAAATACAAAATTTAGTCGGGCGTGGTGGGTGCATGCCAGTAGTCCCAGCTACTCAGGAGACTGAGGCAGGAGAATCACCTGAACTGGGGAGGTGGAGGTTGCAGTGAGCTGAGATTGCACCATTGCACTACATCCAGCCTGAGCAACAAGAGCAAAACTCCGTCTCGAAAAAAAAAAAAAAGTAATATGTAAATGCTTTTCAGTAAATGCATTTTGTCATATCTTAAAATTCTGCTGTGTATGGGAGTTTAGGATTATGTTTAGCCTTGAGGAATAGAGGCTACCATGTGGCTGAAACAAATTTACCCTTGATTCTTGTGAGTGTAGCCAGTCCAGGACTGGTATGATAGCTCTGCAGTCCTCCTGGTCCCAGGCTCCTGCTGTCTTCTCCATACAGCCTCCACCAAGGTGGAATTACAGTTGCATCAGAATCTGAGGGTGGGACCCAAGCATCCTGTTTTTTTTAAAGTTTTCAGGGATCCTAATGTGCAGTAAAGTTTGAGAAGCACTGGCGAAGGGGTTCAAAATAAGGACTCTGTAGCTAGAGTCAAAGGTTGTGTGACTTTGAACAAGTTAATGAACCTTTTTCCTCATCTGTAAAAGGGAAATGAGTACCTACCTTGTATGGTTACTGTGAAGATTACATAATACATGTAAAGTACTTAGACTGGTGTCTGAGACATAGCACTCCATACATTCTCACGGTCTTCTTTTCTCCTGATTACGTTTCTGGAAATAGTAGAGTTTGTCAATGCCCTTCCTAAAATGCAGAGCCCAGGGCTAGACCCCTTTCTGTTCCCTGGAAGGTAGGCATCCCCAGGGAAGGGACAGTGTCTGTGTTCCCAGTGCCCCAGCGGGACCGGCTCCACCTCCAGCCATCACGTCTGTTCCACCAGTGGGAAGGAACAAGGGGAGAAGTGGATGGCCTCTGCCTTTGAAGACACTTTCCATTTTTACCTGCGGCCAATGGCCACACTTTCAAAGAACACCAGCTGCTGGGAAATAATTTATATTTTAAGCAGCTATGTGCCCAGTTAAAATTCAGAGGTGATTTGCTGGGCAAGAAAGGGAGAATGGAAATGGAGGACAGCTGGGAGTCTTTGCCAAATTATAGCTGAAAATAACTTTAAATGAATCACTTCAAAGGACCAAATGGTTCAGTTAAAAAGGGAAAAATCGCCAGTAGATGTTTTAGAACTTTCAGTAGTCTAGAACTCAGTAGATGTAGAATTTATTTGGCATCGACATCAAGCCAATTGGCCTGTAATTCATCCCCTTTTTGAAAACCCTAATAGCCTTTGCCCATCTCCAATCAGCGGTGCCTCTTTCTTCAGGAATTTAGACATTTAGTCCTTGTTGAGGACCCTCTGAAGAAATCTGCTTGGCCTCAGTGTCCGGAATAGGACTCTCAGGCATGCTTTTTTTTTTTTTTTTTTTTTTTTTGAGACAGAGTCTCGCTCTGTTGCCAGGTTGGAAGTGCAGTGGTGCGATCTCGACTCACTGCAACCTCCGCCTCCCGGGTTCAAGCGATTCTCCTGTCTCAGCCTCCCAAGTAGCTGGGAATACAGGTGTGTGCCACCACACCTGGCTAATTTTTGTATTTTTAGTAGAGACGGGGTTTCACCATGTTGGCCAGGATGGTCTTGATCTCCTGGTCTCGTAATCTGCTCGCCTCAGCCTCCCAAAGTGCTGGGTTTACAGAGGTGAGCCACTACGCCTTGCTGCACTTGTATTTTTGCTTCATTTCTAGATCCACTTTCTGTCCCTGCCCTTATTTGTGTGTGTGTTTTTTTCTTTCTTATATCTTTCTGTTTCTACTTTTAAACGTCTTGTGTCTGATATTTTTGTTGGCTAATTTGCTCCTCTGTTGGAACACAAGCATTGTCTAGATTAACACAAGTATCTGGCACACTTCCCATTTCCATACGCAAGTGATTGTAGTTGCCTGGGCTGTGGTTCTACATCTGGAGGTCAGGATTCATTTGGAAAGTTTAGGTGATGGGAGAGGAAGAAGGAACTGTTTTGGTATCCAGTTTCCTTTTTTCCGATGTGTTCAATCTTCCCTTTCCATCAGAAGATACAGAAGATACAGAAGTGGGCTGTGCATGGTGTTCACCTGTAATCCCAGCATTTTGGGAGGCCGAGGTGGGCGAATCACTTGAGGTCAGGAGTTCAAAACAAGCCTGGCCAACATGGAGAAACCCTGTCTCTAACAAAATACAAAAATTAGCTGGGCTTGGTGGTGCGCACCTGTGGTTCCAGCTACTGGGGAGGCTGAGGCAGGAGAATCGCTTGAACCTGGGAGGCGGAGGTTGTAGTGAGCCGAGATCGTGCCACTGCACTCCAGCCTGGCGACAGAGTGAGACTCCGTTTCAAAAAAAAAAAAGAAGATACAGAAATGGGAAACTTTGTGGGTGCAGGTTGGGGTGTCCCCAGGTGACTCCGGAGTGGTCAGCTGTGTGCATTTCTGTGTCCCAGGAGCTGCACCTCAGTTCTGTGGGCTGGGAAACTCCACCATGTCAGAGACCAGAGTTGGTTGAACTCAGTGTCTAACCAGGCTCCCAAGAGAAAGACACATTTAGCAGTCCAAGAAATACATGCTGGCAGGATGAGTCAGGCCTTGCTAGCCCGACCAGGGTCATCTCCACTGTAAGCAAAACACATGGGAAGCCCAATCACAGGGTTTCGTGGTGATCATGCAGGCAGGTGAGCATTCGCTTGGCTATATTTGTCCCACTACCACCTTCTGAGCTCGTCAGCAAGCTCCTGCGCAGTCTGGTGTTTTTGTTTTGTTTTGTTTTGTTTTTTGACATTGGAGTCTTGCTCTGTTGCCTAGGCTGGAGTTCAATGGCACAATCTTGGCTCACTGCAACTTCTGACTCCCAGGTTCAAGCAATGCTCCTGCCTCAGCCTCTTGAGTAGCTGGGCTTACAGGTGCATGCCACCATGCCCAGCTAATTTTTATATTTTTAGTAGAGATATGGTTTCACCATGTTGTCCAGGCCGGTCTTGAACTCCTGACCTCAGGTGATCCGCCTGCCTCAGCCTCCCAAAGTGCTGGGATTACAGGTGTGAGCCACAGCACCCGGTCTTTACTTTGTTATTTTTAAATTTTTTTCTTAAAATGTTCTCTGCTTTTGGGGGCTTGGGACTGTTCAGGGTATGTGTGTATATTTCAGTTTGCATTTCCCTAGACAGGATTGAGCCCAATATTTAAACAAATGTAGTTTAATGCTGAAAGGCACTTTAGAGGGCATCAGGTACAGATCTTTCATTTATAAACGATGCTCAGAGCTTAGCATTTGTTCCAAGTCACACAGCTCTTCCCTGGTCTAGAACCTTGGTCTTCTGGGATCCAATGCATTTTCCATTCCACTGTGTAATTTCTTGGCGAAGTTTTCGGAGAAATCTTTAGAATTCATAATATGCATGCCGTAAAGCCTTAAAACCACTCCCAACTACCCTAAGAACACCCTGGACGAGGAGTGTATTAGTTTGGTCATAATCAGCTGCTGTAACAAAGTGCCACAAACTGAGTGGCTTAAACAATAAAAATTTATTGTCTCACATTTTTGGAGGCTGGAAGTCCAAAAGCAAGGTGTGAGCAGGGCTGGCTCCTTCTGAGGGCAGTGAGGGAGAATGTTCTAGAACTCTGTCCCAGCTTTTTGTGGTTGCTGGCGTGTGAGCTGCATCACCCCAGTCCCTGCCTTTGTGTTCCCTGCATGCACGTGTTGCCCACATTTCCTTTTAATAAGGACACCAGTCATATTGCATTAGGGACCACACTACTTCATTATGACTTGATCTTAACTGTATCTGTAACACCCTATCTCCAAATAGGGTCACATTCTGAGATACTGGGGATTAGACCTTCAACATATGAATTTTAGAGGGATACAATTCAATCTAGAACAAGGGGAGATCTGCAGAGAACTCAATTTAAGAGATGAATTTTCAAAACCGGTGTCTGGAGGCCACTGTCCCAGTAGAGTCCATAAAGACTCCCAGCCTGGCCAGGGTCACCTATCCTGCAGCTTCCATGTTGAGCAGCAGGGGGCAGGGCTGTGCCACCCACTAGGAGTCTTGCCAGCCTGCCCGTGGCTGCTGGAAGGATTTTATAGCTCCTGACAACTGACAGTTCAATGTGGGTCTATATGGGCACCATCGTCCCCTCAGAGCCTTGATTTACATCAAGTCCTATGAATGAAAGAGAGGAAGTGGGTCAGATGACCACAGCCTGTGCAGGTTGCACAGTAGTGCACCAGTGGGAAGAGGAGGCCAAGGGTTTGTCCCTTTAGATAACTGGGAGAGTCACAGGCTCCAGGTGGTGACTAAGAATGTGTTTGCTGAGGAGACAGATGGACAGATGGGGATAACTAGACAGCAGCTTGGATGAGCTGCCTTTTTCCTCATCACCCTCCTGCTCCTGGAGGCCAGTCCGGTGTTCAGCCTAGGAAGCTGGGTTGGCCACTCCGGAAGGAGCCAGGACTGCCAGGCCACTCGGAGGATCCAGCTGTCTGATGTTCCAATGCTCCTGTTATGATTCCTCCACTTCTTATGAAACTCATTATTGCTTCCTGTATTTCTGTGCCTAGGAAAGAAGGTGTGATGGGGTGATAATCAGCAAGGACTTATTGAGGGCCCACTGTGTGCTTTAGGACTTTCAAAGGAATTATAAAGCAGCTGGGGAGACAACCCTGGCCTAGACATAATTGCACAGCCCAGCATCGAGAACCAGCAAAGCCTCAGTCCTGTGTAGCAAGGACAGAGTAGGACTGGGTGAGCTGTGACTCCGTTCCTGAGACCAACTGTCTCGAACATAGTTACACCAGCGGCCTGCTGGTTCATCACCCAGAATGTTCTGGATACTCCTTTGGATCTTGCCTTCATATTCTTTTGTTTTCTACAGTATTAATTAAGAGGCTAAAAGATAATGCACTTATGCATTTCTTTTTTTTTTTGAGACGGAGTCTCACTCTATCACCCAGGCTGGAGTGCAGTGGCTCACTGCAATCTTTACCTACCAGGTTCAAGCAATTCTCGTGCCTCAGCCCTCCCAGTAGCTGGGACTGCAGGTGCGCACCACCACGCCCGGCTAATTTTTGTATTTTTAGTAGAGACATTTTACCATGTTGGCCAGGCTGGTCTTGAACTCCTGACCTCAGGTGATCCACCCACCTTGGCCTCCCAAAGTGCTCGGGATTACAGGCATGAGCCATTGCGCCTGGCCTAACTTAAGCATTTCTTTTACACATAAAAATATAAAGAAAAATTACATAATCTGTACAACCCAGAGCATCAGTGTATTTTTCTCCACTTGTATTTGTACGTAACATTTTTTCTGGCTGAGCACGTTGGCTCACGCCTGTAATCTCAGCACTCTTTAGTATTCTCTACTAAAAATACAAAAATAAACTGGGCGTGGTGGCACACGTCTGTAATCCCAGCTACTTGGGAGGCTGAGGCACGAGAATCGCTTGAACCTGGGAGGAAGAGATTGCAGTGAGCTGAGGTCGCACCATTGCACTCCAGCCTGGGCAACACAGCAAGACTCCATCTCAAAAAACCCAAAAAACTAAAAAACCATTTTTAGTTTTTATCCAAATATTTGTGCGCATAGTTGGAAAAGTCATGGCCGGGCACTATGGCTTATGCCACCTGTAACCCCAGCTACTCCGGAGGCTTGAATCAGGGAGGCGGAGGTTGCAGTGAGCCAAGATGGCACCATTGAACTCCCTCTGCCTGGGCAACAGAGTGAGACTCAGTCTAAAAAAAAAAAAAAAGTCAAATCGTTCTTAAAGTTTGTTATGAAAACTCCTCCCACCATCTCCCCTCCCCAGGGACAGCCAGTTTCACCTCTCCCAGCATATTATATTGATATTTATCTCCAGGTCTCTAAATAATGTGCTTATCTCGCCCCTCCTTGCTTTTTCATTTTAGGCATTATATGAAGACTTCGCTCTTTCTTCCCATCCCCACCCCCTCGCAATGACTTAGCTCTTCCTTCCCCTCCTTGCCCCCCTTATCCCCTCTTTGTCCCAGAGTACTTAATTATACTGAATTAGTTACAGTATTATTTAGCATTTACAGTATTACGAGCATGGAAATATCACAGGCAAGACACTACACTGTTTTCTAGCACGACTTTTTGTTTTCCTAGAGCCAGTACTTGGTTTTTCATTTATTTAGTTTGTTGTGGTTGTGTATGTGTGTGTTTTTTTGTTTTTGAGATGGAGTCTCTGTCTCCCAGGATTGTGGTTGTGTGTGTGTTTTTTTGTTTTTGAGACCAAGTCTCACTCTCCCAGGGTTTTGTGTGTGTGTTTGTTTCTGAGATGGAGTCTCACTCTGTCTCCCAGGGTTCTTTCTCTCTCTCTCTCTCTCTCTCTCTCTCTGTGTGTGTGTGTTTTTGAGATGGAGTCTCACTCTGTCTCCCAGGGTTGTGGTTGTGTGTGTGTGTGTATGTTTTTGTTTTTGAGATGGGGTCTCACTCTGTCTTCCAGGGTTTTGTGAGTGTGTGTGTGTGTGTGTGTGTGTGTGTGTGTTTGAGATGGAGTCTCACTCTGTCTCCCAGGCTGGAGTGCATGGCTCGATCTCGGCTCACTGCAACCTCTGCTTCCCGCATTCAAGCGATTCTCCTGCCTCACCCTCCTGAGTATCTGGGACTACAGGCACCTACCACCATGCCTGGCCCTGTTGTGTCCTTACCACTAACCACCCTCGCTGGCGCGGTGGCTCACGCCCGTAATCCCAGCAGTTGGGAGGCCTAGATAGGTGGAGCACTGGAGACCAGGAGTTGGATATCAGCCTAGGTAACATCGTGAGACCCTATCTCCACCAACAATACAAAAACTAGCTGGGTGTGGTGGTGCGCACGCCTGTAGTCCCAGCTACTCCGGAGGCTGAGGCGAGAGAATCGCTTGAACCTGGGAGGTTGCAGTGAGCCGAGACAGCGCCACTGCATTCCAGCCTGGGTGACGGAGCAAGGCTCCGTCTCAAAAACAAAACAAAACAAAACAAAACAAAACAAAACAAAATAAACAAAACCACTCACCCTCTCTGGCAATTGGGATCTCTCTCTCTGCTGCTGCAGCAGGTGTGGTAAGATTTCAATTCCCGCGGGGTCTGGGCCTCCCAGGTTCAAGCGATTCTCCTGTCTCAGCCTCCCGAGTTGCTGGGATTACAGGCGCGCCTGGCTAATTTTTGTGCTTTTTTTTTTTTTTTTTTTTTTTTTTTGAGACGGAGTCTTGCTCTGTTGCCCAGGCTTGAGTGCAGTCGCGTGATCTCGGCTCACAGCAAGCTCCGCCTCCCAGGTTCATGCCATTCCCCTGCCTCAGCCTCCCGAGTAGCTGGGACTACAGGAGCCTGCCACCACACCTGGCTAATTTTTTTGTATTTTTAGTAGAGACGGGGTTTCACCGTGTTAGCCAGGATGGTCTCGATCTCCTGACCTCGTGATCCGCCCGCCTCGGCCTCCAAAAGTGCTAGGATTACAGGCGTGAGCCACTGCACCCGGCCATTTTTGTGTTTTTAGTAGAGACGGGGTTTCACTATGTTGGCCAGGCTGGTCTTGAACTCCTGACCTCAAGTGATCCACCCACCTCGGCCTCCCAAAGTGCTGGGATTACAGGTGTGAGCCACCACCTCCAGCCTGATATTGAGTTTTAAATTTCTGCTTTCTTATTTTTAATAACTGGAGACCTATTTTCTGAGTGTTTGCTCTTTGTGGCAACTGTTCTTATTTTATGGGTACAGTATCTTCCCTCTCTGAGGATGGGAGTGATTTTTGTTAATTTTTTTTCTTCCTGCACGATGTTTCCTCCAAGTTACTTTTTCCTGTTAGTGGCCTCTCCTTTGTGATTGAGGCTTTCCTTGGCTGTTGGTTGTTGGTTCTTATTAAGAAACTCTGACTGGGGGTTCTCAGCATGTGAGCGGCCGGCCATGACCTCATTATAGGGTAGGCTGGCTGGCTGTTACACAAACCTTCAGCTGGTTCTTAGTCTATCCCTTCTCTTCACCCAACATGGTACCTCACTGAGCCTGAGCCTTTTGGGCATTCCACTGGGTAAACTGGATTGGCTCTTAACTGTCCCCACTACTGGCTAGGAATTCAGTTTTTTCTTTGTCTTAAGCCATTTGCCATTTTGACCATATACTTTCCACCTTCCAAAAATGTTTCCTGTTTCTTTCCTTTCTCCTTGATTGTGTGGGGTTTGCCTTTTGCTTCACCTTCTTTGCTGTCAAGCATGGGTTCAGGGGGTAACCACTGTCATCTTTACCTAGGTCCTCACTTTTTTTATTAAGTAGTTTTTATTCATTGACTTTGTTGAGGTATAATCAAAGTACAGTAAGCTGCATGTACTTAAAATGCACAACCTAATAAATTTTACTTAAATTCATTAAATAAATGCACAACCTGAGAAATTTTCACATGTGATATACCTGTGATGTCATCATCACGATGAAGATAATGAACATTTCATCACCCACAAAAGTTTCCTTATACCCCTTGCAAGTCTTCCCCTGCCCTGTCTGAGCATACCCACCATAGAATAGTCTGCATTTTATAGAGTTTTATATAAATGGAATCTTAGAGTATGTGCTGTAGTGTGGTTTATGGCTTCTTGAATTCAGCATAATGATTCTATGATCGTTCATGTTGTGTTTATCAGTAGTTCACCCCTCTTCATGGCTGAGTATTATTCCACTGAATGGATGTACCACAATTTGTTCACTCATGTACCTGTTGAGGAACATTTGAGTTGTTACCAGTTTGGGAGGATTATAGATAGAGCTGCTGTAAACATTTGTGTACAAGTCTTTGTGTAAATATATATTTTAGGTTTTTTTTTTAAGGTAAATACTGAGGAATGAAATGCCTGAGTCATGGTAAAAGTATGTTCAAATATTTATTTATTTATTTTTTATTTTTTGAGACGAAGTCTCGCTCTGTTGCCTAGGCTGTAGTACAGTGGCGTGATCTCGGCTCACTGCAACCTCCGCCTCCTGGGTTCAAGTGATTCTCCTGCCTCAACCTCCCAAGTAGCTGGGATTACAGGCGTGCACCAACACACCCCGCTAATTTGTGATTTTTTTTTTAGTAGAGATGGGGTTTCACCATCTTGGCCAGGCTGGTCTTGAACTCCTGACCTCAGGTGATCTACCCGCCTCGGCCTCCCAAAGTGCTGGGATTACAGGCACAAGCCACTGTGCCCGGCCTCAAATATTTTAAAGTAACTGCCAAACTGTTTTCCAAAGTGGTTGCCTCATTTTATATTCCTATGAGCAGTGTATAAGAGTTTCAGTTGCCCCATCTCCTTGCCAAAATGTTTTGTGATCTGTCTTCTCATTATGGCTTTAATTTGCATCTCCCCAGTGATTAATGATGTTTAGCATCTTTTTATGTGGTTATTGGTGGTCATAAAACTTCTTCCTGTGAAGTGTCATTTGAAATCTTTTGCTCATTTTGTATTGGGTTGTTTGTCTTGACACGAGTATTTCTATTTTTCTCCTTTTTTAAAAATTAAGATATATACAATTCAGTGGTTTTTAAGCACATTTACGGTTATAAAACCATCACCATGACCTAATTCCAAAACATTTTCATTACCCCTCAGAAAAATTCCAGATTCATTAGCAACCACTCCCTTTACCCCTCTCTCCCCAGCCCCTGGCAGCCACTAATCTACTGTCTGTCTCTATGAATTTGCCTATTTGGGACATTTCATATGAAAGAGTCATATAATATGTGGTCTCTTGTGACTGGATTCTTTCATTTTTAAGATTTTCAGGGTTCATCCATATTATAGCATGTATCTACTGATACATGCTTCATTCCCTTTTATGGCTGAATAATTTTTTTTTTTTTTTGAGACAGAGTCTCGCTGTGTCATCCAGGCTGGAGTACAGCGGCACAGTCTTGGCTCACTGCAACCTCTGCCTCCTGGGTTCAAGTGATTCTTATGCCTCAGCCTCCCGAGTAGCTGGGATTACAGGCATGCACCACCACGCCTGGCTAATTTTTGTATTTTTAGTAGCTGTGAGGTTTCACCATGTTCCCCAGGCTGGTCTTGAACTCCTGGCCTCAAGTTATCTGCCTGCTTCAGCCTCCCAAATATTGGTATTATAGGCGTGAGCCACTGGGCTGAATAATATTCTGCTGTGTTGATATACCACATTTTGTCCATTCATTCACTGCTAGGCATTTGGGTTGTTTTTCACTTTTTGGCTATTATGAATAATACCATTGATGAACACTCATGTGCACACTTCTGTATAGACATATGTTTATAATTCTCTTGGGTATAAGTAGGAGTGGGATTGCTGGGTCATATGGTTATTACTGGTGGAAGGTATCAGAGTTACTGGCAAATCTGTATGGGTCTGCAGCAACCTCAATTCTTGCCTCCTCAGAAGAAATAATTCGACTGAGGGCAGAAAAAGAGATCAAGGCAAATTTTCAGAGCAGGAATGGAAGTTTATTTTAGAAGCCTTTAAAACAGGAAAGAAAGGAAAGCAAGCTTGGAAGAGGCCCAAGCCGGGAACTTGAAGAACAAGTGTGATGTTTAACCTTGATCCTAGGACTTTATAGGCTGGCCCACTTATGGCGTCTTGTGCCCCTTTCCCATGATTCTTCTCTCAGGTGGGCTTCCCGCATGCGCAGTGCCCTCCTTACCCTTGGGAAGTGAGCAGGGGCAGTGTGTTTAGGAAGTTGTGTGCATGCCCATCTGAGGCTTTCTTCCCTTTTCTGGTGGGGTGCCCCCAGGAGGTCCATCATTTTGTCTCTTAATGCATATGCCTGGGAAGTTACTTCTCCCTGGCACCTGCATTTAATTAATACGTTAGTGCAACAGGTGTGGACCATCAGGAAATGGGCTCTCCCTGGCACCAGCTGCCAATTTATCACTGTTAGAGAGGCAATGCAATAACTGCCGAACCACAACCCAACATTCCTAGTGGGTTGAGGGAGAGTCCTCTCTGCCCGGCTCACGTCTGTCTAACTACCTGTAACATGGTTAATGGATGTTTAACTTTTTGAGGAATCACCAAACTATTTTCCAAAGCAGCTGCACCATTTTACGTTCACACCAGCAGTTTGTGAGGGTTTCACCTTCTTCACATCCTTAACAACATTTGTTGTTCTTTATTCTAGCCATCCCCATGTGTGTGAAATGTTATCTCATTGTGGTTTTGAATTGCATTTCTCTAATGACTAATGATGTTGAGCATCTTTTCATGTGCTTATTGGCCATTTGCATATCTTCTTTGAGGGAATGGTTATTCAAAACCGTCACTCAGTTAAAAATCAGATTGTCATTTTATTGTTGAGTTGTGTATTTATATATTTTAGATGTGTAGATGTGTATCATTTGTCTGATATATGTGTTGGTAATATTTTCTTCCCTGTCTGTGGCTTGCCTTTTTTTGTTGTTGTTGTTTTGTTTTGTTTTGTTTTTGAGATGGAGTCTCGATCCGTTGCCCAGGCTGGAGTGCAGTGGCATGATCTCGGCTCACCACAACCTCTGCCTCCCAGGTTCAAGAGATTGTCCTGCCTCAGCCTCCTGAGTAGCTGGGACTACAGGCGTGCACCACCATGACTGGCTAATTTTTGTATTTTTAGTAGAGATGGGGTTTCACTGTGTTGGCCAGTCTGGTCTTCTGACCTCATGATCTGCCGCCTTGGCCTCCCAAAGTGTTGGGATTATAGGTGTGAGTCACTGCATCCAGCAGGCCTTTTGTTTTTTTAAGGTGTCTTTCAAAGAGTAAAAGGTTTTAATTTTGACAAAGTTCAGCTTATCAATTGTTTATATTTTGTGTGTGTGATTTTTTTTCTTCTTTTTTTTTTTTTGAGATGGAGTCTCGCTCTGTTGCCAGGCTGGAGTGCAGTAGTGCAATCTCAGCTCACTGCAACCTCCACCTCCTGGGTTCAAATGATTCTCGTGCCTCAGCTTCCTGAGTAGCTGGGATTACAGGCACATGCCACTACACCCAGCTAATTTTTATATTTTTAGTAGAGACAGGGTTTCACCATGTTGGCCAGGATGGTCTCGATCTCCTGACTTCATGATCTGCCCACCTCGGCCTCCCAAAGTGCTGGGATTACAGGTGTAAGCCACCGTACCCTGCCTGTGCTTTTTTGTGTTCTAAGAAAACTTTGTCCAGTTCAAGATATAAATATTTTCTCCTATGTTTTTCTTCTATACATTGCATAATTTTAGATTTTACATTTAGGTCTTTGATCTGTTCCAGTTAGTTAATTTTTATATGTGGTGTGAGTTAAGGGTCTTAGATGACATTTAGTATGTCTCCAACATTATTTCTTATTTCGTACGAGGCAGAATGGGAGTCTCACTCCCCTATTATTTTCTCCCTCGCCTTATTCCATATACATTATAGGAAATGTGTTTTTGTTTTTTTGTTTTTTAAGAGGAAAGAGACAGAAAGATTTGCTAATATGGGGGTAGCCAGTATACTCCGTTTTTACTCAATAGTGTCATGTTGCTTTCCCTACATTATTTTTTTTTTATTTTTTATTTTTTAGATAGAGTCTTGTTCCATCACCCAGGCTGGAGTTCAGTGGCACAATCTCGTCTCACTGCAACCTCCACCTCCCAGGCTCAAACAATTCTCCTGCCTCAGCCTCCTAAATAATGGGATTAAAGGCATGTGCCACCACTCTCAGCTAATTTTTGTATTCTTAGTAGAGACAGGGTTTCACCATGTTGGCCAGGCTAGTCTCAAACTCCTGGCCTCAAGTGATCCACCTGCCTTGGCCTCCCAAAGTGCTAGGAATACAGGAGTGAGCCACCATGCCTGGTCAATATTATCTGCCTTTTATTTTTTATTTTTATTTAGTTTTTCCAATCTGGATGGTATAAAAGGGATATCTCAGTTATAATTTTGATTTCTCTAGTTACTATGGAGTTAAATATTTCTTGTCATACTTGTTAACCATTGGGATTTCCCTTGCATGAATTGCCTATTATAACTATAATCCTTTTTTATTTTTTTTTCTTAGAGACTGAATCTCACTCTGTCACCCAGGCTGGAGTGCAGTGGCCCCATCTTGGCTCACTGCAACCTCTGCCTTCCGGGTTCAAGCAGTTCTCCTGACTCAGCCTCCCGAGTAGCTGGGAGGGACTACAGGCACCTGCCACCATGCCTGGTTAATTTTTTATTTTTATTTTTTGTATTTTTGGTAGAGACGGGGTTTCACCATGTTGGCCAGGCTGGTCTCGAACTCCTGACCTCAGGTGTTCTACCCACCCTGGCCTCCCAAAGTGCTGGGATTACAAGCATAAGCCACTACGTCCGGTCGACTATATCCATTTTTATGTTGATATTTTTCCTGTAGTTCCCCTGGTTTTCTTCTTGATTTGTAAAAATTCCTTGTATATGCCAAAATATAATTTCATAATAGTTTATTTTATTTATGAAATTATAAATAGGGTCCATGGGAGTGGAGTGAACAGCGTACATGTCACTAACTGTCTGAAGGTTGAGGAGAAACTCAGGACCTAGGTGGTGGTGGGGTGGCCACCACCATTTAATAGACTGGAAAATAGGATGGAAGTTGGGGGTGTGGTGGAACAGGGCCACAGGGAGTGGGTTTTCACCAGTCGAAAAGTGGGCAGAGCCCTTCGGATGCGGCCGACTGGCTGTCATGCAGCTGCGGTGCCTGGAGAACTCAAGATCTCCTCCATCGACATGGCAGAGGATGAGCAAGTGGGAAAATCGCACAGGGCTTTTTATTGCCTGAGTCTGGAGGTGGTGTTTCATTGGCTGGAGTAAGTCACATGGCTCTGCCAAGTGTGAGAGGTCTGTGTAGGGTAAGCCTCTGCGTCTGGTAGGGAGGAGGTTGGGACCAGCGACTACCAGTCATATTCACTGCAGGATGTGTGCTGCGGTCTCCGGTCTCCTGGGGGCAGGCCCGGCCTTACAGCCCATCCCTGGACCCACCTCGGGAGGGGAAAAACTGCAGGGCTCTGGGAGCGCCGCCACCAGGGAAGGGCTGCTGGGATCAGCCGGGAAGGAGGAAGGGAAGGGGGAGAGGGGCTTGGGTCCCTTGATGCTGCCTGAGGAGGGCTGGTGGACACTGCCTGGGGCTCCCTGCCAGGCCCTATTGGGCTAACAGTAGGCTTTTGTTTTCAGTAAGGGACCTCCCCTCCTGCCTTTCGTTCTGAGGGCATTGCAAAGGGCTCAGAGAGGGGCAGCTCCACATAGGAACTGTGATGGGTTATGAGCAACGCATTTCTGTCTTCTGCCATCTTTTCTGTGTGTTCCAAATTTCCTAGTGTTGGGGGATTTCTGGGATAATTAGGGAAAATAACAAATGTGTGATAGACTTGTGCAGGGTGGTGTGGTAGGTGAGGCTCCGGCCCAGAGTGAGGGCTCCTTCCCCTGACATGGGCATCTCCAGGGCCTCCCTGCCCATCCCATGGGCATCCTTATTCCTGGCTCACAGCAGTGGGGTCACCTCCCCAGGGTTCCCACTTAGTAGCTGAGGAAAGTGGGGCTCAGCTGGCTTGCGGGCCCTGCCTGAGGCCACATGGTGTGCCTCCGGATGCTGGGCTGGCCGTCTCACTCCTTCCCCTCTGCCTTAGTGCTGGCCTAGGCTGAGGCTGCCCGGGAGACCACATTAGACACATTTGAAACCGTCTGTCTCTTCAGGAGAGCAGACTCAGATGTAAATTCCTTCAGCCCCCAAGGAGCTAAAAATAAGAGGCCTGTGCCCCTACAGCAACCCAGGAAAGGCCACGTGAAAACCCAGCAGCTGGGGGCGGAGGCTGGGGGCGCGGGGCCCAGCAGTGTTGGAGGGGTGGAAACAGGATGTGAGCAGAGAGGGGGCTGTGAGAAGCAAGGTGACACCCAGCAGAGGCGGCCACCTGGTACAGCATGTTCTGAGCCACGGAAAAAGACCCTGGGCTGCGTGGGAGCCCTTACATCCTGCTTGGAGACAGGCCTCCCCCATTTGGCCTGGCTGTTGGCCAGGGCAGAATCTGACCCCTGCACTGGGATGGTGGGCAAGAGAAGGACAGGATGTTGCCTTTCAGAGAGATGGGGATCAAACCTTAATAAGGGCTCCCGGCTCCCCCAGGGAGGCCTGGTACCTACCCAAGGCCACCAATGGAGAAACAGGGTAAATAGCTCACCAGCTGTCCATCAGCCAACACTGCAGGCCAGGCCTGAGCCAGGTGTGGGGAAAGCGAACCCGCCAAGGCCCACTCGCTGGCTTCAGGGAGGCACCAGTATTGGGTGGGTGCCTTGATGAGGCCTGTGAAGGCCAGAGGCGAGCCCAAGCTCTGGGAGGCTCTGGGAGAAGCCCTTGATTCAGCCTGGGGATCTGGGAAGCCTTCCTGGAGGAAGCGAAACCTGAGGGGTCTCAAGGATGGGCAGGGGAGGGGTGGGTGAAGCCATTCCGGGCAGGTCGGCCAGCACAGGGCGCAGAGGAAACCCCCGGCCTGAGTGGTGTGGTCAATGTCACCGGGGCCTTTGTGCCCACCTAGCCTGAGCCTGCCCCCCTTGGCCTGCTCAGGGCTTTTCCTGAGATCCCTCCTCTCTGAGGTCTGCAGCCTCCCCTCTGGCCCATCATTCTCTTTCCTTGTCAGGTCCATGGCTCCCCCACACCTTCAGCCAGCCTCGGGGTCCTCCTTCACAGTCCAGACCACAGTCAAGTCTCACTTAGTGGAAGGCTTGTCCCCCCACTTCCCCAGCAGCCCCAACTGAGGGGTGCCACGAGGCTCACTGAGTCACCATCCCCTTCTGGTGGTTCAACGCTTTTTCCTTGATTTGTAACCAGACTTTTTGTCCTAGAGCTTTTCATACACATTTATGTTCATGTAGAATGTAGGCCGGGTGCGGTGGCTCACGCCTGTAATCCCAGCACTTTGGGAGGTCGAGACAGATTGCTTGAGCCCACGAGACCAGCCTGGGCAACACGGTGAAACTCCATCTCTACCAAAAATACAAAAAATTAGCCGGGTGTGGTGATGTGCGCCTGTGGTCCCAGTTACCCAGGAGGTTGAGGTGGGAGGATGGCTTGTGTCCGGGAGGTTGAGGCTGCAGTGAGCTGTGATCGCACCACTGCCCTCTAGCCTGGGTGACAGAGCTGTCTAAAAAAGAAAAAAAAAAAAAAACTGAAACAAAACAAACCAAAAAACAAACAAGAATGTACAGCTTTCTCTTTTTTGTTTTTATTGAAATGGGATCATACTATACGAACTTATTTTGCAACTCACTTGTCTTCACTGTATCTTGAAGCTTGTTCTAGATCAGTGTGTGTAGATTTACCTCATTATTTGTTTTTACAGATACTTGATAGAAGTGTAAAAACTTTGTATTCCATTTTTCCTCCCAATACAGACAATGCTGCCTTGGAAATCTTTGGACAAGTTTCTTCACCCAGAAGAGAGGTTGCAGGGTTGAAGAGCATGTGCTTTAAACATTTGGATAGGTTCTGTCAAATTGCTTTCTTTAAACACACGTTATCAACCAACTTACACTCCCACCAAAAGAGCACAAGTTCACTCATTCACCACCCTTCCCAGTATTTGAATGTTTGCCAACCTGATGGGTGGATCATCGCGCTGCCTTGTTTCAGTGGGTAGAGCATGGCTTTTGTGGATTACTGGAGATTTGCATTTCTTGGTCTGTGAATTCTGTGTTGTTATTCTTTGCCCCTTTCCTGTTGTGTTGTTTGACTTTTTCTTATTTGTTTTTGGAGGCCTCACATCTTTACTCACTTTCTTCACACTCTCTGTCCTCTTTTCCTGTTGGGCTTTTCTCCATAACCACCATCTGACGTACGATGTGTTTATTTCTTTATTGCTTGTCCTCCCCACCCCATTACAATGTAAGAACCAAGAGGGCAGAGATTTTGTCATTTGTCCATGTGAAGGTTTCCAGTACCTGAGACAATGCCTGGTGCCTAATAGGCACCCTCCAATTAACTGCTGGATGAATGAATGAATGAATAATATTTTATCTGTCACTTGCTTTCAAATATTTTCTTTCTTTCTTTTTTTTTTTTTGAGATGGAGTTTTGCTTTTGTTGCCCAGGCTGGAGTGCAGTGGCACAATCTCGGCTCACTGCAACCTCTGCCACCTGGGTTCAAGCAATTCTCCTGCCTCAGCCTCCCGAGTAGCTGGGATTACAGGCACGTGCAACCACATCTGGCTAATTTTTGTATTTTTTAAGAAGAGACGAGGTTTCGCCATGTTGGTCAGGCTGGTCTTGAACTCCTGACCTCAGGTGATCCGCCTGTCTTGGCCTCCCAAAGTGCTGGGATTAGAGGCATGAGCCACCGCGCCCAGCCTGTTTCTAAGTATTTTCTCCATGTTTGTCACTCACCCTTTACTTTTGTTTGTGGTGAGTTTGAGCATACAGAAACTTTTAAAAAATTTTAAGTTTATTTTGTTTTTTTTCTCTCCAACTTTTATTTTAGGTTCAGAGGGTATGTGTGCAAGCTTGTGACATGGGTAAATTGCACGTTATGGGGGTTTGGTGTACAGATTTTTTCGTCACCCCAGTAATAAGGATAGTACTAGACAGGTAGTTTTTCGACCCTCACCCTCCTCGTCCACCTCAAGTAGGCTCCATGTGTGCTCAACGTTTAGCTCCCACTTATAAGTGAGAACTTGCGGTATTTGGTTATCTATTCCTGCATTAATTTGCTTAGGATGATGGCCTCCACCTCCATCCGTGTTGCTGCAAAGGACTTGATCTCCTTTTTTATGGCTGTGTAATCTTCCATGGTATATATGCACCACATTTTCTTTATCCAGTCCACCGTTGATGGGCATTTAGGTTTATTCCTCCTCCTTGCTGTTGTGCATAGTGCTGTAATGAGCATTCACGTGCATGTGTCTTTGTGGTAGAATGATTTATGTTCCTTTGGGTACATACTCAGTAATGAATTGCTGGGTCAAATGATAGTTCTGCTTTAAGTTCTTGGAGAAATCTCCAAACTGCTTTCTACAGTGGCTGAACTAATTTACATTCCCACTGGCAGCATGGAAGTGTTCTCTTTTCTCTACAACCTCTCCAGCATCTGTTATTTTTTGACTTTTTAATAGTAGCCATTCTGACTGGTGTGAATTGTTATCTCATTGTGGTTTCGATTTGCCTTTCTCTAATAATTAGTGATACTGACCATTTTATTCATATGCTTGTTGGCCATATGTATGTCTTCTTTTGAGAAGTGTCTGTTCATGGCCTTTGCCCATTTTTATTATTTTTATTTTTTATTTTTTTGAGAGAGAGTCTTGCTCTGTCACCCAGGCTAGAGTGCAGTGGCGAGGTCTCGGCTCACTGCAACCTCTGCCTTCTGGGTTGAAGTGATTCTCCTGCCTCAGCCTCCCAAGTAGCTAGCTGGGGCTACAGGCGCGAGCCACCACAGCTGGCTAATTTTTGTATTTTTAGTAGAGACAGGGTTTCACATATTGGCCAGGCTGGTCTCTTGAACTCCTGACCTCAAGTGGTCTGCCTGCTTTGGCCTCCAAAAGTGCTGGATTACAGGCATGAGCCATTGTACCCAGCCCTTTGTCCATTTTTTAAATGGGGTTGTTTTTTGCTTGTTAATTTAAGTTCCTTATAGATTCTGGATATTAGAACTTTGTTGGATGCATTGTTTGCAAATATTTTCTCTTGTTCTGTAGGTTGCCTGTTTACTCTGTTGATGGTTTCTTTTGCTGTGTAGAAGCTGTTTAGTTTAATTAGGTCCCATTTGTTAATTTTTGGTTTTGTTCCAATTGCTTTTGGAGTCTCTGCCAGGGCTTGTGTCCAGAATGGTATTTCCTAGGTTTTCTTCTAGGGTTTTTATAGTTTTTATATGCTGGGAGTTCTGGGGAGGAGAGCCTGCATACCAGCCTGAGCTCCTAGTCCCCACTTAACCCTGGGCCACTGTCCTGTCAGCCAAATCGAACTGCTACCGACATACCTGGGTGCCACTGAAAGGTTTCCAGCAGAGCAATTTAGAAACTTAGAAAGTTCATTCTGGATGCTACAGGAGGAGGGGCGAGGCTGGAACCAGGATAGAGGTGGGGTCTCTCAACTCCCTCCAGCCAAAGACCACGAGGAACACAGCTGTAGTTGAACAAATCGGGCATATTTGCAGCGAGGGCAAACACACAGTACCAGGAACCGTGGGCGTCTGGGCAGGATGTGTGAGAAAGCACCTGTGCCACAGGCTGGGCTGTCCTGTGTCCTTGATGTGTTGTGGAGAATTGGACTCCACCTCTTGATAGAAGAGCGTCAAAATGTTGTAGTCATTTTTGCACTGTACCACAAGGCCATTCTTCTTTTTTGGGCTGGGAGAACAAGGAGAGGGAAGATGTTGTCAGAGTCTGGGACAGCGAGGGCTGTGAAGAGGGGCCGAGCTATGGGAACGGGAGTCCCAGAGGGACCCAGCCCGGCCCACACCTTGGTGTCAGGGCAGAGGAGGAGCAGGGATAGAAGTCCTCGAGACTCTTTCCCCACTTCGCCTCCTGGTGCCTTCTGGCTGAGTAGTCAGGAAGCAGAGAGTGAGAGATCCCACCTGACTGTCCGTGCATGGCAGCCTGTGGGCCCAGAGCAGGGAGGAGAACGGGTCTGGGAAGGGGAAGGGGACAGAGAGTAACCAGCAAAGCCACTGCATTCCCAGAGCCCAGAGCGGTGCCTGGCGCATAAGAGCTGCTCCACAAATATGTGTTGAATGGCTGAGTCTCACGGAGGTCTTAGTTCTGGGCAGCGCCCCTCTAATGTGTGTGATCCTCCTGGGGAAATTCCAGGGTGGAGGAGGAGAAGTTTATTGAAGGGGCAAGAAGGGGCTGGGGCCAAAAACAGTCAGCAACACCCTCTCGTGACCCAGCTCCTGGCTCTCTCGCGACTCTTCTTGCCGCTGATGTGACTGGGCTGTCCCAGTGCAGACTCTCTGGACCTCACTGGCCAGGGTCTGAGGGCCTCCTGCCAAGCTAGGACAAGAAGGGGCTGTGCAGGCGGCCAGGCCCCCTGGGTCCACCTTGGACTCCTGGATCCCCCGTGCCCTGAGCCTCTCAGCAAGCCTTGCCCGAGCCCGTGCTGGGCAGCAGGTCCCGAGGCGGCCCTCTCGGGAGCAGACGGCTGCAGTGCACCAGCATGGATTTCTTCTGTCCCAGCACCTGCTGCATGGAGCCTACAGAAGGGGCTGCCGATCAGGGAAAGGAGGAAGGTTCTCTTAGCATAAGCAGCCCGGAGATGCACGAGGAAGGGGCCCAGCTAGGTGGGGCAGGGGGGCACTGTCTGTGACGCTCCCCCTGAATTGACAACCATGGGGCCTCTGCTCTCCCTGACTGCCCTCTCTTGCCCCACAGGATCCAAAGTTGAGGAGTCAAGGGCCAGGAGGCTGAGAGGTGCCAGAGCAGGAGGGTCCTGGGGAAGGCTTTGTCCTCGGCTGTGAGAGAAGCTTACACATGGGCAGAGGGGCCAGGAAGAGCCCTATGCCTGGAGAGAGGCTGGGGGACAGAAGAAAAGCTTCTTCTGGGGTCTCCCTATAGGTGGGGGCTGCCCCCTGTGCTGGGAGGCCAGCCCACTTGCCTGCCCTCATGAGTCTGTTGTTCCTTCATTATTTTAATTATTTACGTATGGCAGGCCGTTCACAGCTTCCAAAACACCTTCCCGGATGGTGGCTCATTCAGTTCCGACAACAGCAGGGTGAGGTGGTGCTGCTGGGGCCCCTTTCCCAGTGAAGCGGCAGGGGCAGGGTGACATGATTCAGCACTGCCGCCGCCCACACAGAGGGGCCACCCCTCCTTGCACGCCATGAGGGGAAGGCACCCCGTGTGCGCCCTACTGCTGGCGTGTGAGCAGTTTCTATTTCCCTTGGCGGACTGGGACTATGGGGCCTTCTCCCCGCTGGGGCCTGTCACTGTCCCAGCCCTGGACCCAGCAGGGAACTTCCTCCACCCTCTATAGGGTGGGGTGTGGGGAGAGCCCCGCTTAGCCTCAGCTCAGGGCTTCTGGGCTGCCGGACACTGCCTGGCCCTGTGGTCCCCAACCCATGTGGCCACCTGCTCACCCATTTTCGACTCCATGCCAGGGCCAAGATGCTTGTAAGCCCCTTGTCCTTCCTCTGCTACTGACCTGTCCCCAGGCCCCAAGGGCTCCTTGGGGAGGTAGGAGATGGCTGAGGATAAGCCCAGTGGTTTTCTGTAACCTGTTCCTTCTGCCCTGTGGGAACCATGGCTGTGCACTGGTCCTGTCCACAGCCCTACTTGCCCAGTGTGGCTCTGGCAGGGGCCACCCCTGTGTTCAGGCATGGGGGCCTCCTGGGGGGACGGTGGCTGACCTGGGGGCAGGCAGGTTCTGCTGAGGGTGGGGGAAGGCAGCATGGCTCTGGGCAGCCTGTACAGGACATGTCTTCTGCCCCTCCAGCCTCTTGCTTAGGATTCACCAAGCATGACTCACTTTCCCTCTCTGAGCCTCAGTTTCCATATCTGTAAAGAAGGGCTGATGAGAATCCCTGGGGTGAGGACAGAGGGAGACATCCAAGAGGGTGGAGCCTGCTTGGAAGCAGCTGCATGACAGCAGCTCCCATGGGACAGCAAGTCCCTGAGGGCTTCACAGAGCTGCAGGGCACCCAAGAGGGAGCCACCACGCTCCGCCAGGGTGACGGGGAAGCTTCCTGGAGGAGGCAGCATTGGTGCTGGCCCCAGGGAGGCGGGCATGAGGGCATTCTGAGTCCACAAGAAGGGCATTGCAGACAGAGTGGCTGCTGTGAGCAAGGTGGTTTGGGGGCCATGGGCACAGGGTGGTGGGAAGAACTAAGCTGGGCTTTGCTGAAGAACATGAATCAAATAAGGGGAAGAAAGATGGGGCCTTGACTCCCTGCTGAAGGGTGTGGATGCATCCCAGAGGCAACTATAGGGAGCTGGGACTCAGATTTCCCTCGGGGAAGAAGACTTGGGCTGTGATGGGAGGGGGTGGGCAGACGGGGCCGGGAGAGGCAGAGGCAGGTGCCCAGGACCTGGGGGTGGCTGTTATCATAGTCTGGTTAGGAGACAACAGGGCCTGGCTGATTCTGAAACCAACTGGTTGGTTTGGGAAACCTCTGCTGTAACCTCACATTAGCCCCCAAACCAGTTTGTCACACTGCTTGGAGTCACCCCAACATGGGCCCTGGTGTGGGCACATGACATGCCGGGTCTCTGATCCTTTTGTGGCATGGAGTTAACCACCTCTCTGCTTTTCTGGTTTAAAAAACAGTGCTTGTTTGTTTTTCTCATATTTTATGTCATCATTCCAAACAAATTTTGGAGAATAAGTAAAAGGTAAAAGTGTGTTTGAAGTGGGCTCATCTCTCAGCCAAGGTGGAGGGGGTTCCCCAGCCCCTGGAAGATGGTGAACCCATCTGGGGTTCTAACCCACAACTAATCTGTAGCCCATCTAATTTGTAGCCACATGTGAGGTCCCATGCCCCGGGTCCTGGGCACACACGCATTTCTGTTCTGTTTCCACTGGGTGGGGGTGGGGGACTGCTGGGCTCCAACCAAGGTCAGATGGTGCCAGGGGCATGGGTGGCAGTGCGGCCATGGGCATGTCAGGCCTCCTCTTCCTTGGAGGACCTTACCACCATCGGAGAGGCAGGACTAATGCACAGAGCCCAGGGGCCTTAACGAGGAAAGGATGGGCGGGAGTCCCAGTTCTGCCTTGACATTGGGGAAAAAATTCCTCATCCGCCAAATGGGAATAGCAAGTAATTCCTGTCCCGCAAAGTGATGTGAAACTGATGAGAAGTGTGATTTTTTTTTTTTTTTTGAGATGGAGTCTCGCTCTGTTGCCCAGGCTGGAGTGCAGTGGTGTGATCTCAGCTTGCTGCAAGCTCCGCCTCCTGGGTTCAAGTAATTCTCCTGCTTCAGCCTCCCTGGTAGCTGGGACTACAGGCGCCCGCCAACACACCTGGCTAATTTCTTTTTGTATTTTTAGTAGAGACGGGGTTTCATTGTGTTAGCCAGGATGGTCTTGATCTCCTAATCTTGTGATCCGCCCGCTTCAGCCTCCCAAAGCGCTGGGATTACAGACATTAGCCACCGCACCTGGCTGAGAAGTATGATTTAATGTAGCTAGCTCACGGTAGATTCACAGTAATTGGAAGTTATTGGAAAACATTGCCAAATAGTTCTTATTTTTAGCCAGAATGAGACAACATCCAGGTGCCTGGTGCTGCTGGAATAGAGGCGAGGAAACCCTCTGGGTCTCCAGCCCAGGCAGTTGCAGCCAGGCCCCCGGCTACTCTGGCCTCCAGGATCTGGGGAGCATGGAGCAGCTTCTGGGAGCTCACTGACTGGGGCCATTAGCAACTGGACATTCTGGGCTGGGGTCTGAGGCTGAGCAGAGGGGCCTGGTGGGTGGAGAAGGGTGGAGGGAGGTGAAATTCTGGTGCACGCAGAAGCCAACAATCCTATTGTGCCTGGTGAGCAACCTGTGTTGAGGTGGTGTGCCCGTTCCCCTGCCTTAAGGAGGGGCTTCAGTCCCCAGAGGGAGAAGACTTCGGCTCTGGGCGCCTTCCCTGGGGGGCATGGGACACTCCCCTGCATTGTGACCTTGGGCCTTTATCCTCTGGGTTTCTCTGGTCCAGCAGGCCTGGCCAGGGCAAGGCTGGGCACGTGCAGGCCAGTCTGCAGACCTAGTGCTCAGGAGCGGTCACGGAGCACCTCCTCTGGCCTCCAGGAGTGCATCACAGGCTGAAGAGGCAGCCGTGCTTGAGCCCAGAATGGAGGAGAAGTCGGGAGGGCTGGGCTGGGACACAGAAGGATCCACAGAAGAGGCGGCTCCAGCAATCCAGGGGCAGAGAACAGCAAGAGCGGAGGTGTGGAAGTTGGGGTTGCAGGGTGAATGGGGGTCGTTGGCGAGTCCTCTAAGCCAGGCCCTTGAGTGAGGATTGGCTGTCACCACTGTGGTCTCTGAGCAGGGAGAGGCAGGCTCTATACTGGTTCATCTTGGGCCAGGCACTGGCATCAGGGGCCTCAGTCCTTTAAGTCCATACGAGGGGCAGGAGTCCTGGGAGAGGCTTGCCAGGGCATCCCCTGAGCCTGGACAGCATGGGCCAGGACCAGCGTCCCTGCCTCAGCCACTGCTCAGCTCCCCTCCCTTGGCCTCCTCTGGCTGAGGGGGATATTTACTGAGGGTAGGGGGGTGGCCTGAAGATGGGGAGCAGTGAGGGGTTGGGGAGGAGGAGAGAGATGGGTGAGGAGGAGGAGAACAAAGAGACAGTGGGTACGTAGAGGAAAAGGAGAGAGAAGGGAGGAAGGCAGGTGGCCCCCCAGCTGCAGGCCTTCCCTGCTGGCACACAGGGCGCCTCCCTGGGCACCACCCTCCTGCCCTTCTCCGGGGTCCTCCCACGGGGTCTGGGTAAGGGCAGCACACCCTCCGGGCCATCCTGTGTCCCTCGTGCCTCTCCCTTGCCCTCAGCACCCAGGCCAGCAGAAAGGAGCCTCCTGGCTTGGGGGTTCTGGCTTAGTGACTGCTGTCATTGGGGCTGCTCCCGGGGGCCCTCACTCGGCCCTGCTCCTGGGTGATCTTGCAGCCACAGCTCCCAGCCCTGTGCTGGCAAAGCACTGGGTGTGCCTGACCCCTGCAGGCTCTAGGAAGCTGGACCTAGGTCGCTACTGCCTTTGCCAGGCCCAGCCTGAGATGCCCTTGGTGGCCACTGGGAGCCACTCCTCCAGGGTCTTACCTCTCTCAGACTAAACCTGAGTCCTGCCCCTGCCCCTGGGGAAACAGAGGCAGGCACTTCCTGCCCAGGCCCTGCTCTGGGTGAGTTGAGCTGGGGATAGGGCCACACACCTCTCTGGGCAGCAGCTACACCCCTGAAGGAATCAGGGGACATTGGTGGTGACCTCTTCTGGGTTGCAACACTCAAATGAGAGATTCATTCATAGTCACAAATGTGTGGTGTGTGTGTTCTGGGGTATGTGTGTTGTGTGTGTGTGTGTGGCAGGTGTGTGGTCATCCTGTGTTTGTGTGTGAGGAGAGGGCTGAGGCCAGGGCCCCAGAAATGGCCCTGCTTGACCGCCCCCGCCGTCCAGGAACCTGCTTCCTTCTGGGTGGTGCTGGCTAAGTAGGGAAGGGGCCACTCACCTGTGCTGTCTGAGAAATGGACTCGGGGCTTGTATCAGGCAGGGCTGTGTCCACGTGAAATGTGGGCAGGGCACTGGTGGGTGGTGGTGGGTCTCAGGGCTGGTGGTCAGGAGTACAGGTTCATGGGCTGCGGAGGGGCAGCTGGGGCATGTGAGCCGGGGTGGGCCCCTCCCCCATGGATCTGGGGGCTGGCTCCTGGGGCCGCTGGGACCATGGCAGGACTAATCACGGAGGGCTCTGAGGGCTGTCCTGGGACTAGGGAGGCCACATCACTGTGGTGTGTCTGGGTGTCCATGGGTAATGGAGAGGATGCTTAGGCTTGGCCGTGCAGCACTGTGTGCAGGAGGACAGGTGTGTGAGTGTGGCTATGTAAGTGCAGGGTGTGTGTGTATGAGTCTGTGTGCACATAACACATGTATGCGTGTGTGTGCACACCTGACCCTCTCTGGGTGTCTGGGTGGCTCCATGAGCAGTGATGGCCTCAGCTTTTCCAGGCGCAGTCATTCTTGAGGAAGCATCATCGGATTTGGGCCCTGATCCTCCCTGATCAGTCTCTTCCTGTCTGGCGTCACCCCGGCCATCTGTGCTCTAAACCTGAGCCTCAGCTCCCCATGCCCCTCACCCGCCCCCACCTCCTGCAGCTCCCCAGCTCTCTCTGGCTGTGGTGGGGGCAACCTCTCTTCTCTGGCCTTCACCCTATGCTGAATACATGTCCCTCTTCCAGATTATAAAACTGGGCAGCAGCTGGCCTCTCTCAGCTGCTCCCAGGCCCCGTCTCAGGGAGGAGGAGCCCTGGCAGGGCCTGGGGTGACAGGGGAGAGGAGGGAACCTCCTCCTTCCTCAGGAACCTGTTTGCCCTCTGCTCAGCCCAGACCTGGGAGCCACCCCCGCCCCTCTCTTTCTCATTGTCCACCCCATCCCATCTGCCCACGATTCCTGACAGCCCTGCCCCTGCTGATCCTGGAGCCTCCTTCATTTGCATTGCCACCCAGGGGTCAAGTCAGCCCCCTGTCCCCTGAATCACTGCATCAGCTCCTGACCTCTCCCCATGACCACTCCTGCCCCCACAGTCCACTCTCCACTCACAGGTTCCCTCCCTAGCCCACCCCCAGTCAGGACCTTCCAACGGTTCCCATTGTCCTT
This sequence comes from Homo sapiens, assembly GCF_000001405.40. Lineage (NCBI taxonomy): Eukaryota > Metazoa > Chordata > Mammalia > Primates > Hominidae > Homo > Homo sapiens. Next base: position 96,152,531 of record NC_000002.12, on the reverse strand, counting down.
TTAATGAAATCAGACCCTGACCAGGGCCCTGGGCTCAACCAGAGCTCCTGCTGCAAGGCCTTTGTCCCTGCCGTTCTGCCTCCCGCTGCTCTTCCCTGCCCCAGCCCTGGCAGGCTCCTTGTCATCCCTGGAGTTGCAGCGGAAGGCCATCTCCTCCCAGAATCCTCCCTGGTGCCCTCTCCCCTGCTCCATCTCATGCCCCTCTGCGGCATCATTCATAACATCGCCCAGTGTCTGCCGTGGTCTCATTCATTTGCTTACTCCATCCTTCTGTGGCCTTGCATTGGAAGGCCAGCCCCAAAGGGCAGGAATCTTGTCTGTCTTGTTCACGGCTGCATCCCTAGCACCATGAAAGCAGCCTGGCACTCAGTAACACTTGGTGAGTGAATGAGTGCTGGGACCCGCAGGAAGCCTGAAGCTCGCAGTGTGCCCAGAGCCACAGAGATGTGTGTGGTAGAGCTTGCCCTTGAACCTAGGACATTCAGTGGGTCGTCACAGTGGATTTTTTTTTCTTTCTTTCTTTTTTTTTTTTTTGAGACAGAGTCTCACTCTGTTGCCCAGGCTGGAGTGCAGTAGTGCAATCTCAGCTCACTGCAACTTCTGCTTCCCAGGCTCAAGTGATTCTTATGCTTCGGCCTCTTGAGTAGCTGAGACTACAGGCACGTGCCACCCCTTCAGCCTAATTTTTGTATTTTTAGTAGAGACAAGATTTCACCATATAGGCCAGGCAGGTCTGGAACTCCTGGCCTCAAGTGATCTGCCCTTTGGCCTCTCAAAGTGCTAGGATTATAGGCATGAGCCGCCATGCCCGGCCTCATGGTGGGCTCTTTTACTGACATGCCTGGGTTGTCTGCTCTTGGGAACCATCTGCTGCTCTGGGCACCTGAGGATATCTCTTTTTCCCTGGAGCTTGAGGAATGGTGGGGGATGAAGGCCTAGCCTGACAGTGACTTCCATCCCACATTGTGGATTTCAGCTTCCTGTGTCAGCTTCCTGTCGAGGGCTACCTGGGGGCACAGGGGCAAGTCCTCATGCCTGCAGAGATGCATCAAGCCCCACTCAGGGCTGGGCACTGTGCTTCCCGCTGGACTCAGAGGGGCAGTGCCCTGGGCACTGTGCATCCTCAAGGGGTTTTCAGCAGAGCTGGGGAGGTGGCACTAATGCCCTGAAGGTCCTCCAAGACGGCAGCCGAGAGAAAGAAGGGCTGTGGGCAAGGGTGGGAGGCCGATGGGAAGGGCCTGGAGGATGGGGACCTGGATTCTGGAGACAGTCAGGAGGGGACACAAAATTGTGTATTTAAGCCGTGGCTCTGAGAGCTCGGGCAAACTCCTCAGCCTTTCTAGCCGTGGCTCCCCCATTTGTATTTGGAGTGCCAATCGGTCCCACTTTTGGGACTCTTCGAGGTTTAAATGAGATAAGTTCTGTTAAGCTCTTGGGACAAGTCAGGGCACATGGCAAGCACACAATCGGTGTCAGTTGTTGTGGTTGTCCCATGAAGCAAGAGACCCAGGCAGGAGGGTGTGTGCTGGGGACGCCACACAGGCGGACCCATGTGGACCCTGGCCAGGGGCAGGGCAGACTAGTGGTTAAGCCCAGGTTCCAATCCCAGTTCTTCATTTGCATATGGACTGTGTGGCCTTGGTTCTGCCCCCTAACACCTTTGGGCCTCGGTTTCCCTATCTGCAGAGCAGGGTAATGAGGCAGCTCTCCAGGGTGTGAGGCCAGATGCAGTGATGCTCCCAAGGCACTGAACACAGTGCTAGTGATTGCTCTTTTTTAATGAGGGACGAGACCAAGATCACACTATAGGGAAGCAGCCCAGTTGTGTCTGACCAAGGCAAGGTGGCTTCACAGCCCCCACAGCTAACTGATGCCCAGAGCTTCCCCGGCTGCTGCTGCTGCTGTGCTGGTATTGCTGGTTTTGGGGGGTGGCAGAGAGCATGGCCTGGTCTTCGATGGTAGTTAAGGTGTCAGCAGTGCTGGTGAGGTGGGAAGGAGGTCCCTTTGTCACCCCCCCCCCAACAGTGCACCCAGCTCTGGTCACAGGGGAGCCCCAGGAGGCCTCTTGTCACTCGCCCTGTGCCCGCAGTGTGGTCATATTTTTGAGACTCCTTCATTTCTTGCCCAACTCTTACCACCGGCCACAGCTATTCCTTAGCAACCTCCTCTTCCCTCCTTAGATACCTGGGCCTAAGCCACAGTGCCTCTGGCTAGCAGGGTGGGAATTGGTTTCACTACTGGGACCCCCATCGGTTGGGGGCCACAGGTGTGCCAGGGGTGGGTGCCCAGGGAAAAGCTCAGAGAGGAGGTCCCTTCCACCCCCAGGCCCAGGCCCAGGCCCAGGCCCATCTGGGAACACAGACAAACACAGTTGCTTTGGTGGATAGGCCCACAGGCAAGTGGGGCCTTGGCAATGAGCTCTCCCAGAGTCCCTTCCTCAGGCTGTGGCCTCCTCTCTTTATGGGAAACCATGGCAGAAGGGGGAACCAGATTCCATAGCACCGTACCTCCCAAAGCTGGAAGGGGCCATAGGATCCTTTCCTGGACAACACAGCCTAATTCTGGCATCTCCTGCCTGCACTGCACGTTTTTCTTTTTCTCTTTTTTGAGACGGAGTTTTGCTCTGTTGCCCAGGCTGGAGTGCAGTGGCGTGATCTCGGCTCACCACAATCTCCACCTCCCGGGTTCAAGTGATTCTCCTGCCTCAGCGTCCTGAGTAGCTGGGATTATGGGCACCTGCCACCACGCCTGACTAATTTTTTGTATTTTTAGTAGAGACGGGGTTTCATCATGTTGGCCAGGCTGGTCTTGAACTCCTGACCTCAGGTGATCCACCCGCCTTGGCCTCCCAAAGTGCAGGGATTTCAGGCGTGAGCCACCGCGCCCGGCCATGCACCTCACTTTTTAAGATGTTTGGGTACCATCTGTTCCCAACAGTTTTCCTTAAGTCAACTCAGTTTTTACAAACCTAAAATTTACTTTAAAAGGAAAAGATATGATTACTCTAGGTGGATAATTAGTATCATTTACCATGAACACAACATAATCACAAAAATATATATTGTTGAAGCAATGAGGTCAGCGCCTTGAGGGCAGTGGTTTGGGATTTACTGCTATATCCCCAGCACGTAGAATAGTACTTGGTACATAATAGGTTCTTGAAATGTATTTCTGAATGCAGGGTTGAGTAAGTGATAAATGCAGAAAGGGGCGCAAAGCCTCTTGGTTAAAATGAGGAAAGGCAGGTATTAGAAGTTACAGCCACGCCAGCCCCACGTGGAGACTTTCTTCTTGATGTACTCAGAAGGACTGATTGACTTGAAAAAGGCAGAACGTCCTCCGCGCATGGCTGGGGACTCCTCAGTGCTGGTCTGGATGCAGCCTCAAGGTGTCTGAGCATCCGAATGTCCTGCTTGGGGGTGCACGCCAGGGGACCTGAAGCTCAGGGTGGCACCCGGGTGAGAGGCAGGGCCAGGGTTGGGGCGTATCGCGGGCCCCTATGCATTTAGTCTGAGCGACGGGTCCCCTGAGGAGGCCTCAGAGTGTCTTCCCCAGCAGCCCTGCTCCTGGGTGGTCCTGGTCCTGCTCACACACACACACACACACACACGTGACAAGACGCATGACAGAGTGTGGGAACAGACACCAGCCCTTTCGGCTGCAGGCTTCCCGCTTCACCTTGGCCAGGAGGAGGCCTTGCTAAGGGCTGGGTGCCCCAGGTGAACCCCCGCCCCCACCCTGCTCTGTGCCAGACACGCCTTCCTCACAGAGGGGCTGTCCCTGGAGCCTGGCGCCTGGCAGGAGCCTGTGGGGGTGGCCGCCGCATCGGTGTGTTCGTCAGAGGCCTGGCACAGGAAACCCGACGTCATCCCTGACTCACCACTCAGGCGGAGCTTGGGGTGGCCCGTCACTCTCACCTCCATCCCTATTCTGGCGCAAGCACTGTAGCCAAGCCACTCACCTCCCGCCCCCTGTGAGGCATCTGCTTGGAGGTGGGGGCTGGAAGGAGGAAGGAAGGCTCTGCAGCAGCAGCGAGGCAGCTGTGGGAGGGAGACCTGCTGTGCAGGGGGCTGATGGATGTGCTGCCAGGGCCAGGAAAGACCTGGAATCCCAAAGGCAGGAGCCAGTGACGCTTAAACAGCCGTCAAAATAGATGGTTATAAAAAGAATAACATGCAGAATCATCATTTGTTCCCGGTGAGTCTCACAGGTTTTCAATTTTAAAAACAGTGCTGAGCCCAAACTTACTTGATATTGTCTGCTCTGTAAGAGCCAGGCCAAGAAAAACAAACAAAAACAGAGAGAGCTCTGAGCAGGGACCCCCAACCTGGGTCAGCCCCTTCCCAGCCAGTGGCGAGGACTGGGTCCTGCTTCCAGAGCCTTCAGGCTGTGGGGCATCCAGTCTAGCAGAGACCCCTCCTCATTGTGTCCTCACCCCTACACCCAATGCCCTGCCTCCTCTCTGCTGTGGCTCCCAAGGCTGGGCTCTGGCGAACGGTGGTTGGGGAGACTCTGAGTGGGTGGCGGAGAGGAGCAGGCGTCCTGCACCATTATCACCACAGGCAGCATCCAAGGCTTGGGGGGCTTTTGTCAGAGCAAAAGCAGGAGAGGGACATGGGCTGGTAAGTCTCTCCCCCTCTTCTTACCCCAGCCCTGGGCTTTCACCCAGTAATCGGGGGTGGGGCTTTCCCCAGTTTGGGAGTAGGGAAAGAAGGCAAAGGGAAGGCCCTCCTTCATGGCTAAGCTGGGCCTCCGTAAGTCCACGTTCCAGAGCTGAAAAGGGGACAGCCCCAAGACAAATGGCCTCAAGGGGGTGACATATGTGCAGCCACTTTAGGCAGTCATCACCAGTCCTGAGCTGGGTGGTGGCACGTGCCTATAGTCCCAGCTACTCTGTTGGCTGAGGCAGGAGGATCACTTGAGCTCAGGAGTTTGAGGCCAGTGTGGGCAACATAACAAGATCCTGTCACTTAAAAAGAAAAAGAAAAAGAGACCACTGGTCATGGCCAAGAGTGCCAGGCCCCAGGGACTGTGCTATGAGAGCAAACCTTCAGCAATGCTCTCCCCACATGCAGAACTCCCCGGCAAGGTATACCAGATTCTCCAGAAGGAGGGGAAGAGGCCCAGCCCAGCATGGGAGTTGGGTCTGGAGCCCCTTACACGGCTGAGCTGAATTCACTCCTGAATCAGGGATCCCACCTGGCTGGGGTCCTCCCACAGAGCTGGAAGGCTTTGGCTCCTGGCCCAGCAGCAAGACTGGACCTGATTGTCCTTCTGCACGCTCTGTAATTTGCCCCTGGAATAAGCATTAAGTCATTTGGAGGCCGATGCCAAAGATAAGGGCTCATATCAGCCTTTGGGATCTGTGGCCCAGACTCCCTGGCTCTGTTGTGGGCTTTGCTGCCTCAGCCTCCAGACTGGCCTGCCAGGGACAGCGGGGCCTCAGCCAAGTTGCCCAGACAGTGGAGTAGCCTTAGAGCGTTGGAGCCAGTGTGGAAGAGCCGCTGCACCATGATGTGCTCCCCTTACAGATGGAGACACTGAGAGGGTGACGTGGCCCCAGGGACCTTTGGAGTCCTTGGGGCTTTTCTCCTCTGCATCGGCTCTGACCCCAGCACACACAAGCTCCAGCTCCTTCTCACACATAGTGGAACTGCACAGGTACGATGCTGCCCTGCACACAACCAGGCATACAGCACACTGCTGTGAGGAACTCAGGGCAGACAAGTCCAGAAGGGCTGCGGGCTCTCCACAGGTCCCAGCTGTCACTCTTCAAGACGGTCTGGACACAGGGGTCTGTGGGGGAGCCGGAAGGGTCTTTCAGAGGGCACGGAGGAGGGCCTCAGGAGACTGGGGGCTTGGAGGGTGGGTTCTGAAATCCCACGCAGCTGGGGGCAGGGCGAGGGCAGCTCCAGCGCAGTGACGCTGTCTCCACCCACCTCAACTTCTCTGCTTGAGTTTGGGAGTTCACTGCCAACAATTCTTGTGGCTCAGACACCCCACGCACACCTGGGCCTCACCACATCCGGCAGCAGGGCTGGGGGAGGGCGGAATGGAGGGGATACCCAGGCCCCCAGTCCTCCGGGTGCAGTGCTAGCCCTGGACTTTGCTGCCCGGCGGGGCTGGACAGGGAGGCCTAGGATGGGGGAGGCCAGTTCTGTTCTGCTTCTCCCTCTTCCCCTTGCCAAGGTCTTGAAATCCCCGCAGGCCTGGGGAGGGCCGGGAGCGTCAGCGGACTTCCCTCCAGGGCGGGCTTGTGGCAGGGGGAAGTACTTCTCTCTGGGGCCTGGGGGCTTTCCCTGCACCCAGGAGGAAGAAGCTTTGCCCTACACATAACTGGAAACCAGTCACAGACCCCTGCTTTCCCCATGAAAGGCCCTGGGACCCCCCCTCATTTCCCTTCGGCCCAAGCCCAGGGGCCTGGGCCCCGGGGACTGTGTTCTGGCCTAGCTTGGCCACCAACCTACTGCAAGACCCTGAGTACTGGTCTTATCCAGGCAATGGGGGGTGGGGAGGGGGAGGAGAGAGAAAGTCCCTCTGGCTCAAGGTCTCCAAATAGATGAGAAATAGGACATCTCAGCAGGGACCCCCCCCATCATCCAGTGTAGAAATCACCCGTGGCAGCAGGCATTTGTCAATGTTTGTGGTGACAAATTTCTAAGAGGAAAATTCTGGGAGGGAAAGGGAAAAGGCAGAGGAAGCGTGGGGTTAGGGGGTGGGGTACTCCAAGGGTCATCGTTGGCCCTAAAGGGGGACCTGCATCTGAGAAGCTGGGTTCCCCAGGACTGAGTGGCTTGGGACAGGTCAAAGGGTGGGCGCAAAAACGGAGGGGTGCTAGTCCCTCCGACTCCGGGTAACACCTTCCCTTCCCTTAGTCGCTGGTCCCCGCCTCCTCCCGGTGTGTTGGTCCCCGCGCCCTGCCTTCCCCCTCAACCTCCCCCCCGCCCCGAAGTCTCCAGGTCAGCCCAGACTGCGCCCCACGTGAGGGGCGGGGGCGGGCGCGGGCGCCAGCGCCTTCCTGCTCTGCCCTTGTATGGTGCCCCGGAGGCCGGCCCACGGGTACTTAACCCGGGCCGCCGCGGAGGGCGCCCGGAGTCGACCGCTCGGGCAGCGCCACCGCCACGAGAGCCCGGGACGCGGGAAAGACCGAAAGGAAGAGGAAGAGGCACCGGTGGCCATGGGGCTGGAGGCGGCGCGCGAGCTGGAGTGCGCGGCGCTGGGCACGCTGCTGCGGGATCCGCGGGAGGCGGAACGCACGCTGCTGCTGGACTGCCGCCCCTTCCTGGCCTTCTGCCGGCGCCACGTGCGCGCCGCGCGGCCAGTGCCTTGGAACGCGCTGCTGCGGCGCCGCGCGCGCGGCCCTCCTGCCGCCGTTCTCGCCTGCCTGCTGCCCGACCGCGCGCTGCGGACGCGCCTGGTCCGCGGGGAGCTGGCGCGGGCCGTGGTGCTGGACGAGGGCAGTGCCTCGGTGGCGGAGCTCCGGCCCGACAGCCCGGCTCATGTGCTGCTGGCCGCGCTGCTGCACGAGACCCGCGCGGGGCCCACTGCCGTGTACTTCCTGCGAGGTGAGCAAGCCGGCCGCCCTTGGCCCGCCCCACCCGACTCCAGCCCGGCTTTCCCTGCTGATCGTGCTCTTCCCCTCCTTGCAGGAGGCTTCGACGGCTTCCAGGGCTGCTGTCCCGATCTGTGCTCTGAGGCCCCCGCCCCTGCGCTGCCGCCAACAGGGGACAAAACCAGCCGCTCCGACTCCAGGGCTCCTGTCTACGACCAGGTGAGTATTGACCCCCCTCCCCCGAACCTCCCTCTCTCCCCGCCGCGGACTGGGCGCCTCTAGGGAAAGAGCCTGCCATTTGGGGATGCGAGCAGTTTGCCCATATACACACACTTTTATACGTGTGTGTGTTGGGGGAGGGGGTGGGGCATGGCTGCTCGCGCGTGCCTGTATGGGTCTGTGTATGTTTGCATGTGTATGTTGGGAGCATGAAGGGAAATGTATGTCCCGGTGTGTCCTCCGCACATTCCTGAGACCTGTCTCAGGTCAGGAGGACTGGCTGAGGAGTCCTCTTGTCTCGGCCAGCCCATGGGGTCTCCACCCGCTGCTGCTCCAGCTCTCCGGGGCTGGGCTGGAAAGGCCTCACCGCCCCTCTGTTCCCTCCAGGGTGGCCCTGTGGAGATCTTGCCCTACCTGTTCCTGGGCAGCTGCAGTCACTCGTCAGACCTGCAGGGGCTGCAGGCCTGTGGCATCACAGCCGTCCTCAACGTGTCCGCCAGCTGCCCCAACCACTTTGAGGGCCTTTTCCGCTACAAGAGTATCCCTGTGGAGGACAACCAGATGGTGGAGATCAGTGCCTGGTTCCAGGAGGCCATAGGCTTCATTGGTAAGGGGGCACCTCTGCCCAGAAATCCCGAGGGGCTCCAGAGGAGAGGACTGGGGGCACCTGTCTCCTGGGCTGTGCACATTCCGTCTGACACCACTCCCCCATCTCCCTTGCAGACTGGGTGAAGAACAGCGGAGGCCGGGTGCTGGTGCACTGCCAGGCGGGTATCTCGCGCTCTGCCACCATCTGTCTGGCATACCTCATGCAGAGTCGCCGTGTGCGGCTGGACGAGGCCTTTGACTTCGTTAAGCAGCGCCGGGGGGTCATCTCCCCCAACTTCAGTTTCATGGGGCAGCTGCTGCAGTTTGAGACCCAGGTGCTGTGTCACTGAGGTGGTGCCCCTCTGCCTGCCTGCCCCACTGTGCTGGCAGGAGCTGACTGTGGACTGGTGGGCTCCCCTCTGGGCCAGCACAGTCCCCTCACCTCTGGCAGGGCTGCTACCTCCTCAGAGTTTCAGAAGCCCCCACATGGGGGCTCTAGGAATGCCGGCATGCTGGTCTTTCCGACCTGGTGCTCTTCTGCTGGGGGACTGAGGCTGGCCCTCATTCGGGGTCGGGAACCAAGGGTGTGTCTGCTCTTTCCCTCCCCATCCTCTGGCAGAAATCAGCTAGACGCTATACCGTGGACTCTCCCTGGTCCACCACCATGTTGAAGCCCTTGGCAGCCTGAGAGCTCCAAGGAACAAGCTGTGACAACCAGGAGCCCTGTCTGTGGGTTCGTCTGCCCAGGGCCTGGAGCCCAAGCCCTGTGTTCCTGGGGAAGCTGGGGACTTGGGAAGTGATGGGTGTGTCATGTTGCGTGTGTCTGTCTGTGAGCCTTTCACACCTGTGCTGGCGCTGGAAAATTATTTGTGCTCAGCTGACATTTAACACTCCCTCCCCCGCTTCCTCCTAGCCCTGTGGGCAGGGGTTGGAAACTTAGCACTTTATATTTATACAGAACATTCAGGATATGTCAATAAAATATTGTTATATTTAAAAAACAACAACCCAGCATCTGGTCTCATCTGATACCCGGGAGCCTGCTTGGACCTCACGTTTCCTTGTGCCCTTGGGGTTTGGGAAGTGAATGGGCAGAGGGGCCAGCGGCCGGAAGGGGCAGGTCTGACCCTCCCCACAAAGGCTGCTCTCTTGGCCCCAGTTCTCCCTGGGCTGGCGTCTTTTCCCAGACAGGGACCTCGCTCCAGAGCTGAACAGGGTTGTTTCTGGGAGGCTGGGTCCCGTCCGTGACTCAGAGCCAGGCCCAGTGCTGCCCCGATCAGACCCCGCTTCCTTTTCGGAATGTGGAAGGATGCGAGTGTGTGCCTGAGGGTGTGGTCCTGTGGGGGTGGGTGGTCTTGGCCCATGCACACCTGCATGTTGCGCATGGTGTTCCTGTGGGAGCGTGTGTGCACGCCCACACAAGAGGCACTTCCCAGGCCGTGTGGGTCTCTACTTCCTCACAGCAGGCCTGCATGGCCTCCCTACTCTTCTCCCACATCCCAGGGCTGGGGCTCACAGCGTCCCCTGTTCCAGAGCTCCTTCATGTCCCCCAAAGGCATGTGGCCCTGTGTCTGGTGCAGAGGACCTGTCACCAGGGATGGGATTCATTGCTCTGCACACCCACCCAACTAGCACATCTTGGCCGAGCTTCAATTACGGGCCCAGCATAGGACTAAGGTTCAGTGGAGACCTGAGACCAGGGCCCCGCCCACGCCAGAAGCCAAGGGGTACCTGCCGACGCTGCCGGGAGGGGGTGCTGTGATCTGCCTGTGAGCAGGGGTGCTGAGGCCTTTGGAAATGGTTGTGCGGGAGCCAGTCCTGCTTCAGGCTCACTGGGACACTCGGCCATTTGGAGTGTCATCCAGCCAAGGGTTGTCTCTGCACAGTGCTACCTCTAAGGATCTGTCCGTGGTCTGTTAGGAACTGGGCTGCACAGCCGGAGGTGAGCAGCTTCATCAGTATTACAGCCGCACCCCATTGCTAGCATTACTGCCTGAGCTCCGCCTCCTATCAGATCAGCGGTGGCATTAGATTCTCATAGGAGCTTGAACCCTGTTGTGAACTGCATTGGAGGGATATAGGATGTATGCTCCTTATGAAACTCTAACTAATGCCTGATGATCTGTCACTGTCTCCCATCACTCCCAGATGGGACCGTCTAGTCTCAGGAAAACAAGCTCTGGGCTCCCACTGATTCTACATTATGGTGAGTTGTATAAAATTATTTCATTGTAGATTACAATGTAATGATAGAAATAAAGTGCACAATAAATGTAATGCACTTGAATCACCTAGAAACCATCCCCCTCACCATCCTGGGCCAGGCATGGTGGCTTATGCCTCTAATCCTAGCACTTTGGGAGGCCGAGATGGGTGGATCAACTGAGGTCAGGAGTTCGGGACCAGCCTGGCCAACATGGTGAAACCCCGCCTCTACTAAAAATACAAAAATTAGCCAGGCATGGTGGCGGGCGCCTGTTATCCCAGCTACTTGGGAGTCTGAGGCAGGAGAATTGCTTGAACCTGGGAGGTGGAGGTTGCAGTGAGCCAAGATTGCGCCATTGCACTCCAGCCTGAGCATCAAGAGTGAAACTCCATCTCAAACAGAGGAACAAACAAAAACCGGTCCCTGGTGCCACAAAGGTTGGGAACTGCTGTCTTACGGCATTCTGAATGCCTGGGAGGGTGTGCTTGTGGGGCAGGGCAGTGTAGTTTGACAGTCCGGGGGCTGGTTTTGCTTCACCTTGCTGTATACAGTTTTCTTGTCTGTAAAATGGAGTTTCATTGTTAGCCCCCACCTCTGAGGATGTAGACTTACACAAGTCAATCCATGTAGTGCCTGCTCATAGTAGGCGCTCCGAAAATGTTAGCTAACTACGGCCCTAGGAGTGAGGTTGATCTGATGTGCCGGTGTGCACATGCGAGGTGTGCATCTGGACCAGGATGGACACTCATAACGGCTGGGCCTGGGGTCCACTCAGCCTTGTGCCTGGAGCCTGGCACAGGTGGGCGCTCACTCTGTGAGGCCGAATGAAGGGTGATTCTTGTTCCCACTGCTGTCTGAGGGGTGGGGTGAGCCACTCCAGTGTGAACTGGGCAGAGCCGGGGTTGCTATTCTGCCTTCCTTAGGAGCTGAGTAGGCATCTGTTGGGACCCACTTGTACCCCCATGCCCAGCTTGGGTGGGTGGGGGACATCTGGGGCTCTAAGTCATAGGGGACTTCACACCACACAGCCTCATCTCACACACAGCTGCACTGGTGGCTGAGGCCTCTGCCCACCCCCCACCCTTGGCCCTACCCCATCCCACCCTACCCAGCCCCAATCCCCTCTCCTTCCTTCCCCGTGCTTTTTATAGCTTGTCATCTAGCAAACTGCCCTTCTCTTTCTCTCTCTTTTCCTCCTTTCCTTCTTTCCTATTTATTAAATTTTTAAACTTTTAATTGTGGTAAAAAATGCAACATAAAATTGGTCATCTTTACCATTATCAAGTGTTTAGTAAAGTGTATTCACATCGTTGTGCACAGATATCCAGAGCTTTTTCATCTTGCGAACCTGAAATCCTATACCTATTAAATGATAACTCCCCTCCCCAGTCCCCAGCCCCTTGTGAGCTCCGTTCCACTTTCCGTCCCTGTGCACTGGGCTACTCTAGACACCTCTTGGAGGTAGAAGCATGCAGGATTTGTCTTTTTGTGACTGGCTTGTTTCGCTCAGCAAAATATCCTCAGACCAACTGCATGTCCTAATAAAGACTCTGTTTCTCTCCCCAAGCAGGGTGATTATTTCTTATCATTATTTTAATTCTTTTGTTTTTTGAGACAGAGTCTCACTCTGTTGCCCAGGCTGGAGTGCAGTGGCACAATCTTGGCTCACTGCAACCTCTGCCTCCTGAGTTCAAGGGATTTCTGGCTAATTTTTGTATTTTTAGTAGAGATGGGGTTTCACCGTGTTGGCTAGGCTGGTCTCGAACTCCTGACCTCAAGTAATCTGCCTGCCTTGGCCTCCCAAAATGCTGGGATTACAGGCATGAGCCACTGCGCCCGGTCTACTTTATTTTTTTTTACTGAACATTCATCTTTTTTTTTGAGATGGAGTCTCACTCTGTCCCCCGGGCTAGAGTGCAGTGGCGCGATTTTGGCTCATTGCAAACTCCACCTCTGGGTTCAAGTGATTCACCTGCCTCAGCCTCCCGAGTAGGTGGGATTACAGGTGCCCGCCACCGTGCCCAGCTAATTTTTGTATTCTTTTAGTAGAGATGGGGTTTCACCATGGTGGCCAGTCTGGTCTTGAATTCCTGACCTCGTGATCCACCTGCCTTGGCCTCCCAAAGTGCTGGGATTATAGGCGTGAGCCACCGCGCCCTCCTGAACACTCATCTTAAGTGGTCAGCCTTGTGCATTTGTTTTTTGATGGGTCCTATTCTTTATTTTACTTATTTTTTCTAGGTTTACTGAGGCATAATCGACAAATAAAAGTAGTATATGTTTAAGTATACAACGTGATGTTTTGACATATGCATACCTTGTGAAATGATGACCACAACAAGCTAACTAGCATATCCATGGTGTGTATCCTGACATCTGTCAATACCCTGCCCTGGCAGCAGGGCGTCTGCCTCCATCATGGTCTCCCTGTGATTCTGATTCCTATCTTTGGAGAAGCTCTGGATTCCAGGCACAGTGGGAATGCTGAAAGGTCCTTGTGGACAATAGCTATTCTTCTTGGCTCTGTCGCTTCCCTTCACTGGGTGCAGGTGACTGTGGGGGTGTCCCCAAATGCTGCCCAGCGCTGACATGCTCCGCCTCTGGGATTTCAATCCAGGTGGGGCCCTGAGTGACCTGGCTCTGGGGCTCAGGGGTATGGAGGAGGGGGGATATAGGTAAGGAGTTTAAATTTCCAAATCTGTGAAATGGGAATAAATACTGACTGATCATGCCAGCTGCTGTGGGATTAGGGGGTGGACTCCCTGCGAGGCTCTGGGCATCTGGGGGTTCCACCTTTCCCACATGGCAGGCTTTCTAGGGTGCTGCACACTGTTCAGTTTGTGAAATTTCCTGGAGCCCTGTGCTTGTGATAGTGAACTTTTCTATATGTGTACTAAAATAAAAGCTTGTGAAAGTGCAGTGACCTTTTCCTCCTTCCGGAGATACACGGGGGGCGCCCCAGGGTCTCAGGCAGCTTTCCCCATGTCTAAGCACAGGCCGGGGTAGGAAAGGGGGTCTCCCTCGCTGGAGGAATAGGTCTATACCTGGGCTGGGGCCTCAGCTAGGCCTGGAGCAACTTTCTGCGATGTTTCTCTGCCCCCTGGAGGCAGGAAGGAACCTCAGAAGAGCCACACTCCCAAGCGGGCCCCTCCTGTCTTTCACCTGCTACAGCCAGGAAGGGGACTGGGCTGGGGTGGGAACCACAGGTAGGCATCGGAGGGGCTGCCAGTAGACCTGGTTTGGGTGGCGCTGCCGGTAGAGCTGGTTGGGGCGGGGCTGCAGGTGGAGCTGGTTGGGGCGGGGCTGCAGGTGGAGGTGGTTGGGGCGGGGCTGCAGGTGGAGATGGTTGGGGCGGGGCTGCAGGTGGAGGTGGTTGGGGCGGGGCTGCAGGTGGAGGCGGTTGAGGGGAGCAAGGTGGGAGGTGGAGCAGCTGCTATTTAAGAGGGGGTGGTGGTGCCGGTTCTGCAATTAGGTTACTGTGTCTTGCTGGGGCTTGGTCTTGTTTGCTGAAGGGGCAGCAGGGCTCTACCATGGAGGGTGTAGGGGGTCTCTGGCCTTGGGTGCTGGGTCTGCTCTCCTTGCCAGGTAAGCTGGCTGCCTGTCCCTCCTGCTGCTGGCTCCAGCCTGGAGAAAGCTGGGGAGAGGCTAGAAGGTTGTGGCTGGAGCCTGCAGGGATTGTAGCTGAGCTCAGTAGCTCAGAGCACAGAGCTCTCCAGGGTTATTCTAGAAGTCAGCTCCTGGGGGGCCAAGGGGAGGCCTCCTGAAGGCCCTGGAAGCAGAGGGCCTGCCTGGCAGAAGATAAGTGTTGTGCCCCAGGCCTACTTGTCTTGGGGTGGGGGTAGGCTGTAAGTCCCCACTCCAGCCTGGTCAGGCAGGGAGTCATCCAGGCTGAGCCCATTGTCCAAGAGCCTGGGCTGAGAGAGAGTCATAAGGTGGGGTCTGAGGCTGGCCCTGCCCGTCACGGGCGTCAGAACCCGAGGTCTGTCCTGCCTCCTTCCTTCCTGCCCCTCCTCTACCTCATAGGTGGGGCACATGGTCCCTTTTGGTCCCCCTAAGGGAGCTCCTTCCCTGAGGTCATCTAGACCTTGGCACCAGTTGGGGTTGAGCAGGGAGGCTGGGAAGGCTCCTTGGCTTTGTGCTGGAGCCTACTCTTCCTAGGGACTGAGTCTTACCGTCTGATCCCCCACACCCACCCCATGTCCTGCTGTCTGGTCTCACCGGTGGGTGCTCCAGGCATCTGTGTATGCCCCTGTCTGTCTGGACCAGGTGTGATCCTAGGAGCGCCCCTGGCCTCCAGCTGCGCAGGAGCCTGTGGTACCAGCTTCCCAGATGGCCTCACCCCTGAGGGAACCCAGGCCTCCGGGGACAAGGACATTCCTGCAATTAACCAAGGTGAGGGCACTACATCTTCTCACGGCCTGGAGGGGCACGACGTTATGTAGTGTGAAAACCACACCGAACACTCAGAAATGCAGAGCCTGGGAGGAAATGGACCAGCTTACTCTGGGCTCTAAGTGGTTTTTAAGAGATGGAGTGGTGTTGCTATATTGCCCCGGCTGGTCTTGAACTCCTGGCCTTAAGTGATCTTCCTGCCTCTGCCTCCCGAGCAGCTGGGACTACAGGTGTGAATGGGTGGAAATTCTATGGGCAATTGCTTAAGTCTACTCTTTCTTTTTGTATCTTTCTTAGTGGATTGTTACTTTTATAAGAAAAACCAAGCTCTTAAAGGGCCTGGGCGTGGAGCTAAGCGGTTAGTCGCAGTCTGAGATTGTCAGCCACCCTGTGCAGGACTGTCTGCAGGTGTGATTAAGAAGTCTGAAGCTCAGCTGGGTGCGGTGGCTCTCGCCTGTAGTCCCAGCACTTTGGGAGGCTGAGGCGGGCAGATCATGAGGTCAGGAGATCGAGACCATCCTGGCTAACACAGTGAAACCCCGTCCCCACCAAAAATACAAAAATTAGCCGGGCGTGGTGGCGGGCGCCTGTAGTCCCAGCTACTCAGGAGGCTGAGGCAGGAGAATGGCATGAACCTGGGAGGCGGAGCTTGCAGTGAGCTGAGATTGCGCCACTGCACTCCAGCCTGGGCGACAGAGCATCTCACAAAAAACAAAAAACAAAAGTCAGGCTCAGGGCCTTGCTGTCTGGGGATGTCAGCTGAGGAATGAGGGTGTATAAATAGCCTGAACAAAGCCAGTTGAAATGGAGACTGGAGTTCAGATGTTGGAGCAATGAGGGCTGAAGCACTCAGGGTTGAAGCAATCGGGCTGAACAGGGGACAACCTTGCCCTAAGGGTGGGTGAGATCCTACCAGATGTGGTAGCCACTGTGTGATCTGCCCCCTTCTTCCTCTGTGAGCTGACTTGGGAGCCCAGCGCCAGCTGAGCCTTGAGCCCCAGGCACCATCCCACCCCTGGATCACCGTGAGTGGTCTGCAGGTAACCAGAACCAATGGAGAAAACTCCCAAATGCTGGTGACCCCAACAACTATCCTATCACCTACGGTGAGGCTGTCTCATAAGGGCTGCCCGTGCCTTACCCAGTGCTTTCCTGGGAAGCACCTGCCCATCTCCAGCCACTGTGAATATGGCTAATGCTGCACAGCTGTCTGCCTCCCAAAACTGGCCCTTGGCCAGAAGGAGCTGCCTCAGCCAGAGATGCCCGGGGGCTACTCCCTTGTCTGCCCAAGGTGGCCTACTGTGACTTCTAAGGGACAGGAGTCTGGCTCCTGCCTAAAGGTGGTACAAGTCAGCGGTGTCATTTGTGGTCTGGAGCGCCCATGGGATCTGGCTGAGGCTGTGCCTGGGTTCTTCCCTGCCTTCTCTCCTGCTTCCCTCACTCCCCCTGTGAGTCACTTGTGGGAGACCCGGCTCAGGGAGAGATGAGAAGCAGAGGGACTAAGAGGGGAGAGGGGCTTGCGAGAGCCGGTATTTGCCTGCCTCTGATGGTGGAACAAATTTGTGGAACAAAATTGCCACCTCAAGGGGCCTGAATATAACAGATGGGTGGGGAATAGATGGGGGATGAGGTGGGCAGGAGACCCCAGGGCCTGTTCTGAGGAGTGTGGCTCAGGCTGGAAGAAGCCACTGCTTCCTGACAGCAGGGACCCGGGCTTGGGACTGGATTGCGTGGGTCATGGGCTGTGTTTGAGCAGGGGAAGGCTGCAGTCCAGCCGAGAAGCCTTGCACACTCAGGGACTGTGTGACTTCCCTGAGGCCACGCAGGCTCAGTGCTCAGGGAACCTCTAGCTCCACAGTCAGGAGAGGGACAGACCCCAAGCCTCAGTCTCCTTTGTCTTTGTCCTCCAGCCCCCTCACACCTGCAGACAGTCCGCACAGGGTGGCTGACATTCTCAAACATCAACTAATGACTTAACTAAACACCCAGGCTCGGAGAGCCGATGACCTATACTTTTATCAGGCTATTTAAGAACTTATAAAAGTAACAATCCACTAGGAAAGACACAAGAATAGACTTAAGTAAGTAGGGATTTGCTTGGCCTGTCCCACGAGTCAGTGTTCTGGGGGACATGGGCCAACACGTCCTTCTTCCTTTCCCAGGGCTCATCCTGGAAGAAACCCCAGAGAGCAGCTTCCTCATCGAGGGGGACATCATCCGGCCGGTGAGTGCACACACTGACGTGTGTGGGTGCGGATAAGCCCACAGTTGGCGACAGGTCCTCTGAGCCCACCCTGGATGCCATGGGGCCTGATGTGTGAGGGACATACATAGCTTGGTAGATGCCTCTTTTTGTCAAGGTCAGAGCGACTGTTCTGTTAGGAAATAGGAATAAGCCAGCCTGAATGCTAAGGAAGGCTGGTATCTGAAGTGCTGGCACAGTCAGCCTGAGAGGGCTTCCTGAAGGAGGAGGTTTGAACACTTGACCCAGCTTGGTACCCTGCCCAGGGGAGGTGCTCAGCACTCGGGAGGTGCTCAGATAAAGGAAGAGATGAGCAAGGGTTGGCAGAGTGGCCAGTGGCAGATAAAGGGCCTGGTGGCAGTGGCGACCTAGGGATGGTGGAACAAGGAGTGATGTTGAGCCTGACCATCTTGGCTGTGGTCGAGGGGCCGCATCTGAAGGGAGAAGGTTGCTGGGGATTGGGGCGCCTTGCTAACAGAAAAGGGAACACTGTGCCCAGGATGGCAGCCATGTGTTTCAGGCAACTGCGAATGGCAGAAGGCTCCTGAATAGGACAGTGACCCAGGGGAAGGCAAGACTGTCCTGTTGGAGGCTGCCACTGACGGCACAGCCTCTGGCTGGGCAGGAGAGCCAGAGGCTGGCCCAAGGCTGCCCAGGAACTCCGGGGGCAGGGCAGACCCTCTGGGTTATGCAGTGAGTGCTCGGGCAGGTGGTGTGCGACCACCCGGAGCAGAATCAAATGCCTCCAGCCGATGGCACAGGCACGCTGGGGTGCTGTGGAGCCTGGGCACCGAAGGGCTCTGGTTGCTGGAGAGCAGAAGTAAGCAGCCGAGGCCAGGGTGCTGCCTCACTTTCACTCCATATGGCTCTGTTCCCATGATCGTCCCATGTTCAGGGAAGCCTGGTGGCTGTTCCCCTCTGGAAGGGGCACTGTCAACATGCTGGAGTGGGGCTGCTGGCCCAAGCCCTTCTGATTCAGGGCACCCTGGGGTGCTGGGCCTCCTAGCCAACATCCTCAGGGACTAATCTCTTGTTTGCTTGAGATTGAAATTCTTTCATCATAGGCCAAGGGACTGTCTTGTGCATCAAGGTTCATGTAGCTGGCCCCTTGCCTTCCACAGCTCTGTCCCATCTCTAATGGTCCCCCATTCCCATGCACACAGGTCCTGACTCCCACATCTTTGGGGTTCTGGTGCCCTGGGGTGTGGTACCCTTGGGGCACAAAGCTTGGGTGGCCTCTGTCCCCAGGGGTTGAACTGCTGCTCTCTCCTCAGAGTCCCTTCCGACTGCTGTCAGCAACCAGCAACAAATGGCCCATGGGTGGTAGTGGTGTCGTGGAGGTCCCCTTCCTGCTCTCCAGCAAGTACGGTGAGTGAGCATGGCGCGCTCCCTCCCTGCCTCAGCCCCTTCTTCCTAATGCGGCAGGTGTTCCTCTCTTCCCTTTTCCTCTTACACCATCACATCCCTTCCACCTCCCCACCCGAAGAACCTGTCCACAGATGCCCTTCTGTTGCTGAAGGTCTCCTGAGTAGGGAGGGTTAAAATCTGATGGGAAGGTATGTCGAGTGGGGATCTGGTTCCCCTTGAGACCATGCGGTGCAGAGGACAGTGACCTACCCAAGGCCACACAGCCAGGGTCTGTCTGGGGCCCAGCTTCTTCCTGGCACCACTAAGCTGCCCTTTCTTGATGCTATTTTGGGAGAGTGAGTTCAGAGCTCTGCTCCCAGACCCTCAGGTAGAGCTCAAAGACCACCAGGGCTCTGGGGGCTCAGCCAGGTGGTGTCTTCCAGATGAGCCCAGCCGCCAGGTCATCCTGGAGGCTCTTGCGGAGTTTGAACGTTCCACGTGCATCAGGTTTGTCACCTATCAGGACCAGAGAGACTTCATTTCCATCATCCCCATGTATGGGTAAGTGCCGGGGCCAGGATGCGTATCTCAGCTCGCTTCTGCGTTCAGCCCGGAATTAACTTGGCCATTGTCTAAAATGTATTCCTGGGCCCATCCTCCAGGGCTCAGTCTCCCTGCCCACCCTGAGGGGTCTGCCAAGTGTGAGCTGGACCTCCAGGGCGGAATGTGGGAAAGGGATGGGAACGGTGCTAGACCCTCCATTTACAAAGCCCTCCTCTCCCGGGGGACTCCATGAGGTGGTGAGGAGAGGAGGTTTTGCGGGGCAGACAGTGCGTGAGTCACTGAGTCCTGGCAAGTCCCCTAACTTCTGAGCCTCTTCTGTCCCCTCTGGGGTGCGAGTGGTGGCGATACCTGCTTCCTAGCTTGTCAGGGGCCTGAGGCAATTTGTGTGAAAGCCTTGGCTTAGGGCTGACCAGGAGGGTGTGCTCACTTAGTAAGCTGCTTCTGTCCTCTGTGTTCATATATCAGTTTCTGCAGCCTCCCTGCAGCCCAGGCTGGTGATGGGGGTCCGGTATGGCCATTTCACAGAAGTCCAGGCAGTAAAGGGGCCTGGAGAATGGTGAACCTGAGACTAGAGCCCAGAGTGGGGCCTGCCTGTTGGGAGTTTGTCTATCTTGTGTTGTGTGGGGAGGGAGAGCCCAGGTCTGTATGTCCGGAGGGATCTGGGCTGGCACTTACCCCACTTGCTCTCATCACCCTGCAGGTGCTTCTCGAGTGTGGGGCGCAGTGGAGGGATGCAGGTGGTCTCCCTGGCGCCCACGTGTCTCCAGAAGGGCCGGGGCATTGTCCTTCATGAGCTCATGCATGTGCTGGGCTTCTGGCACGAGCACACGCGGGCCGACCGGGACCGCTATATCCGTGTCAACTGGAACGAGATCCTGCCAGGTGAGCCAGGCCACACGCAGGACAGGCTGGTGCCGGGGAGGGGACAGCACGGCTTGGGCCCAAGTCGCCTGGTCCCCATGGGTGAGGCTATCCATCCTCCCCATCACCTGCCTGCTTCCTGTGGGGAAGGTGGGGGTCTCACTTCTGTCTGGTACCTGGTACCTGGAGGTGGTACTCTGGGTGCTGCTCTGGGCCCCAGGCCTTCCTCTACCCACCTGTAGTTGTGCCTTAGCTAGGGCGCCACCACCTGCTTTGTCTCGCTTCTCATCCCTGACACTGTCCTCTCCCTGGCGATGGGGCAGGCAGTGCCCATGATACCTGCTTGTTGAGTACTCTAGCAGCGGTCTCATGTACCAGATACCACCACCATGGACTGGGGCTGTGTGCCAGCTTGGGGAGCTGAGCCAAAGTGGGACCCCAAGGTAGCAGGCTGCACAAGCCAAGTGCTGGGCCACGGGCTGAGGGCAGCACTGTGGGGCTGGGACATGTGCCAGTGGTGCCAGTGAGCAGGCAGAAGGAACACAGACTGTGGCCATGGGAGAGTGGAGGCTGGAGGCAGGTGGGCTGTGGTTCCTGTGCTGGCAGCGGCTGTGTGGCGCCGGGGATCAGATCCTGGTGATGGTGGGGTCTCTCTCATTGTGGGCTTGATGGTCTGGTTCAGGAGGCAGGAAGAGCCCCACGAGGGAGGGGCAGAGGAGGTTTGGGTGGGAGTCTGGCTTAGGGGTTGGAGCAGGAAGGCCTACCGCAGGTGGAGGGCGTCCAGCACGAGACCTTTCAGGGCTGTCATGTTAGCCAGGTGAGGCAGCCAGGGAAGCTGCCTGGGCCCAAGGACCTTCCCAGGCCCCAAACACCGCTTTCTCAGTGGCTCTCAGCAAACATGAGTCACAGAGAAAGGGGTGACGGGGCACGTGGGTAGCACCTCACAAAGGGGGAGGGGATGGATATTGAATCAGACCAGGCTGGGGAGGTTGTGAGGGGGGTGACAAGTGACTCTGTACCCTGAAAACAGACTGATCCTTCCCAATGCTCGTGGAACAGTTGTGAAAGTTTACCCTGATAATTTTATGATATACCATGAAATGCCATGAAAACCTGCAACTCTGAAAGTAGACCAATGTAAACATTCTGATCATGATATAAAGTAGAAACCGATACATCAAAACCGAAAGCTTCTCCTATTCAGAAATTG